>NC_000005.10:157579505-157882536 GCF_000001405.40 Homo sapiens | reverse complement strand
GATGGCTTGCTGACCGGAAGGGAATTTATCCCTTTCTTCAGCTGTCATTCTATCATTTACTTAACTAAGATACCAGGTATCTCCAAACTCTTGGGCTACAGCTAAAGCCGCATTCTTTTCATTAAAGGCCAGGGTTTGATCTAACAGTAGCATGACATCTCTCCAAGCAAGGTCGAAGGTTTGCCCTAGACCCTGTAGGACATCTATGTACCTATCAGGATCATCTGAAAACTTCCCCAGGTCTGCCTTGATCTTCTTTAAATCAGAGAGGGAGAAGGGGACATGTACCCGGGTTGGGCCAAATTCCCCTCCCCCGACAGCTTGAAGGGGACATAACAAATAGCCTGAGGATTCTTGTGGTCCTTTGGAGATTTCTTTGCTTATTTCTTTCTGGGCAGGAGAGATTAGAGGAGGATTATCATTAATAGGAAGGGGAGCTATAGGAAGGCTAGGATATGGGGGTAAGCTGAGAGGTCCTCCTGTGGGATGTAAATTGCAAGCTTTGCGTAGTTGTGTATTCTCCCTCAATGAAAAGGAGGCTTGGACATAAGGTATTTGACTCCATTTGCCTTTCCTCTTACAGAAAAGGTCAAACTGCAGGATAGTATTGTAATTTGTACTTCCCTCAGGTGGCCATTTTTCCCCATCAGAGAGAATATTGAGGCCAAGCCGTAGTGCAGAAAAAAATGAGCTGCCTCTTTTTCAGGGTTTGCAGGTCAAATTGGTCCCAATGGCTTAGGATGCATTTCAAGGGTGAGCCTGTTGATGCCTGAGTGTTTCCCATCTGAAAGACAAAAACTGCCTGCGGTTTTGATTTGTTTTTTTCTCCCCCTGCCCAAGAACCTGCAATGGTCCCTGGCCCCTGCTGATCAGAATAGTTGTGCTCACTGACAGCAGCAGAAACAACCCCTGCCCAAGAACCCGCAACGGTCCCTGGACCCTGCTGATTGGAATAATTGCTCTCACCAACGCAGCAGCAGAAACACTAGTCTTCCTCCCAGACCACAAGGAGAACCGAGGAAGGTCGGATTTAGTGGCCCTTACTGATGCATTCTTGAAAACCTGCACCCTTGCCTGTCCTCCTAGACCACAAAGAGGACCAAGAAAAATCGGATTTAGTGGCTAACCTTACTGATGCAGTCTCGAAAACCTGTTAGAGTCCTAAGCATTCTACTGTTAGTATTGGGACCTTACCCATGTCCTATAAAGATGTTATGCCCATAAAATGAAGTGGAGGGCCATGCCCTGAGGGAGGGAAGAGTTGGAAGAGTGATGCCAACCCAGAGTTGGAAGAGTGATGCCTTTTGTCCTCACTTATATGAATAGTGAGGAAGGATACAATTTCTGAGGCTCCCCATATCCTAGCTTCAGGAATAGCTTTTGTTAGGCCTACTTGTCTGAGGAGGGATCCTAAAATTCCAGATAGTACCCCCAACGAGTCTTTGGCCAAAAATTTTGTCTTTCTGATTGGTGAGCCCGGGTGTCTAAAGAAGGTAACAGAGTCCTGGAGTTTATACTAGAAATCATTCTTATAGAAGAAACTAGAAAAGCACCAGAGACAGGGAGCGATTTTTAGAAGCAGGACTAGCCTCGGAGAAGAGAGGCGAGAGGAAGTTTGTCTGGCAGGCATTAGGACACAGAGGGCAAGGATCAGGATAGGTAGGATAGATGGGCGAGTCTCGCTTGGGCAACATGCCTTTGAGAGTTCCACTCATGGCCACAGGCTCAACCAACTTGTTGTCAGGACCCCAGAGCTGAATGGCTTTCCTCTCTGTCAACCCTCAGCTCAGCCCTGAAGTACAGGAAAAGCAGAAGCTGGTTCCAGGCAAACCAACACTCCCAACGCCGAAGAGTCGGGGGTTTTTAGAGAAAGCCCTTTCCCAGGAAGCCTGACACCCATGTCTTTAGTCCAGCGGCTAAACTAGTCGCTTTTAACTGGCCGACAGGTGCCCAGCATTTAGCCCCCGAATTCTAAGGAAAAGTAGGACAGAATAGCAAGTGAAAGGGGTCCGATGGTACTCACTGCTTGGCGATAGGTGACAGTCTCACTGCTCAGCCATAGGCAATGGTCTCACCGCTTGGCGATAGTCCCATCTGGTCGCCAAAATGTGTCTGGAATTGGTGGATTCTTGGTCTCACTGACTTCAAGAATGAAGCTGCAGACCCTGTTGGTGAGTGTTACGGCTCTTAAGGCAGCACATCTAGAGTTGTTCATTCCTCCTGTCCAGAGTTGTTCATTCCTCCCGGTGGGTTCGAGGTCTCGCTGGCCTCAGGAGTGAAGCTGCAGACCTTCGCAGTGAGTGTTACAGCTCATACAAGAAGTGTGGACCCAAAGAGTGAGCAGCAGCCAGATTTATTGCAAAGAGTGAAAGAACAAAGCTTCCACAGTGTGGAAACGGACCTGGGTGGGTTGCCACTGCTGCCTCGGGCAGCCTGCTTTTATTCCCTTATCTGGCCCCACCCACATCCTGCTGAATGGTCCATTTTACAGAGAGCTGATTGGTCCGTTTTACAGAGAGTGGATTGGTCTGTTTTACAGAGAGCTGATTGGTCCGTTTTGACAGGGTGCTGATTGGTGCGTTTACAATCCCTGAGCTAGACACAGAGCACTGATTGGTCCATTTACAACCCTCTAGCTAGACACAGAGTGCTGATTGGTGCATTTGCAAACCTTGAGCTAGACACAGAGTGCTGATTGGTGCGTTTACAAACCTTGAGCTAGACACAGAGTACTGATTAGTGCATTTACAATCCTCCAGCTACATGTAAAAGTTCTCCAAGACCCCACGTGACTCAGGACCCAGCTGGCTTCGCCTAGTGGATCCCACACCGAGGCCGCAGGTGGAGCTGCCCGCCAGTCCTGTGCCACACGCCTGCACTCTTCAGCCCTTGGGTGGTCGATGGGATTGGGCACCATGGAGCAGGGGGTGGCACCTGTTGGGGAGGCTCAGGCCACGTGAGATCCCCCCGTTCAGGGGGCTCGGGCATGGCAGGCTGCAGGTCCCGAGCCCTGCCCCGCAGGGAGGCAGCTGAGGCCCAGCGAGAATTTGAGCATGGCACAGGTGGGCCGGCAGTGCTGGGGGACCCGGTGCCCCCTCCTCAGCTGCTGGCCCGGGTGCTAAGGACCTCACTGCCTGGGGCCAGCTGGCAGCTCTGAGTGCGGGGCCTGCTGAGCCCATGCCCACCCGGAACTTGCGCTGGCCCGTGAGCATGCCCGCACCTCTCCCTCCACACCTACCCGCAAGCAGAGGGAGCTGGCTCTGGCCTCAGCCAGCCCAGAGAGGGGCAGTGGTAGGCTGAAAGGCTCCTCAAGCATGGCCAGAGTGGATGCCAAGGCAGAGGAGGCACTGAGAGCAATCGAGGGCTGCTAACACATTGTCACCTCTCACTAGCACTTTGAGAGACCAAGGCAGATGGATTGCCTGAGCTCAGGAGTTCAAGACCAGCCTGGGCAACACGGTGAAACCCTGTCTCTACTAAAACACATAAACAAATAGCCAGGTGTGGTGGTGTATGTGTGTAATCCCAGCTACTTGGGAGGCTGAGGCAGGAGAATCGCTTAAACCTGGGAGGTGGAGGTTGCAGTGTGCAGAGATTGCACCACTGCACTCCAGCCTGGGTGACAAAGCAAGACTGTGTCTCAAAAAAAAAAAAAGAAATGTAGGGGTAAATCTTCAGGACCTCACATTAGGCAATAGTTTTATTCATTCATTCATTCATTCATTCATTCATTTAAATAGAGATGGGGCCAGGCGCTGTGGCTCATGCCTGTAATCCTAGCACTTTGGGAGGCCAAGGCAGGCAGATTACTTGAGCTCAGGAGTTCGAGACCAGCCTGACCAACATAGTGAAATGCCATCTTTACTAAAAATACAAAAATTTGCTGGGTGTGGTGGTGTGCATCTGTAGTTCCAGCTACTTGGGAAGCTGAGGCAGAAGAATTGCTTGAACTCGGGAGGCGGAGGTTGCAGCAAGCCAATATCTCATCACCGCACTCCAGCCTGGGCAAAAGAGCAGGACTCTGTCTCATAAATAAATAAGGCAGAGGGTGCAATGGCTCACACCTATAATCACTGTACTTTGGGAGGCAGAGACGGGTGGATCACCTGAGGTTGGGGGTTCAAGACCAACCTGACCAACATGGAGAAACCCTGTCTCTACCAAAAATATAAAATTAGCTGGGTGTGGTGGCAGGTGCTTGTAATCCCAGCTACTCGGGAGGCTGAGGCAGGAGAATCACTTGAACCTGGGAGGCAGAGGTTGCAGTGAGCTGAGATCACACCATTGCACTCCAGCCTACGTAACAAGAGCAAAAAAAAAAAAAAGTACAAATGGCAAATAAGCACATAAAAAGATATTCAACATCACTAACCAACAGGGAAACATAAATAAAAAAAAAATGAGATACTACTTCATACCTAACAATAAAAAAGACAGATGATAGTAAGTTCTCTTTTCTCTTTTTCTTTTTTTTTTTTTAAACCTCATGATGCAACAGTAGATAATACATTGTAACCAGGATGTGGAGAAATTAAAACCCTCATACATTGCTGGGAAGAATGTAAAATGGTAATGCCGCTTTGTAAATCAGTCTGGCAGCTACTCAGAAACTTAAATATAGACTCCAGAGGCTGAGGTAGGAGGATTGCTTGAACCCAGGAGTTTGAGGCCAGCCTGGACAACATAGCAAGCGCTTGTCTCTAAAAAACAAACAAGCAAAAACACAGAGTTACCATGTGACCTATCAGTTCCATTTATAGGTATATACTCAAGAGGATTGAAAACATTTCTGCAGAAAAATTTGTATACAAGTGTTCAGAGCAGCATTATTCATAGTAGCCAAAAAGTAGAACCCAAAAGTATATCAATGGCTGCATGGGCTGGGCATGGTGGCTCGTGCCTATAATCCCAGCACTTTGGAGGCTGAAGCAAAAAGATTGCTTGAGGTCAGGAGTTCAAGACCAGCTTAGGCAACATAGCCAGAATATTTTTTAGAGACCTTGTTTCTAAAACAAAATTTTTTTAATTAGCCAGTTGTGGTGCTGGTGTGGGCCTTTAGTCCTAGGAGTACTGAGAAGTTGAAGTGGGAGGATCGCTTGAGTCCAGGATTTTGAAGCTGCAAATGAGCTATTATTGCCCCACTGCACTCCAGCTTGGGTAACAGAGCTAGGCCCTGTCTGTAAAAAAAATTTTTTAATGAAATAAAATAAAATCTGTTGCATGGGACAGGGCACAGTGGCTCATGCCTATAATCCCAACACTTTGGGAGGTCGAGGTGGGTGGATCACTTGAGATCAGGAGTTTGAGACCAGGCTGGGCAACCTGGTAAAACCCTGTCTCTACTAAAAATACCAAAAAAAAAAAAAAAATTTAACCGGGCGCAATGGCAGAGGTCTGTAGTCCCAGCTACTTGGGAGGCTGAGGCAGGAGAATTGCTTGAACCCAGGAGGTAGAGGCTGCAGTGAGCCGAGACTGCACCACTGCACTGCAGCCTGGGTGATGGAGTGAGACTCCATCTCAAAAAAAAAAAAAAGATTCATGGGCCGGGCACGGTGGCTCACGCCTGTAATCCCAGCACTTTGGGAGGCCAAGGCGGGCGGATCACGAGGTCAGGAGATCGAGACCATCCTGACTAACACGGTGAAACCCCATCTCTACTAAAAATACAAAGAATTAGCTGGGTGCAGTGGCAGGTACCTGTAGTCCCAGCTACTGGGGAGGCTGAGGCAGGAGAATGGTGTGAACCCGGGAGGCGGAGCTTGCAGTGAGCCAAGATGGTGCCACTGCACTCCAGCCTGGGTGACAGAGGGAGATTCTGTCTCAAAAAAAAAAAAAAAAAAAAAAGATTCATGGATTAAACAAAGTATGGATATCATACAATGCAATAATAATCATACATAAAAGAGAAATGAAGCACTGATATATGCTACAGCATGGATGAATCTTGAAAACATCACTTTTAGTGAAAGAAGCCAGACACAAAATACCACATATTGTATAATTCCATTTATGTAAACTGTCCAGAATAGGCAAATCTATAGACATAGAAAGTATACTAATGGTTGCTAGGTGTTGGGGGGAAACAGGGAAGGGAGGTAACTGCTGATGGATGCTGGTTTTGAAGGGACGGTCATGAGGATTGCTTGAGGTCAGGAGTTCAAGACCAGCCTAGGCAACATTTGCTGGGTGTGGTTCTGTGCATCTGTTCTGGAATTAGATAATGAAATGGTTTCATACCTTGTGAACATGCTAAAAAAATCACTGAATTGTCACAAGAGTGAATTTTATCATATGTGAATTATATCTCAATTTTTATAAAATTAACTTCTGGCTTCTCACAGGTGCTACATTAAGGAAAGCAAATCACTAATTCAGGGCACCTAAGCTCATCATCAAGGACCCAAGTAAGGAAATAACAATGCTCAGCAAATCATCAGGGAGACCAGATTGGTTCTTGAAACTCTAGAAGCATTCTAATATCATCCATGCCAATCTCTAGTGAGTATGCATTTATACTTTATACAATGACTAGCCCCAAAGTGACACTGTGGCTGAAATCCAGCTTCAGGACCAACCGACTCTTTTCCTCACTAATCTTCCTACTTCAGTCTCAGGCATTTCCTCTGTAGCATTAGAAAGAAGAAAGGTCGAGTTTATGATTCATTCACAGATAAGTGAACTTAATTCTGCATATTTTACTATTTTACTGAGCACTTGGGAAGTGTTGGACATTTGCTAGACACTAGGGAATCAGCTGTAATCATGATGGCCATGGCTTTGCCTTCAAGGAGCTTATATTCTTATATGAAAGACAGATAAAAACTATAGTAGGCTGGGCACGGTGGCTCATGCCTGTAATCCCAGCACTTTGGGAGGCTGAGGCAGGTGGGTCGTTTGAGTCCAGGGGTTCAAACCAGCCTAGGCAACATGGCAAAACCCAGTCTCTACAAAAAATACAAAAAATTAGCCGGGCATGGTGGTGCATGCCTGTAGTCCCAGTTCCTCAGGAGGCTGAGGTGGGAGGATCGCCTAACCCTGGGAGTTGAAGGTTGCATAAGGCCCAGCCAGGTATTTGTTTTTCAAAGTCATTAGGTTTTGGGGTGGTCTCTTTCACAACAATAGATAACTGAAACAGGAAGTAATGGGGTCACAAGTGCCTCCACACCCTTGATAACACCCTTAACCCTAACCTTGCCTCCGTAAATAGTTCTTTCCCATCATTCTGTTCAACAAAACCCTTTTGAGTTCTGTTTTCTGCTGTGGCCCTCCCTAATATAAGCAAATTAATAAATTCATTAAATAATCACAGACATTTGTTGGTACCGGGATGAAAATACATAGGCTACTGTGACAGGGAATGACAGAGAAAACCAACCTCAGGCAGAGTAGCTAGGGAAGACCTTTCTGACTCACTCTGTCTGAGCCAGTTTACATCTACATCAAGGAGGCGGATGGAAACACAGTGCTAGAATGAGCAAGGTGGTGGCAATCTTACTGGAGGAACCCGTTTCTGATGTAAATCACTCTTTTCTTTTTGGTGTCTCTGCCATGGGCCACTGAACTAGGGTCTGCAACTGCTTTCGGATCTCTGGGTGTATCATTCATTCCATTCTTTCTGTTAGACAGAGTATTTGAAGCAGAAGAAAAACAAGCGATGGGAATGACTCCTTCCCTGGATGCCTGCCTTCCATCTCCCAATACACCTAAAAGAGCAGTTTTGACAGGTCTGAGCCGTACTGACCAAGAAGAAATAGAACAGAAAAACAGGAGAGATGTTAAAAGGCGTTTCTACAAAAGGTATAAAAACACAGGTTTGCCTCAACTATAAACACTTTGAAATCAAAGCAACTTATTTTTATCAATCCAGTTGGCAAGCATTCCAAAGAGCAATGGCATCCAGTGCTTGTGAGGATGTGACAAAACAGGCTCTTCAATGTGTTGCTTGGTGAGAGTGAGAACCGCCCTATAACTTCTTTGGTATACAGTCTGCCAATATCCAATTAAATAAACACAAATCTTCCCCTATACCCATTTTTGAGAATCTATTCTAAAAACCATATGTAAAGATAAATGTAGAAACATCCCTTTTTGGTTTTGAGACGGAGTCTCATTCTGTCGCCCAGGCTGGAGTGCGGTGGCGTGATCTCAGCACACTGCAACCTCCACCTCCCAGGTTCAAGCAATTCTCCTTCCTCAGTGTCCCGAGGTAGCTGGGATTACAGGCATGTGGCACCATGCTCGGATAATTTTTGTATTTTTAGTAGAGACGGGGTTTCACCATGTTGCCCAGGCTGGTCTCGAACTCCTGACCTCAGGCAATCCACCCATCTCGTCCTCCCAAAGTGCTGGGATTACAGGCGTGAGCCATTGTGACCTGCCAAGAAATATTTATTTTATTGCAACATTATTTACCATAGCAAAGCCAAAAATAGAAATAATCTGACTTGGCCAGGCAAGGGGACTCATACCTGTAATCCCAGCACTTTGGGAGGCCTAGGTGGGCAGATAACTTGAGCCCAGAAATTCAAGACCAACATAGCAAGACTCCATCTCTATTTTTTTTAATTTTTGGTAAATAAATACATGATCTAAGGCCGGGCACAGTCGCTCACGCCTGTAATCCCAGCACTTTGGGAGGCCGAGGCGTGTGGATCCCTTGAGGTCAGGAGTTCGAGCCAGCTTGGCCAACATGGTGAAACCCCGTCTCTACGAAAAATACAAGAATTAGCCAGGTGAGGTGGTGTGCGCCTGTAGTCCCAGCTACTCGGGAGGCTGAGGCAGGAGAATCGCTTGAACTGGGGAGGCAGAGGTTGCAGCGAGCCTAGATTGTACCACTGCACTCCAGCCTGGCGACAGAGCGAGACTCTGTCTCAAAAAAGAAATAAAAATAAAAATAAATAAATAAATGAATACATGATCTGACTATCCATCAATAGGAGAATGGTTCAATAAATTATGGTACATTCATATTAAGGTATTACACCATTATTGAGACATGAGAAAAAGAATGAGTTACATCTATATTTATTGAACTGGAGGCATATCCATGATAAACTATTGAGTATTTTTTAAAGCAAGCACTTTAGCATGATCCCAAAACAAAATTTACATATGTGCATGTATTATTGTTTGTATCTGTCTGAGCATGGATGGAGTGTGAAAAAAAATACTGAGATTTTAACAAAATTACCATATTAAATTTTTCTTTATACAGGTGGATTGTTTTGCTTGTTAAAATGAATGTATATTACTTTTATTTATTTGTTTATTTTTGAGACAGGATTCCACTGTGTTGTTCAGGCTGGTCTCAAATTCCCAGGCTCAAGAAATCCTCCTGCCTCAGCCTCCCAAGTAGCTAAGACTATGGGCTCATGCCACTATACCTGGCTCTACTTTTACTTTTTTTTTTTTTTTGAGATGAAGTCTCACTCTGTCACCCAGGCTGGAATGCAGTGGCATGATCTCAGCTCACTGCAACCTCCATCTCCCAGGTTCAAATGATTCTCCTGCCTTAGCCTCCCAAGTAGCTGGGACTACAGGTGCATGCCACCACGCCCGGCTAATTTTTTGTATTTTTAGTAGAGACAGGGTTTCGCCATGTTGACTAGGCTGGCCTTGAACTCCTGAGCTCAGGTGATCTGCCCACCTAGGCCTCCCCAAGTGCTGGGATTACAGGCAAGAGCCACCGTGCCCAGCCTACTTTTAATTCTCTTGTTCTCACTGCTCCGTCTACCTCAGGCAAACGTGGTAATTTTTTTTTTTTTTTTTTGCCTTGGATTAGTTTTTCCTGTTCTAGAATTGTACATAACCGGAGCCATAACTTTTTGTGTGCAGCTTCTTTTGCTCACTTTTTTTTTTTTTTTTTTGAGATGGAGTGTGGCTCTTGTTGCCCAGGCTGCAGTGTAGTGGTGCGATCTCAGCTCATTGCTACCTCCACCTGCCGGGTTCAAGTGATTCTCCTGCCTCAGTCTCCCAAGTAGCTGGGATTACAGGCCCCTGCCACCACACCCGGCTAATTTTTGGTTTTAGTTTGTTTGTTTGTTTTTTGTTGTTGTTGTTGTTTTGAGACAGAGTCTTGCTCTGTCACCAAGGCTGGAGTGTAGTGGCGCAATCTCATCTCACTGCAACCTCCGCCTCCCAGGTTCAAGCAATTCTCATGCCTCAGCCTCCTGAGTAGCTGGGGTTACAGGTGCGCGTGCCACAATGCCCAGCTAATTTTTGTAGAGACGGGGTTTCACCACGTTGACCAGGCTGGTCTCGTACTCCTGACCTCAAGTGATCCACCCACCTCAGCCCCCAAAGTGCTAGGACTACAGAGCCACTGTGCCCAGCTTCTTTGCTCACTTTTATCTGGGAGATTCATCCAGGTTGTTGTATATATCAGTCATTCATTCCTTTTTGTTGGTGAGTCATAGTCTATTCCAATGATATTCCACAATTTGTTTATCCATACCCTGTTGAAGGACATTTGGGTCATTTCTGGTTTTTGGCTATTGTGAAAAAAGCTGCTATGGAACATTCTTACATGAGAATTTTGATATAGCTTTTTATTTCTCTTGGATAAGTACCTACGGGTTGAATTGCTGCATCAAAGGGTAGATAGATGAGGACATATGACCATATTTTACTTTTGTAATTAAAAAAACTAATAAAAACATTTCAAAGAAAAAATTTGAAGAAACAGAATAAATCTGTATTAAAAATGATACTACTACTACTTGCTATCTTACTTTCCACTCCCTCCCCTCCCCATAGGTGTTTGAATCTGTCAGATGTTGGATTTCAATCAGTGACCCACCACTTTTCAGGATGAATCATCAAAAACAGGGAAATTCTCATAAACCTTCCCAAGAGGAACTAGGTTTGAATACCACCCACCAGAGGCCATAAGACGCAAGTGATCCTCCTGGAGAACTGCCAGCACACAGGAAAATCAGTTTCCATGGGCAGACACCACTTCCAAACAAAGCAAAACAAAAGTCATGACACTTGTATTCTCTAATAACAGGGTGTCACCAGAATAGATACGTAGCATTAAAAAGAAGAAAAGAGTATGTTCTGAAATTAGTCAAATTAACACAGCAAAGAATGAGAATATCAAGAAGTAACCTCACTGCAGGGAGGGCTTGTAAACGAATTGTGAACCAAACCTTGGTGACTTCCAAATCTAAACAGAAAGTCTAAAGTGCTACAAAAATTCAATCAATACCCTGAAGACTGATTCTCAGGAAGGATTGGCTAGAATATAAATATGATGTAAAAGAAGAATGTACAGAAGTCCCCTCTTATTCACAGTTTTGCTTTCCACACTTTCAGTTACCCACGCTCAACTGTACTCTGAAAATATTAAATGGGAAATTCCAGAAAGAAACAATACTACATTTTAAATTGCTCAATGTTCTGAGCAGCCGTTCTGAGTAGCATGATGAAATCTCATGCCATCCAGCTCCATCCCACCTGGAATGTGAATCATTCCTTTGGCCAGTGGATCCACGCTGTCTACCACTGCCCGTTAGTCATGGAGAGTTTCTGCTCCTGACATCCAACCATGGATATTGTCATGGCTGGATGATCCAGGATCACCTGAAACAGATGCTTCTCCTTCTGATGAATCATCAGAAGGTCACTACTAGTCTAATACTACACCACAATGCCTATGACATTCACCTAACTTCATTTCATCAAGTAGGCATTGTATTATCTCACATCATCACAAGGAGGGTGAGTATGGTACAACAGGATCTTTTTCTTAATTTTTTTTTAAGAGACAGGGTCTCGGTATGTTGCCCAGGCTGGTCTCAACCTCCTGGGCTCAAGCAATCCTGGGCATTGTCCTCCTAAAGTGCTGGGATTACAGACATGAGCCACCATACCCAGCCAACAATAGGATATTTTGACAGAGAGAGAGAGAATACATTTACATAACTTTTATTACAGTATATTGTTATAATTGTTCTCTTTTATTATTTAAATTTTTTGAGACAGGGTCTCATTCTGTCACCTAGGCTGAAGTGCAGTGGCACAGTCTTGGCTCACTGCAACCTCTGCCTCCCAGTCTTAATCTATTCTCCCACCTCAGCCTCCCAAGTAGCTGGGACTACAGGAATGTGCCACCATACCAGGCTAATTTTTTGTATTTTTTTGTAGAGACAGGGTTTCACCACATTGCCCAGGCTGGTCTAAAACTCCTGGGCTCAAGCCGTCTTCCTACCTTCCAACCTTCCCAAGTGCTGGGATTACAGGCATGAGCCACCACACCCAGCCAACTATTCTATTTATTATTATTGTTGTTAATCTCTTATTGCGCGTATTAGCCCACTTTCTTTTTTTTCTTTTTTTTTTTTGAGATAGAATTTCGCTCTTGTTGCCCAGGCTGGAGTGCAATGGCACAACCTCGGTTCACTGCAACCTCCATTTCCCAGGTTCAAGCGATTCTCCTGCCTCAGCCTCCCAAGTAGCTGGGATTACAAGCATGCACCACCATGCCCATCTAATTTTGTATTTTTAGTAGAGACAGAGTTTCTCCATGTTGGTCAGGCTGGTCTTGAACTCCTTACTGCAGGTGATCTGCTCGTGTCGGCCTCCCAAAGTGCTGGGATTACAGGTGTGAGCCACTGTGCCCGACCAAGTCCGTTTTCATACTATGAAGAAGTACCCAAGATTGGGTATTTATAAAGAAAAAGACATGTTTTTTGAGACAGAGTCTCACTCTGTCAGCCAGGCTAGAGTGCAGTGGTGCAATCTTGGCTCACCGCAACCTCCGCCTCCCAGGTTCAAGGTATTATCATGCCTCAGCCTCCCAAGCAGCCGGGCTTACGGGTGCCTGCCATGACACCTGGATATTTTTTGTATTTTCAGTAGAGATGGACTTTCACCATGTTGGTCAGGGTGGTCTTGAACTCCTGAACTCAAGTGATCTGTCCACCTCAGCCTCCCAAAGTGCTGGGATTACAGGTGTGAGCCACGGTGCCTGGCGTGAAAAAGAGGTTTCATGGACTCACAGTTCCACATGGCTGAGAGGCCTCACAATCATGGTGGAAGGCAAAGGAGGAGCAAAGGCATGTCTTACATGGCAGCAGGCAAGGGAGTGTGTGCAGGGGAACTGCCCTTTATAAAACCATCAGATCTCCTGAAACTTATTCACCATCACAAGAACAGCATGGGAAAAACCCACCCCCATGATTCAATTAACTCCCACTGGGTCCCTCTCACAACACATGGGGATTATGGGAGCTACAATTCAAGAAGAGATTTGGGTAGGGACATAGCCAAACTATATCACTGTGTTTAATTTATAAATTAAACTTTATCATAGGTATGTATGTATAGGAAAAAACATAGTGTATAGAGGGTTTGGTACTATGTGCAGTTTCAAGCATCTCTTGGAATATATCCTCTTAGGATGGGGGGAATACTGTACTGCCACAGTGTCAATGACCAATTTTAGTGGTAACTGCTGAGCCTATGGCCACCATCACCCCTTTTTCTGGGAACTGGCCTTAGTCCCAATCCACAAGCGGTCACAGTATCAGGTATAGACACCTGGTAGATCAAGTTTGGATTCCAAGTGCCATGGGGAGCCATGGAAGTATTTTGTGCAGATAGTAATGTGGTCGAATTTGTGATTCAAAAGGCTTTTGGAGTCCAGATGTGGTGGCTCACGCCTGTAATCCCAGCACTTTGGGAGGCTGAGGTGGGCGGATCACTCGAGGTCAGGAGTTTGAGACTGGCCTGGCCAACATGGCGAAACCATATTTCTACTAAAAATACAAAAATTAGCCAGGCATGGTGGTGGGTGCCTGTAATCCCAGCTACTTGCGAGGCTGAGACAGGAGAATCGCTTGAACCCAGGAGGCAGAGGTTGCAGTGAGCCAATTGTATGGCTGCACCCCCACCCGGGCAACAGAGTGAGACTCTGTCTCAAAAAAAAAAAAAAGATTTTTGGAGAGACAAATACAGGTATTTGCAATAGTTCAGTTATCTAGAGAGATGACTGTGGTTGACATTGGCAGCAAAGGAGAAAAGTAAGCCCTAGAGACCCCACCCTGCCAATATCTAGAAGCTGGGAGAGAAAAAATGAAAGTTTTCCAAGGAGCCTGAAATACAAGAAGAACCAGAAGATTCTGGGGCCATGAAAGCTAAGAGAGGAATTTTGAGAAGGAAGAAGTGGTCAACTGTAGCTTAGGAATTAATGAAGAGGAGCCTTTTTGTGAAGAGGACAGCCTTCTGTTACAGGGAGCAGAGAAATGGGGCTACAGCTGGGAGAAGATAAAGGGACATGGAAGTGACTATAGCATGTCTGTAGCTTCCTGTTGCACCTAAAATAATCTAAGAAGGCTGTGTCCTTAACTTGACATACAATTCCTTCCATGTTGTGACCCCTTATGTTAGTCAGCGTCCCAGCAGGAAACACTGGCATTCTCAGGAGTGTAGCCAAAGACCCCGTAGTGAGGAGACAGTTTACTGCAGTGCCAGCAGGGTGAGGAAGCCAACAGCATTTGGGCAAGCATCCAGGGGTTCACATCACGGTGAAGACGTTGCCACCCAAAGCCTGAAGAGACAAGGGAAGGAAACTCAGAAGGGGAGCTGCCTGACACCAGCAGTGGCCACAGAGGGCCCAATGCCAGAAGCATGTGACAAAGCAGGTGTGCAGGGGAAGAAGTACCATGACTTCTCTTTCTTCCATCTTTGCATCCCCTCACAAAATTGGCAGAACCCTCTGGAAGCCAGAAGCCATGAGAATGCAGGTCATGGAGCTCTTAGAGGTCAGAAGGGCAGAGGGCAGGACAGAGGATAGAGAATGGATTGCACAGACAAATAACTAGCAGGTCCACGCTCACCTCCCAGGCTCATCTCTGCCCATCTCCCCAACCCCACCTCAGGGGCCTTCTTTCAGGTACCAGAACACACCGAGCTACATCCTCCCCAAGGCCTTGGTGCAGGCTGGTCTGTCTATCTGGAACATTCTTTACCTCATCAACTCAAAATTATCCTTACACTCTCATCTTAAATGTCACTTTCTCAGATAGGCCTTTCCTGGGCCACGCCCCTCCCCAATCTAGATAAAATATCACTGTTATAATCTCTCATAGCACCTTGTTCTTTTCTTCCACAGCATTCATCATGGTTTGCGATGATAGATTTATCATGGCATTATTTGTTTGATATCCATCTCCTCTATTAGACTGTAAACTCCATGAGAACAGGAATTATGTCTGTTTTTCACAGAACAATTCTTCGCAATGGGCAAGTGCCCAAACATATATATTTATTGAAATACTTAATGAACCTGCTGTAACACTCTCTCCCACATTGCTGAGATCTCCGGATACAAACAGTTTAGCAGTAATGGATCTTTCTTAGTCTCTGTTACACTCCAGGTGCTATGCTAGAAATTTATGTCATCTCATTCACTCCTCACGACAATCCAATGAGACGGGGACTCTTATTAGCCCCATTTTTCCAGTGAGGGAGCTGAGACCTGAAAGGTTAAGTTATTTGGCCAAGGTCACACAGCTCTGTGGTAGAGCCTGGGTTTGTATCAAAGTCCTGCTGACACCAAAGCTAGTGTTCTGAACTCCTCCCCACACACTGCACTGCCTCCTTAAATATCTTACTGTGGTTGGGTTGGCTTATATGTCTATCTTCCATATTAGACTATGTGGGGGCCCACGTGGCCCCCCAGAGTTGATATAAAGATTATTTTAAGCTGAAGACATTTGAGATTCAACAGATGCAGAAAGAAGCCTTCTTGGAGCTTCTCTTATCTGACTCAAGGCAGAAACTCTATGCACATTGCACATATACACATGTAAACGAATTCTTCCTTGCTAATTGGTTGTTTGTCTGAGTAGTGAAGACTGCCATAAATTCCTTCTCTGGGGCAGCTTCTACCCCTAGGAGACAGACCAAGAGTAAATCTACCAGAAAGCCCTTCTCTGGGAAGTTTCATGGCCCTAAAGGAGACAGAAAGACTATTCATATCTATATAGAAAAACATGGCCAGACGTGGTGGTTCACGTCTATAATCCCAACACTTTGAGAGGCTGAGGCAGGAGGATTGCTTGAGCCCAGGAGTTCAAGACCAGCCTGGGCAGCATAGTGAGAGCTGAACATAGTGAGAAATCATCTCTACAAAAAAAATATATATATATATATATATAAAATATGTATTTTTATATATATGTATTTTATATATATGTATTATATATATATGTCTCTACAAAAAATATATATTTGTGCTTAAAGAAAAACATGATCACAAACTTTCTTATCTCCCATTTGTTCTCCAAAAACACCTATTTGTCTTCCCTGGGGAAACCTACTTGTTCTTCCCATAGGAATCTTTTCTCCCTGCTCCTCTTCCCCTACTAAATTAGGTATCTAAGCCTCACATTCTAACCACCCCTTTGAGTTACTCGAGTTACTCATCACTGAGCACTCCCTCTTGTATGCACATTGTACACATAAACGAATTCTTTCCTGGTAATCTGTTGTTTGTCAGTTAAATTCACAGGCCCCGGATACAAACGTCAGAGGGTAGAGGAAAAGTTTTTCCTCCCCTCCAGCTATAAGTTCCTTGGGTAACAAGTGTTAGTTATCTCTTTAACCCCCATGAACATTGCAAGTGCTCAATAAATGTTAAATATTGACTCTTTCCCACCAACAGAGTATGGCTATGCTGACTGACCTCCCCACCCCACCCAAGTCTTTACCCACACACATTCTGTTTACTAAAGAGCAGTGGTCTGTGCATCCATCTCTTTTGAGCGCCATTTTAGTAAGCTCTTTCTCTACAGCACAGTTATTTTCTTACTTATGTATTTTTTAAATATTGTTTTTTCTTTTTTCTTTTTTTTTTGAGACGCAGTCTCGCTCTGTCGCCCAGGCTGGAGTGCAGTGGCATGATCTCAGCTCACTGCAACCTCCGCCTCCCAGGTTCTCGCCATTCTCCTACCTCAGCCTCCTGAGGTAGCTGGGACTACAGGCGCCCGCCACCATGCCCGGATAATTTTTTATATTTTTAGTAGAGACGGGGTTTCACTGTGTTAGCCAGGATGGTCTCAATCTCCTGACCTCGTGATCCACCTGCCTTGGCCTTCCAAAGTGCTGGGATTACAGGTGTGAGCCACCGTGCCCGGCCTTAAATATTGTTTTTTCAAAGAAATTGTTTTTTTTGTTTTTGAGACAGGGTCTTACTTTGCCACCCAGGCTGGAGTGCAGTGGCGCAATCACAGCTCACTGCAGCCTCTACCTTCCCAGACTCAAGCAGTCCTCCTGCTCAGCCCTCCATTTAGCTGGGACTACAGGCATAAGTCCCCAGGCCCGGCTAATTTTTTTTTTTTAGCCATGTTGCCCAGGTTAGTCTTGAACTCTTGGGTTCAAGTGATCCACCCACCTCAATCTCTCAAAGTGCTGGGTTTACAGGTATGATCCCCACACCTGGTCTAGAGCACAATTCTATTTTTTTTTTTTTTTTTTTTTTTTGAGACAGTCTTGCTCTGTTGCCCAGTTGCCCAGGCTGGAGTGCAGTGGCGCGATCTCAGCTCACTGCAAGCTCCGCCTCCTGGGTTCATGCCATTCTCCTGCCTCGGCCTTATGGAGTAGCCGGGATTACACGCGCCCGCCAGCACGCCCGGCTAATTTCTTTTGTATTTTTTAGTAGAGACAGGGTTTCACCGTGTTAGCCAGGATGGTCTCGATCTCCTGACCTCGTGATCCGCCTGCCTCGGCCTCCCAAAGTGCTGGGATTACATGTGTGAGCCACCACGCCCGGGCCTAGAGCACAATTCTTTTGATGAACTGATAGAGTTCAGGTTCTGTTGGAGCTTCAGTGTGAACTCTGGACGCATAGGAGCTTTCTGACCTTGTCCAGAAGGACCCTGCCTCAAAAACCAGCCAGCCCATCCTTTCTGACATCCACCCCACTCACCCCTGACTCTGACTTGACCATGCAGGATAAATTCCCACAGTCACAAGTGGCCTCGTTGCTTCACTGATGACACTTTCCTGTGAGTGGCATTTTCAGAGGTCTAGACTCTAGGAACAGTACATCCACTCCAGGCTCGCCTGTTTCAGGAGAGAGAAGACAGAGCATCCCAGGAGGCAGGGAAATGATTCTAAGAGCATTTTTGCCTCTATCTCTCCTCCTGCTGGAGCATGCCCATTCTCACAGAAGGAATGCAAATATGTTAGCCCTTTAGAGCACCTATCAAGCTTTCTGAATAGGCCCACCTGAGAGCCCCACTGACAGCCCTGAAAGGGGACTGAATGTCAGCCAAGAAGAGCCCAACTGTCGGCAGAACAGGAAGGAAGGCATGCCCCGCCATCAGTCTACCTGCTGCAGAATGCCAGCAGCGCCACCGCAGCCTCAGCATCACAGCAGCCTCAGACCACTTAACTCCTTCCTTCTGCATTGCTTCCTTTTCTTTTATGCTGTTCCCTATTATAGTTTTTTCTTTTGTTCTTTCTCTCTTTCTTTCTTTTTTTTTTTTTTTTTGAGACAGAGTCTTACTCTGTTGCTTAGGCTGGAGTGCAATGGCACGATCTTGCCTCACTGCAACGTCTGCCTCCTGGGTTCAAGTGATTCTCTTGCCGCGGTCTCCCGAGTAGCTGGGACTACAGGCATGTGCCACCATGCCCTGCTAATTTTTATATTTTTAGTAGAGACAGGGTTTCACCATGTTGCTCAGGCTGGTCTCGAACTCCTGACCTCAGGCGATCTGCCCGCCTCAGCCTCCCAAAGTGCTGGGATTACAGGCATGAGGCACCGTGCCAGGCCTCCCCTATGATAGTCTTCTCTATTTTGTTCTTCCCAACCCAGCTACTTTTGTGGAATTCCAAGAGCTGAGAAGGACCTGTGTCATCTAGCCCAGGGCATCACAAACCCCAGCAAAATCACTTAGAATGTTTTTTCAAAGTACAATTCCCAGACCCCACCTTACATTTAACAGTTGTAAACAACTCTTGCTTTTGTCTGCCAGGGCATGATTCTCTTCAGAGTTCCTTCAGAGAAGTCTTTCTTCTTTCCCCACTCCATGTGGTTCTACTAGGGCTACAAATTCTGTAAGGCAGGCCTCTCTAGAGGTGATAGGACCCAAGATAGGCATATGGTCCAAACTGGGCCAATCAGAGTTATCTTTTGAGATGTCAGAGTCAGTGGATGAAAGACCAAAGTTCCTCTTCTCCCTTGGATGCCTAATAGAAAATGTGGTTACAGCTGGGTGCAGTGGCTCACGCCTGTAATCCCAGCACTTTGGGAGGCCGAGGCAGGTGGACCACCTGAGGTCAGGAGTTCAAGACCAGCCTGGCCAACATGGTGAAACCCTGTCTCCACTAAAAATACAAAAAAAAAACTGGCCAGGAGCAGTGGCTCACACCTGTAATCCCAGCACTTTGGGAGGCCGAGGCGGGTGGATCACCTGAGGTCAGGAGTTCAAGACCAGCCTGACCAACATGGTGAAACCCTGTCTTTACTAAAGATACAAAAAACTAGCTGGGCTTGGTGGCAGATGCCTGTAATCCCAGCTACTCGGGAGGCTGAGACAGGAGAATTGCTTGAACCCAGGAGGCGGAGGTTGCAGTGAGCCAAGATTGCACCACTTCACTCCAGCCTGGGTGACAGAGCGAGACTCCATCTCAAAAAAAAAAAAAAAGAAAGAAAGAAACCAATATTCTGACCTCTGGAGATGAACAGTCAGGTGTGATCAAAAACAAGACTCGTGAGTCCAAATACTGAAACCAAGGTGCAAATGTTCACCTGCTGTGTCAGTTTGAGTACTACAGGAAACAGAAGCCAAGATGGAATTAGAAGTATAAGATATATTAGGGGAAATGCCTATGAAGGAAAAAGGGAAGCGAGAGCAAGAGCAGGTGGTAAGGGTCTGAGACCACAAGGAAGTTCTGACACCTGTCAAGGAAGAGAAGGAAGGAAGGAAGATTGGGTAGGAAGAGTATCTGATTGCAGCAAGGCTTTGAGGAAATCTGGGCCAAGTCGATGGGAAGCCCAGGTCAATGATTGCCCGGTGAAGGAGTCCAGCACTGGGCAGAAATGGCCTGGCTCCAGCACACCTTTCTCAGTCATTGCTGGGAATAGCCCTACAGAGAGTATGCCGTTGGCATAAATGATCCCAGAGGAAGACAGCAGGAAGCTGTCAGTCAACCACACTCCTTGCAACTGGTTCTCTTGAAAGTAGGTCTGAATGGTGCTTTTCCATGGCTGCCATACCCATGTACCATGAATTAAACTCCCCCAAGGGAACTCTAGGGAGGTGACCGCATGAAATAAGCAGTCAGTGTCCATTGTCTACACTGCTTCTCACAACACACATCATTAACATAACTGAGTATATATGTATATATATATTTTTTTTGAGATGAGTTTCGTATGCGATCTCAGCTCACTGCAACCTCCACCTCCCGGGTTCAAGCGATTCTCCTGCCTCAGCCCCCCGAGTAACTGGGATTACAGGCATGCGCCACCACGCCCAGCTAATTTTGTATTTTTAGTAGAGACAGGGTTTCTTCATATTGGTCAGGCTGGTCTCGAACTCCCGACCTCCGGTGATCCACCCACCTTGGCCTCTCAAAGTGCTGGGATTACAGGCGTGAGCCACCACATCCGGCCTTTTTTTTTTTTTTTTCCTTCAAAACGTGTGTTGGTTTGGCCTTACTAAAAGTGTCAGCTCATTTAGTAAAAAATATATGTTTTCCTGAAGAAGAGTGGGTGGAGCATTTTCTCATTTATTTTTCTACCATGAACATATTTGAATTGCCACAAAGAAGTTACTATGGAAACTGCTCTCGAACTTGCAAGATAAAAGGTAAAAATGGAACACTTTGTTGAAATGCAAATAGTCTCTGGAGATCACTTTTTAACAAAGTCTCCGGGTCTGATTTTTCTGAGTCCTTTAAAGGCTCTCTTGAATTAGAAGCGGACAGGCAGATTTTTTGGCTTTACATTCCAGATGGCTCCAGCTGACTGTGCAAATGTCACAGGTGACAACTCTAGGATGGGTCTAGACGTATGCAAACTTGGTTTTGGAATGAGCAAAGAGGCTGACAGTGCCCTGCTGTGAACACCCAAACAGGCCCAGGGGAGGGAAGGTGGTTGTTTCTGGGCCAGGCCCGTTCTGCAGGTGTACTCTGGACTCACTTGTTTGAAAGTTAACTTGCTGAGCTCTTATTTATGCAAAGTAGTTTCTCTTTCTTATCTCCTCTGGCCACATTCCATCTCTGGGATCTTGAGCTGGATAGTCTTTTCAACAAAAAAACACAAACTTCTTATTTGAAAGCCCTATTCCTCTACCCATCTCTGCTCATCTTTACCTGCCTCTCCCCACCCACCTCTCCAACTCACTTCATATCAGCCCAAGTACTCCTACCATTACAAAGCTCTGAGATAACTTTGGATTTCTGCTTGTTGTAATTTTCTGCCTGTCAATTCCTTCAACCTTGCTTCTTTCTCTTGGGGCCTCAATCCGAAAGCCTTACTGAAACTTTTTTCAAAGCTGCTTTCGGTAATTAAGTGAATGCAACTTGGAGAGGGTTTCCTGTAGTCTCAGCTACTTGAGAGACTGAGGTGGGAGGATTGCTTGAGCCCAGGAGTTTCAGATCAGCTGGGGCAACAGAGTGAGACCTCCAGCTCAAAAAAAAAAAAAAAGAAAAAGAAAAAGAAAATAGAAAAGAGGTGGTTTCACTTGAGGGACCAGGGTCCGAGGTTGTTTATTTGGGATTATTGTTACCTAGCTTCATGACTAGCAACCATCAATTTCACTTCTTTGTGAATTGGAGTCTTTATTTGATCCTTTCGAGGGATCCTTCCATTTCAACCTCCTAAGTAGCTGGCCTCACAAGAGTGTGCCCCAACGCCTGGCTTTTTTTTTTTTTTTTTTTTTTTTTTTAAAGACTGGGCTGGCAGGGGGATCTCACTTTGCTGCCCAGGCTGGTCTCAAACTCCTGGGCTCAAGTGATCCTCCTGCCTTGGCCTCCCAGCCTCCCAAAATGCTGGGATAACAGGCGTGAGCCACTGTGCCTGGCCTGTAATGAACTATTGTAGAACCTAAGATTGGCCTTTTAAGACGTCTTTTCAGGCTTTTGCATTTCTGACAAACGGATGACCCCACCCAGACCAGCCACTCCTCTGCTGGCCCTCCATCAAGAAGCCGATTCAGCAAAGGAGAACCATTTTCCATACTCCTCTGATTGCATCCCTAACCAATCAGCAGCACCCATGCCCTAACCCTCTGCTCACCAAACTATCTTTGAAAAACTCTAGCTTCCAAATGTTCAGGAAGATTGATTTGAGTAATAACTCTGTCTCTCAAGTGGCATGGCCAGCCTCATGTCAAACTCTTCACTGCAATGACTTGGTCGCAGTGAATTGACTTTATCTGTAAAGTGGGCAGAAAGAACCCGCTAAGCAATTACACTATATGCAATTATCTTAAATGTTTCCTTGATTATTATATGTTTCTTCCAATTACGTTTGAATTCCAAGAGAGCTGGGTCTTTAACTATATTCCCCACTTCTGGAACATACAAGATGCTCAATAAATATTTGTAGAATGAAAAGAACTGTAAAATTTCAGCAGATGGATCAAATGAAACTTAAGGTTGCTTGTAGCTTTAACATGAGCATTGATAAAAATGAGTAAGTAGAGAAGGAAGTGATGACAACCATTGCAACAAAGCAATGGAAGCAATGTGCATATTTATCCTTAAAAAACACAAACCTGTCATATGTATGTGTATGTGTGCGTGTATATATAATGTTGGCTTTTTAGTTTCCCGTGGAGTGTGAACTGAGTTTCTGAGGTTTATAGTAAAGCATTTAACAAGGATTTCAGGTAGTTGTCTAAATATAAAACATTGTATCATAGAATTAGAGCGGAAAAGGATTTAGAATACAAGTTCTTCAATTTTACAGGGGTGGAAACTAAGGCCTAGAGATCTAAGTGTACTTGGGCATTGGGAAATAAATACAGCGATGTGTCTGTCGATGAGGAATGCGTATGCCAATCATACTTCTGTATAATCATTACTAATAACATAGTAATACTGCCTTACATTTGAAAAGTGTTTGAGTGTGACTAGACCCTGCACCAGTGGTTCTGAAACTTGAGCGTGATCAGAATCACCTAGAGGATTTGTAAAAGCACAGATCGCTGGGCCCCACCTCCAAAATTTCTGGCTCGGTAGGTCTGGGGCCGGGGACTGGGAAAGCTTAAGAGAAACCATCCCAACTCCTCTCAGCTCTCCCAACTCAACCTCTCAGCTCTCCCAACTCAACCGGCCGAGCTCGGCACTCAGGGAAAACTACAAGTCCCGGCGTGCCCCGCGCGCAGCGGCGGAAAGTCGGACACTTCCGCTCCACGCAGCGCCTGTGCTGCCGCGTCTCGACGTGTCACCGGCGGCGCCGCTGCTGTGGCAAAGGAAGGAGCTGACTGGGGGAGTTCGAGGCGGCGGGCGGCGGTGACCCCGGCCTGGAACTGCCCCGGTACGGAAGTGTTCCGGGGTCCGTGGGGAGCAGGAGAGGGAGGCGGCGGACCGTCCCGCGCGGGGCACGATGTTGAACATGTGGAAGGTGCGCGAGCTGGTGGACAAAGCGTGAGTATCGGGGGGCAGTTGTGGCCGAGGCCCACGTGGGGGAGGGGGGAGGGGGAGAAGGAGCTGGCCTTGGGCTAGGGGTTGCCCACGTCACGCCCCCTGGCTCTGCCAGCCCCATCATGGCGGCGGCCCGCTCCTTCCCGGCCCCGGGCCTCATCCCCGCTGGCGAGGCTGGGGAGGGACCCTCCCTCGTTTTAAAAAAAAACATCCTCTTGGCCACCCTTCTCTCCTTTCCAGGCCTTCCCGTCCCTTCCCCTATTCCAACCCCTGGGTGCCGACGCTTTGGTCATAAGGGGCGGGTTGTTTGGCGCTGGGTCACTGCCCTGGCCGGAGGACTGTCTTGGCCCCAGGCCGTGGGCTTTGCCTCCTGGGGAGCAGGGAAGGTTTGGGGGTGGGGGGCACAATGCACTGGTTCCCTGTGTCCCTCAAGGTGTAGTACGGAGAGACCTTAGACCTGGTTGGGGTGTGTCTTTTATCTTCCTTGCCTCCTCTTAATTCCTAATGAACCTGAAGTGTTGGAGTGGGTGGTAGTAGTGTAACAAGTGGCTATTGTGGTCAGCCTGAAGTTACTCAAGAAGACACTCATCCTTTGCTTTTCTAACACTAGTGAAAGTAGATCACTATATGACTTCTTGCGATTTTTTCTTCTGTTTCTTTTTCCACTACACATCATTTTTGGTGTGCTACTTGTTCCATTCGATTAAATTAAGAGGTCATTAAGAAATGTCCTCTTAAGGAAAAAAACAACCCAGGTTTATATCCTGTTGATCTGCTTTTAAAAGCAGGTAAAACGACCAGTACGTAGTTGATTTCCTTTAAGACTGAAATAACTTTAGTCTCTTACTTGCACAAGGAAAACCTTAACTTTTAAAATGAGTATATCAGGTATAACAGTGGTTAAGTAAGGTCTTCTAGGCCAGCAGGAAATAAAGTTTAAGAATTTAAGCAGTCCTCTTCCTTTGGGGCTTTAATGATTATGCAATAAGTGTGGTGAGAAAAACAGTTGATTTGTGCCACCCACCTAACCTAAAATCAGGAAGTATAGATAGCAAACTGTTTTCTTGACACCAGGAAACAAAGTAATTTCCAGTGCCTTGTCTGATACATCAGATAGAACTTAGAGCTTGACCATATTTTTATATTTTCTGTGCTACCAAGAAGGCAATAGAGTGCCTAAGGAGCACAGGTTTCAGAACCTGCAAAGCTGGGTTCAAGCTTTATAACCTTGGGGAAGTTACTTATCCTCACAGTGCCCTAGTTTTCTCTGGTACAAAATGAAAATGCAACGATACCTACCTTAGAATGTTGTTGTGAGGCTTAAGGGTTAAGGGATTGTATTGCATATAAAGCCCTTAACAGAATATGTTTATATTAGTGTACTTTTGAAACTAGCAAATGTTTTGCATTTAGAGTGAAATAAACCTCTTTAAGAAAGAAGCTTCAAGTTTGAAAAGTGATTTGCTTTAATAATTTTCCTTTATAACAACTCATTTGGCTATTAAGGCTTCAGCTATTTATTTCGGACTATTTAGCTATTTATATATTCTTTGCTTTTGCTTACCGAAGATGAAATAAACTAGATCTTTTCCAGATCTAGGTTCATTGGCATTTTTTTAGTATATTGTGTAAAGATTAGGATATCAACTTAAATAGTTTTTTAAAGGCCAAAAGAAGACTAAAAGCTACCTTTTTTTTTTTTTTTTTTGATGGGGTCTCATTCTTTTGTGTGTTCATAACTCACTGCACCCTCCAACTCCTGGGCTCAAGTGATCCTCCCACCTCAGCCTCCCAAGTGGCCAGGACTACAGGCATGCATCACCGTGCCTGGCACTGCCTCCTTATTTCTCAGTCAGAGGTCAGAAGAATAAAACCATTAAGAAACACCTTGTTCTCTTAGAGGACCAAATTTGTGGTACTCAAAAATTTGAAGAGGCTGTACATTGTTCGTAAGACAGAAATCGAGGCAATATTCCTACTATTGTTGTACCTTTCATATTTGCTTATCACACTTGTTACTAATCTTCACGTGCTTTAGGTTAAATTTGCCATGTAAGTAGTTATCTAAAGGAAAAGCTATTGTTGAAAAATATTATCTATCTTTTTACTACCCAATTTAGGATGTAGACTTGAACCAAATTATTCAAGAACATAGAAGAATGTTGTCACCAAAGACTTTTTAAGGCTTTTGTGGGTGTCTGACACATATTAAGATTAGAACATGAGGTTGATTTACTGATGAGTACTCGGGATTTTAATTTTCATCTTTTCACTGGCAAGAAGAGAAGAAATTCTTCCCCCCAAATGTAAGCATCTTACAGAACCGTGGATCTGTTAGACTGTGCACCTTATAATGCCATAATAGACGTGCATCCATAGAATGGTTGGTCTGATTATCAGAGGTATAAAATGATGAAGGAACTTGCAAATGAAGAAGCAGTGACGTGATTAAGGGCTATTCAGATAGATGGATCAATAGAATGAGGGCTTCTATGAGAGAAAGGTTAGGGGTTTAACTATCTGGTTCATATTCTGGCATTACGTTTTTAATTAGCTGTATGTATGATTTGAGGCAGAATCACATGAATCTCCAGACTTTGCCTTCCTTATCTGTAAAATGAGGGGACCTGGCTAGAGTAAGACTTTTTCCACCTTTGATGGCTATTGGAGAAATGCATTTCCATCAAGGAAAAATAGTTGGAACTAGTTTTTACAATAGCAGACAAATTTTGGAGCCATTATCCTCTGTAGACAATTTAGGCTGAAAAGGGAAATTTTCTTAAAAAGTGGTAATCAATAAATGTTATACTTAAATATTTTATGCAATAAATAAGACCATGACTCAGGAAGACTAGGACTTTTAGTGTATATTGATACCCAGTGAGGTTTTACTTCAGAAAAAGAAATGTACTCTGAAAAATGTGTTTCCTGGAGCCACTCTTAGATTCAGTATGGTAGCGGCTCTTAAGTGTAATGATGTATTTCTTTTTTTTTTTTGAGATGGGGTTTCGCTCTTGTTCCCGGGGCTGAAGTGCAGTGGCGAGATCTCAGCTCACTGCAGCTTACACTTCTGGGGTTCAAGCGAGTCTCCTGCCTCAGCCTCCCTAGTAGCTGGAATTACAGGTGCCTGCCACCACACCCAGCTAATCTGTGTATTTTTAGTAGACACGGGGTTTCGCCATGTTGGCCAGGCTGGTCTTGAACTCCTGACCTCAGGTGATCCACCCATCTCAGCTACTCAAAGTGATAATGATGTATTTCAAACACTGGCTTTTGAGACCTTGAAGACTTTTTCTGGAAGTGGGGGTATATTTTCCACAATCGCTGCACCTCCTGGTGGCAGTAGAGGGATTTGTTTTGCAGAACATTGTGGAACTGAGGGAAGCAGATAAAGCCATAGGCCTGCCAGAGCTTGGAATGCCAGTATCTTCCCACTCGTCAAGTTGCATAAAAGGCGATGTGGCAGGAAAGGATAAGTGGCACCATTCCCACCAACTAGGAGCACTAGCTTAATCATTGTCATCCTATGACCTATCTTTACTTGTGGCTGTAATAAAATTGGACATGTTTATATTTTGTCATCCTATACATGGTAAAATTGAAAGTTGCTGCAGTTCTATTTTCTCTCTAGATTTGAGGAATGTAATGAAGGTGACATGGTAGTGGTAGATCAAAACTGCTACTTATTTGTTCAAGCTCAGCGAATCCTTCTCTTTCCTTGCAAGGAGTAATATTAGTGGTAAATCTCTTTCATCAGTGACCCGCCCCCCCCCCCGCCTTTTTTTTTTTTCGGAGACAGTTCACTTTATCCCCCAGGCTGAAGTGCAATGGCGTGATTTCAGCCCACTGCAATCTCTACCTCCCGGGTTCAAATGATTCTCCTGCCTCAGCCTCCCGAGTAGCTGGGATTACAGGCGTCTACCTCCATGCCTGGCTAATTTTTGTATTTTTCATACAGCTGAGGTTTTGCTGTGTTGGCCAGGCTGGTCTCAAACTTGTGACCTCAGGTGATCCACCCACCTCGGCCTCCCAAAGTGCTGGGATTACAGGCATGAGCCACCTTGCCCAGCCTCAGTGGCCCTTTTTTTGATAGTGATTCAAACAGCTCTGGCTAAGGTCCTAAGGCAACAGCTATGGGTAGTCCATTTTAAGTTATTCTCCTAAGCATAGCTTGCATTTTCCCTCATAAGTTGATTTTTATTGATGTATATTTGCTTGGTTTTAGTTCCTAAATGTTTAGATAATGTAATAGAGCTGTAGAAACTGCTGTTCTAGTCTCCTGACTCCAGAGGGAGAAACTTTTGCTTTTATAAAGAATAGTATATTCATTTATTTTAACAGGCAATACATTTGTTATTTATTGGATTAGTAGTCTGGTTTCTTTTTATTTTTTATTTTTGAGACAGGGTCACACTCAGTTGTCCAGGCTGGAGCACAGTGATGCAAACATGCACACTGCAGCTGGGACCACAGCTGCGCCTCCATGCGTGGCTAATTTTAAAAAATTTTTTTGTGGAGAAGGGTTCTTGCTATGTTGCCCAGGCTAGTCTTGAACTCCTGGGCTCAGGCAGTCTGCCTGCCTCAGCATCCTGAAGCGCAGGGATTACAGGCGGGAGCCATTGCGCCTGGTCTAGTACTCTATTTTCTGAACTCGAAACATACAATACCTGCCTTCAAGAACCTTGCCACTACAAATATGCTACAACTTGAATGGATTATTTTTCTTTTCTTTTCTTTCAGTCTTCAGATATCATCCCCTTTATTTTCTTTATCTTACCAGTAAATCTCTGTTCAGTTTGCTTCTTGGAATTTGAAAGCAGAGATAGTAAGATAGTTGTCAGCTTTCTAGTCTTCCCATGTCAACTTTTCTTTGAACCGATTATAAGTAATTGTTATTGCTGAAACAATGAATTAATTATTCTCCTCCTTTTCTAGTAACTGGACACAAGTAGATATTAGGAATTTAATTCCAAAGAAAGATGAGTTTGGTTTATCTCTGCTAGCATTTCTTAGGGGTAATTTTCTGTAGTTTAATCTATTTAGTACTACTGTCAGGGTGCTTTTAAAAAGCACTTAACTGCCTCTTATGTTTTCTTGCACACTTTAGTATTAGTTTACAAGCAGTTTTTCTTTTTTTTTTTTTTTTTTTTTTTTTGAGATGGTGTCTCGCTCTCGTTGCCCAGGCTGGAGTGCAATGGTGCGATATTGGCTCACTGCAACCTCTGCCTCCTGGGTTCAAGCAATTCTCTTGCTTCAGCCTCCTGAGTAGCTGGGATTACAGGCACGTGCCACCATGCCCGGCTAATTTTTGTAATTTTAGTAGAGACGAGATTTCGTCATGTTGGCCAGGCTGGTCTTGAACTCTTGACCTCAGGTGATCCACCTGCCTCAGACTCCCAAAGTGCTGGGATTACAGGCGTGAGCCTCCGTGCCCGGCCTACAAAGCAGTTTTTCATCTGTTTACTGATATGTCCATTGAAAGTACTTAGCCTTTTTTATTTTGAGTGCCATTTGCTAGTAATCCAAGGTTTCACAATATGGCTCTACAGTTGAGTCTTTTTCTGGACTTTTTTTTTTTTCTTTCTTTCTTGAGATGGAGTCTTGCTCTGTCTCCCAGGCTGGAGTGCCATGGTGTGATCTCAACTCACTGCGACTGGCCTCTGCCTCCCAGGTTCCAGCGAGTCTCCTGCCTTAGCCACCCAAGTAGCTGGGATTACAGGCATGTGCCACCATGCCCAGCTAATTTTTGTAGAGACGGGGTTTCATCACTTTGGCCAGGCTGGTCTCGAACTCCTGACTTCATGTGATCTGCCTGCCTTAGCCTCCCAAAGGGCTGGGATTACAGGCATGAGCCATTGCCTCTGGCCTTTTGTATGCTTATATTATTTTCCTACTTGTTTCCAATGTTTGTTTTAATGAAGATCACTTCACAGATTCAAAGTACATTTTTAGTACTTTTGAAGGTTCTTATATACAGTTAACTTTTTAGTCTCAGCTACCTTTGGTGACAACATATTTTACTGTTTACTCTTCTGTGTTTTTCAGGTTAACGCTTCATGTGAGCTTTCCTTGTTTAGCTTAATTATGTGTGTTTGTCCATCTATGTATTTTTATAATAATTTGCTAGCCAAATATACTTTGCCACTATACTTAGGTGCCTCCAGATGGTGTTTAATAAATGTGGGAATAGCTAGTGGTTCAGAGGTGAGAACTGGATTGAAATCTTAGGTCTGCTACTAGAAACGGTGATCTTATGTGTTAGAATGGTATCTTTATTTCTCTGTAAAATAGAGATGATATTTTATAGGATTATGAGGATTAAATGTGAAACAGTATAGTACTTGACATACAGTAAACTCTTGAAACATCTATTACTGTTATTACTGTTACACACAAAACAGTATAACACTAGAAAAATCAAAGGAATACAGTGTTTGTGAAAATAGAGATATCATTGTCAGACTAGGTTATTTGTAAGTATGTAGGAACTATATCTTCATCCATGAAATCATTATTTTCAGTGAGTACTCTCTCTTAAGACTCAGTTTAGCCTACATATAGGACAGCTAATTTAAATACCTCTGTTGTTTATGCCTTGTATTATTTTTGCTAAATCATAAATGGCTTCTACTTTAATATTGCAAAGCATATTGCAGAAATACCCTTTCAAAAGACATGTTGAGGAATAAAGTCTTTGGAAAGACATATCGCGAATTCCATCTGCCAATTCTTAATATTTTGTTCAGCTTGTTTTGTGTATTCTCAAGATTTTAAAGTAACTGCTAATGTAAAACATTACTAAAACATAAAAAGATTTATTTCATAAATGCAAATTGAAGCAGACAATTTATTCTTAAGAGACTGAACAATATCAAGAAAAAGAATCCTCTAAAATATGTGATACCAAATTCATGGTGTTTGACAATGGACAAACAGTATATACAAGGAAAGCACATTGGAGAAAGGGCTTTCTGGTTATTCAACCCCTCAAATTGGCAAGAAATTATTTGGCTTACCAGGGCTCTTTTGCCTGAAAATTAAATACAGGTAAAGGAACGTAATATATTCCTATGTTTGAGCCAATTTATAGCTACTTATTACTTGTGGATAGATTTAGCTAACGAATTATTAAATGTGAGTGATTTTGTTAATGTGCAACAGTGCACATGAATGGTTTGTACTTCATTTAAGAAGAGTCTAGTTAGCCAATTTTAGAATATTTCATTTCTTTTTTTTTTTTTTTTTTGAGACGGGGTCTTGCTCTGTCACTCAGGCTGGAGTGTAATGGTGCCATCTCTGCTTCAGCCTCCTAGGTTTAAGCGATCCTCCCAAGTAGCTTAAGCGATCCTCCCAAGTAGCTGGGACGACAGACACATGTCACAACACCCAGCTAATTTTTGTATTTTGGTAGAAATGGAGTTTTGCCGCATTTCCCAGGCTGGTCTCGAACTCCTGAGCTCAAGCAATCTACCCACCGTGGCCTCCCAAAATGCTGGAATTGCAGGTGTGAGCCACTGTGCCTGGCCTAGAATATTTGTTTTGACATGAATTTTATTTAGCTTCTCAATTCTTAGGACAGTATTTAAGTTCTAGATAACTTTAATATAAATAATCTTTTATAATTTTGCACACACTCATCATTATGTGGTAAACGTACATGCGTGCTTTTTCAACAACTATTGAATGAAATGTTTCATTCAAGAATTCTCATTCAAATAGCTTATATTTTTATAGTAGAAAAAAGGCATGCATTGAAAATTCAATTTTCGGGTTTTTTGTTTGTTTGTTTGTTTGCCATTTGTTTTCATGCATTTTTAGTAAATCATTAAAGAACAGTGCAAGGCCAGGTGCCGTGGCTCACAACTGTAATCCCAACACTTTGGGAGGCCGAGAAGGGAAGATCTCTTGAGCCCAGTAGTCCAAGACTAGCCTGGGCAACACAGACCTTGTCTCTACAAAAAAATTAAAAAATTAGCCGGACATGGTGATGCATGCCTATAGTCCCAGCTACATGGGAGGCTGAAATGGGAGGATCACTTGAACCCAGGAGTTGAAAGCTGCAGTGAGCTGTGATTGTGCCACTGCACTCTAGCCTGGGCAACAGAGTGAAACTTTGTCTCTAAAAAAATTTTTTTTAATATTAAAAAAAAGAACAATGCTAATAGGCATACTGAGCCTTTTTCTATTAATTTTTCTCATACTAATTTTTCATTTATCACTTTTTAAAGTGACTTAGGTTATACGGTTGAAACTACATGTCTTAATTTGTAGTTAAACCCCCATGGTTAAATAATTTTTTTTTTTTTTTTTTTTTTTTTTTGAGACAGGGTCTCACTTGTACCCAGGCTGGAGCGCAGTGGCATGCACGATCTTGACTCACTGCAGCCTTGACCTCCTGGGCTCAATCCATCCTCCCACCTTAGTCCCCCAAGTAAGAGGGACTACAGGTGCTTACCACCATGCCCGGCTAATTTTTTGTAGAGATAGGGTTTCATCATGCTCCCCAGGCTGGGCTCAAACTCTTGAGCTCAGGCAATCCGCCCGCCTCAAGCCTCCCAAAGTGCTAGGATTATAGGCGTGAGCCACTGTGCCCAGCCAGTAATATCCTTAGTTTGATGTATTTGGCTTATAAGTTCGGTACTGAATGGGGCTTTGAAGGATGGCCTGTTTCTCACTAAGCATGTAAAATGTTTAGCCCTGTCATCTGCTGTCCACTCAGCAGCGAGAGGGATTCTTTAAAAATACTAAGTCAAATGGGTTCAGAATTCTCCAGTGGCTTCTCATCTCATTGCTTAATTGCCTGTACAGATCTGGCTCTTTGTTGCCCCGCCTGTGATCTCTTCTCCCACCACTGTCCCTCACTTTCTCTGTTCTGTTCAGTGGACCTCCTGTATTACATAGTATGCACTCACACTCGTCACTATTTTTTTCTGTGCTTGCCTTCCTCTGTTACATGTATTCATCTCCTGCCTCTGATATGCAAGTTCCTTGAGGGCAGGAACTTTGTTTTGTTTACTGCTGTATTACTAACTCTTAGAACAATTATGACACATAGTAGGCGCTCAAATATTTTTGAATGAATACATTAAATTTGGTAAGTTGATATTTATTACAGAGGATATCCTTTAAATCCAGATATTTCTAATAATAAAAGCTAATAGTTATTGAGCATTTGCCATGTGCCAAGAACAAAGGTGACAACATTGTTATGTTCAATTTTCTTATGAGGAAATTGGGCACAGAATGCCAAGAGTGTGCCACAGATAGCACATCTAGAAGATAGTCTAGATTTAAATCTAGATGATATACTTTCAGAATATGTATTTAGCAGTTTATGCTAATCTTTTACAAGACATCATGTAAACAAAAAAATTGTTATACAGGCATACCTCAGAGATATTACAGGTTTAGTTCCAAACCACTGCAATAAAGTGAATATTGGAATAAAGCAAGTCATACAAATTTTTAGTTTCCCAGTTCATATAAAAGTTATGTTTCCACTATGTGGTAGTCTATTAAATGCACAATGGTATTATGTTTAAAAAAGTACATACCTTAATTTAAAAATATCTTATTGCTAAAAAGTACAGCCATCTGAGCTTTCAGCAGGTATTTATCATTCTGCTGGTGGAAAATCTTGCCTCCATGTTGATGGCTGCTGACTTATCAGGGTTGTGGGATTGCTGAAGTTTGGGGTGGCTGTGGCAATTTCTTAAAATAACAATGAAGTTTTCTGCATCATAGATTCTTCCTTTCACAGATGATTTCTCTGTAGCATGCAATGCTGCTCGATAGCATTTTACCTAAAGTAGAACTTCTTTTATAATTGGAGTCAGGCTGGGCGTGGTGGCTCATGCTTGTAAACCCAGCACTTTGGGAGGCCAAAGTGGGCAAATCACTTGAGGTCAGGAGTTCAAGACCAACCTGGCCAGCATGGCAAAATCCTGTCTCTACTAAAAATACAAAAATTCGGCCAGGCACAATAGCTTACACCTGTAATCCCAGCACTTTGGGAGGCTGAGGTGGGTAGATCACTTGAAGTTAGGAGTTCGAGACCAACCTGGCCAACGTGGTGAAACCCCGTCTCTACTAAAAATACAAAAATTAGCTGGGCGTGGTGGCGGGCGCCTGTGATCCCTGCTACTCAGGAGTGTGAGGCAGGAGAATCACTTGAACCCCAGAGGCAGAGGTTGCGGTGAGCCAAGATTGCATCACTGCACTCCAGCCTGGACAACAGAACGAGACTGCATCTCAAAAACACAATTAGCCGGCATTCTGGCGCACCCCTGTAGTCCCAGCTACTTGGGAGGTTGAGGCACGAGAATCACTTGAACCCGGGAGGCAGAGGTTGCAGTGAGCGGAAATAGCGCCACTGTACTCCAGCCTGGGGGACAGAGTGAGACTCCACCTCAAAAAAAAAAAAATTGGATTCAGTCCTCTAAAACTCTGCTACTGCTTTATCAGCTAAGTTGCCCACTCCAGCCTGGGCAACAGAGCGAGACTGCGTCTCAATAAAAAAAAAAATAATAATTCTTAGGTCGGGTGCAGTGGCTCACGCCTGTAATCCCAGAGCTTTGTGAGGGAGAGGCGGGTGGATTGCTTGAGCCTAGGAGTTCAAGACCAGTCTGGCCAATGTGGTGAAACCCCATCTCTACTAAAGATACAAAAATTAGCCAGGGGTAGTGGCGGGCCCCTGTAGTCCCAGCTACTTGGGAGGCTGAGGCAGAATTGCTTGAATCTGGAAAGTGGAGGTTTCAGTGAGCCAAGATAGTGCCACTCCAGCCTGGGCGACAGAGCGAGACTCCATCTCAAAAAAAAATTTTTTTTGGCCAGGTGCAGTGGCTCACACCTGTATCCCAGTACTTTGGGAGTTCAAGGCACGTGGATCACTTGAGCCCAGGAGTTGAAGACCAACCTGAGCAATATGGTGAAACCTCATCTCTGCTAAAAATACAAAAATTAGTCAGGTGTGGTGGCAAGTAGTCTCAGCTACTCAAGAGGCTGAGGTAGGAGGATTACTTGAGCTCAGGAGGTCAAGGCTGCAGTGAACAGTGATGGTGCCACTGTACTCCGGCCTGGGCAATGGAGGGAGACATCGTCTCAAGAAAAACAAGAAAAATCTTTGTTGTCATTTTAACCATGTTCTTCACTGGCAGTAGAGTCCATCTCAAGAAACCACTTATTTTGCTCATCTAGAAGAAGCAACTCATCATTCAAGCTTTATCATGAGATTACAGCAATTCAGTCACATCTTCAGGCTCCGCTCCTAATTCTAGTTTTCTTGCTGTTCTCACCACATCTGCAGTGACGTCCGTCACTGAAGTCTTGAACCCCTCAAAGTGATCCATGAGGTTTGGAATCAACTTCCAGACTCCTGTAAATGTTGATATTTTTACCATGAATCACAATTTTTTTTTTTTTTGAGACGGAGTCTTGCTCTGTCGCCCAGGCTGGAGTGTAGTGGCACGATCTCGGCTCACTGCAAGCTCTGCCTCCTGGGTTCACGCCATTCTCCTGCCTCAGCCTCCCAAGTAGCTGGGACTACAGGCGCCCACCACCACGCCTGGCTAATTTTTAATTTTTAAGTTTTCTGTAGAGATGAGGTTTCGCTATGTTGCTGAGGCTAGCCTTGAACTCCTGAGTTTAAGCAGTCCTCCTGCCTTGGCCTCCCAAAGTGCTAGGATTACAGGTGTGAGCTGTGCCCAGCCACTAATATTCTTAATGGCAAAACTAGTATGGTGAATTCTTTCCAGAAGGTTTTCAATTTACTTTTCCCAGATCCATCAGAGGAATCACTAGCTAGGCAGTTACAGCCTTATGGAATGTATTTTCTTAAATAATAAGACTTGAAAGTCTAAATGACTTCTTGATCCATGGGCTACAAAACGAACATTGTGTTAGCAGACATGAAAACACTCATCTCTTTGTACGTCTCCATCAGAGCTCCTTGGTGACTCCTTGTCCATGTGAAATAATATTTTGAAAAGAATCTTTTCTTCTGAGCAGTAGATCTCAACAGTGGGCTTAAAATAATCAGTAAACTATGCTGTAAACAGATGCGCCATCATTTAGGCTTTGTTGTTCTATTTCTATAGCACAAGCAGAGTAGATTTAGCATAATTCTTAAGGGCCCCAGGATTTTCATAATGTGCAGTGAGCACTGGCTCACAGCTGCGTTAGCCCATGAGAAGAGATTCAGCCTGTCCTTTGAGGCTTTGAAGCCAGGCACTGACCTCTCTAGCTATGAAAGTCCTAGATGGCATCTTCCACTGGAAGGCCGTTTCATCTCCATTGAAAATCTGTTTAGTGTAACCACTTTCATTAGATGATCTTAGCTAGACCTTCTGGATAATTTGCCATAGCTTCTACATCAGCACTTACTGTTTCACCTTAAATTTTTCTCTTATGGAGGCGGCTTCTTTTCTTAAACCTCATAAACTTCTGCTAGCTTCAGCTTCTCTTTTGCAGCTTCCTCACCTCTCTCAGCCTTCATAGAACTGTATAGAGTTAGGGCCTTGCTCTGGATTAGGCTTTGGCTTAAGGGAATGTTGTGGCTAGTTTGATATTCTATTCAAACCACTCAAACTTTCTCCATATCAGCAGTGAAGCTCTGTTTCACTTATCATTGTTGTGTTCACTAGACTAGCACTTTAAATTTCCTTCAAGAACATTTCCTTTGCATTCACAACCTAACTTTTTGGCACAAGAGGCATAGCTTTTAGCCTGTCTCAGCTTTCAACATACCTTCCTAAGCTTAATCATTTCTAGCTTTTGATTGAAAGTAGGAGATGTGCAGCTCTTCCTTTCACTTGAACACTTAGAGGTCATTGTAGGGTTATTAATTGACCTAATGTCAATATTGTGTCTAAGGGAATAGAGATGCCAGAGGAGAGGGAGAGCGGCAGGAATGGGCAGTCAGTGGAGCAGTCAGGACACATTCAACTTACTATCAATTAGCAGCGTGGTTCATGCTATCCCCAAACAATTACAATAGTAACATCAAAGATCACTGATCACAGACTGCTATAACAGAAAGAATAATGAAAAAGTTGGAAATATTGTAAGAATTACTAAAATGCGGCCGGGCATGGTGGCTTACGCCTGTAATCCCAGCACTTTGGGAGGTGGAGGCAGGCGGATCACGAGGTCAGGAGATCGAGACCATCCTGGCTAACACGGTGAAACCCCGTCTCTACTAAAAATACAAAAAAAAATTAGCCGGGCGTGGTGGCAGGCACCTGTGGTCCCAGCTACTTGGGAGGCTGAGGCAGGAGAATGGCGTGAACCCGGGAGGCGGAGCTTGCAGTGAGCCAAGATCGCGCCACTGCACTCCAGCCTGGGCGACAGAGCAAGACTCCGTCTCAAAAAAAAAAAAAAAATACTAAAATGCTTAATGCAAGGTTGCCATAAACCTTAAATAGGTGTGAAGCACAGTAAAGCAAAGCACAGTAAAATTAGGTGTGTCCATATTTCGCTACCAGAAAGGTGAATTAGTAGTATATACCTCACACAAATTAAAAAATTACTTGGGAAAAATTTATAGTACTTAATTTTTATTTTATTTTATTTTATTATTATTATTTTGAGATGGAGGCTTACTCTGCCGCCCAGGCTGGAGTGCAGTGGCATGATCTCGGCTCACTGCAACCTCCACCTCCCAGGTTCAAGTGATTCTCCTGCCTCAGCCTCCCAAGTAGCTGGGATTACAAGCGTGTGCCACCACGCCAGGCTATTTTTTGTATTTTTAATAGAGACAGAGTTTCACCATGTTGGCTAGGCTGGTCTTGAACTCCTGACTTCAAGTGATTCGCCTGCCTTGGCCTCCCAAAGTGCTGGGATTACAGGCGTGAGCCACTGCACCCAGGCTACAGTACTTAAGATTCTGAACCAAATTCAGTTGCAGTGTGTTCTGTTTTCCACATATGCACCTATCATAGAAGGAATTTTTTCTGACCTCTTGCAATATTCTGAATAATGACTGTGAGGTCGGTGACCCTTAATGAGAGGGAAGCAAATAGATGTTTCCATAGGTGAAAAAGAAAATCTTCACTGTTGTTATGAAGGTGTTCTCTGTAAGCAATTGTAAAAAATATTTTTACATTTGTTGAGCTGTATTATGTGCTTCAGAATCAGTGGTCCTCTGTGACCAACTTTTAAAAGTTCTATAATCCTGTGATCTTTATGTTTTGGTCAGTTCGACATGCCTCAGTGTGTGCTATGTCATATGAATAGGATTTATGCACAACTTTTTCCAATTTTTCTTATGTTCAGTGTGGATAATTTGGAATAATGTTCTTTAATCGCTTATGTACCATCTAAGTACTATATTTCTGGCATAGGATGTAAACATCTAGACGTTATACAGTAACTCAAAATACATTATTGATATCCTTACTAATCTTGGCTGACCTTGTAAGGGTCCTTCACTGAGTGCTTATTAAATAGTAACCACAAGCCCTGTAGAGTACTATAAGACATGTGACAGATCTTAGGGTTCCAGTAGGCAGCTTACGGTTCTGTAAGGCATATGCATATGAAAACTGCATGAAAAATAGAAAATGACACAAGATGATATATCAGTGAGTACTTTCTTAGAAGCTAGTTCTGTCATAAACGAAAGAAGGTCCATATTATACCCTAATCAAATAGTGCAGATTAAATAATTTGAGATATAAATGTTTCTTTTTTGAGAACTTGAGGGGAAAATACATTATAAAGGTCTTCAAAATTTCAGTAGACAGGTTCTAGAAACAGTTTTCCTTCATGTCAGAAAAGTCAAGTCTAGTTTTTGAGATTGGATAATACATCTAAGTTTAATTACTGGTGAAAAATGAAAAAAACTATAGCCTACTTAATTTAAACAGAATATCAAGTATTTGAGTTCACAAAGAGATGGTATCACTCTTACCACTGTTGAGATATAGGATTTTTCATTTTATCATTCTGTTAAGGTTTTTTACAGTTATATACTTTTGATTAGCATCTGATATTTGGCAATACATATGAATTTAATCAAGCAGAAGAAAATCTATAGATGATACACTCAGACTGTACAATATCAAGCCCATGTCTGCAAAGACGTAATTTTCACATATTGTGCCAGTGCAGGATGTCTCATATTGTCATTTTCTTAGAAGGCTTTTATGCCTTTTTTTAAGGCTAACTGATTTTACTACTTTTTTTAGATGTTGTCCTGAGGAACAAGATAATACATTTCATAAAATTGCCTTAATAGAGTGTTTTAAATGGAGCACCACCTATTTAAAAAGATAACTGGTTGTGAGTGTGCCACAGTTGATCAAATTTCTTGGAGTATTAGTTTTAAATGAAGAGTGAGAAGGGTAAGTATAGGAGGGACGTGAGTCAAGATACTTCCTCTACTTCTGCTGTATAAAATGAGGATAAGGTCTACCTTCCAGGTCTGTTAAGAGAATTAAATAAGCTAATATGTGTTAAGTTACAGTAAAAGGAACAACCACTATTGTGTAAGTTATGCAAACTTTATTCTTATTCTTTTGGGACACCCACTACCAACAATATTCCAAAGCCATGTTGGTATGTCAAGCAGTCTTAAGATGCTTGTTGTTTGTAAATTATTTACCATTGTGTTGTCAGTAAATTATTGTTCTTTACTTTTGTTTTATTTCTTTAGTTTTGTCATTGTGAGGCATTTTCTGAAGTTGTTAAAAAGTTTAAAATTTAGATGAACAAAGGCCATTTTTAGGTTCCAATTAATAGGAATTAAGTTGGGAAATAAATTTTTATAAAATTTAAACCCCTTTAACAGTAAAATTTTTACTCTAAAAATTTTTTTAGTGGCTATCTTATCATACCTGTGAAAACTAGAATTGGGATCTAAAATACAAATAAAACCCTTGGGCTCTACTCATTTTTGAGTACCTTGGATATTTGATCTTCTTGTGAAACCAGTCTAACATATGATACCTCTGGCAAGAAAAACACCTCACCGTCCTTACTTTTATAAAACAAAATCGATTAACTTTAAAGAGCAAATAAGCTGTGCAAGTGGCCTTAAGCAACTGCCAGCAATAGGAAAGAATATTTCATGGTTAAACTTACACGCAAAACGATGTGAGTCTGAAGTTGCTGTAAGTACAGAATAGGAGTGTTTTGCTTGTTAAATAGAAATAATATTTCTATACTTTGTTTCTGTAAATGAACCCTAGGAGCTTAAACTTTTAAAATTTATTGAAAATTGGATTTGAGGAACTTGTACTGGAATAGATAATGTGTACCACAAGATATGCAGTTGGATTTGTAATGGCTGATATTTGCAAAGCAACTTTCAAATAAATATTTTATGGTAAATATTCAACAAAGTTTTTCTAATAAGTGGGATGGATATTCTAGTGATTTAGAGTCATAAATAGTCTGTTACCATCATATCCAAATATAACATTTTGCTAGTGTTTATTAACTTCTGTCATTAACTAGAACAATTATAAGACCTTTTTAAAGTGTCCTGGAGTCTCGCTGTATCACCCTGGCTAGAGTGCAGTGGCGGATCTCGGCTTACTGCAAGCTCCGCCTCCCGGATTCATGCCATTCTCCTGCCTCAGCCCCTGGAGGGTATTTTTGTGTATTATTGAGTAAAATGACTTTTAAGATTTTTTACTTATAAGTACTTAAGACTGCTTGACATACCAACATGGCTTTGGGATATTGTTGGTAGTGGGTGTCCCAAAAGAATAAGAATAAAATTTGCATAACTTACACAATAGTGATTGTTCCTTTTACTGTAACTTAACTATAAAATAAGATTTTAATTATCAACATTCGGTAAAAGTATGTGTTTTAACTCTAGTAAAATTTCCTTTACATTAAAACTTACATCTATATCTAAAAGCTTATAATGTTCATGCTGCATTTTAACTCTTCAGTGAGTTAGTGGAAGAATGACTGCACTTGAGAGCTACTTATTGGCTAGTTCAGCTCTGAAATAAATGTTCTTCAAATTGTAAAATCAAGAAAATGACAGCTCGGCTGGACGTGCTGGCTCATCGCTGTAATCCTAGCACTTTTGGAGGCTGAGGAGGGAGGATTTGTTGAGCCCAGAAGTTTGAAACTAGCCAGGGCCACATAATAAGACCCTGTCTCTACAAAAAATATAAAATTAGCGAGGCTCACAGATTATGTGATGATGCACGCCTATAGTCCCAGCTACTCAGGAGGCTGAGGCAGGAGAATTGCTTGAGCTCCGCAGATGGAGGCTTCAATGAGCCCTGGTTGTGCCACTGCACTCCACCTGGACAACAGAACAAGACACACACAAAAAACCCGAAAAAAAATGATGGCTCAGAATGAAAAGGAAATACCAACCAATCCTTTTCTTTTTTCTTTTTTTTTGAGATTGAGTCTCACTCTGTCACCCAGGCTGCAATGCAGTGGTACATCTTGGCTCACTGCAACCTCTGCCTCCCCAGGTTCAAGCGATTCTTCTGCCTCAGCCTCCCGAGTGGCTGGGACTACAGGTGTGCACTGCCATGCCCAGCTAATTTTTGTGTTTTCAGTAGAGATGGGGTTTCACCATGTTGGCCAGGCTGGTCTCGAACTCCTGACCTCAGGTGGTCTGCCCACCTCGGCCTCCCAAAGTGCTGGGATTATAGGTGTGAGCCACCGTGCCTGACCTTTTTCTTTTCTTTTTTAAACACGGGCTCTTGCTCTGTCACCCAGGCTGGATTACAGTGACACCATCATGGCTCACTGCTGCCTCAACCTCCCGGCATCAAGTAGTCCTCCCACTCTAGACTCCCGTGTAGCTGGAACTACAGGCATATGCCACCATGCTGGCTAATTAGTTTTTGTATTTTTTTATAGAGACGTGGTTTTGCCATGCTGCCCAGGCTGGTCTTGAACTCCTGAGCTCAAGCAATCTGCCTGCCTTGGCCTTCCAAAGTGCTGGGATTGCATGTGTGAACCACTGCACCTGACTACAACCAATCCTTTTCATGAAGTTTGACTTTGTTCCAAGTGTATGTTACTTATTGAGGCATATTAAAAAGAAAAAAATATATACACTTTTCTCTTTTTTAAAGAGATGGGGTCTCGCTGTGTTGCTCAGGCTGTTCTCGAACTCCGAACTCCTGGGCTCAAGCAATCCACTTATCTCAGCCTTCCAAAGTGCTAGGATTACAAGCGTGAGCCACCATGCCAGCCAAAAATATATTTTTTTATTGAGATAAACGACACATAAAATTAACAATGAGTAGTAAAGAGAATACATGTATACTTTTTATCCACATTCATCCATTTTTAAGATTTTGCCATCTTTGCTTGTCATTCGCCCTCCCCCACCCCCATCTTTTTCTGTTTACGCAAACGCACACACATACACACACACACTTACTTCCCTCATCCATTTGAAAGTAGATTATATACATCATGCCCCCTTTGCTTCAATGCTTCAGTGTGCATTTCCTGAGAATAAGGATGATTCTTTTAGATAGCCACAGTGTAGTTAAAAAATATTCCGAAAATTTGACATTGAAACAAGTTTTACCTCTTCCATATTCCAGTTTTGTCAGTTGTCCCATTCCAGGATTTCATTTAATTAATTGTCATGATTCTCTAGTCTCTTTTAATGAAGAGTTTCTTAACCTTTCTTTGTCTTTCACGACAGGCATTTTGGAAACTACAAGTCAGTTTTTTGTTTTTTTTTTTTAAATAGACTATTCCTCAGTTCTTCTTCTCTTTTTTCCTTTTTTTTTTTTTTTTTTTTTGAGGCAGTCTCACGCTGTTGCCCAGGTTGGAGTGCAGTGGCACAATCTCTGCTTACTGCAACCTCTGCCTTGTGGGTTCAAGCTATTCTCCTGCCTTAACCTCCTGAGTAGCTGGGACTATAGGCCCATCATGCCCAGCTAATTTTTTTTGTATTTTTAGTAGCAACAGCCTGGTCTCGAACTGCTGAGCTCAGGCAGTCTGCCCACCTTGGCCTCCCAAAGTGCTAGGAGTGAGCCATGGTGCCCGACCTCCTCTTTTTTCTTTTGAGCACCCTTAGCTTCTGGTACAAAGATGTTTTAGGCTTATCCTGAAACTTTGACTGCTTCAGCCCTGGAATCAGCCATTTCTCTGAGGACTCCTGGTTTTGGTTCCACTTAGTGGTAAAGCATATTTTTAAAATAGAGATTATACAGTTGATTATATGTATAGATAGATAGATAGATAGATAGATAGATAGATAGATAGATAGATTTTTGTTGTAATTAGGAGATTTCTAGAACTTCTTGATATGCAGGATCACCTGTAGTCCAGAGTTGGCACATGGGACAAAGTTCTGTTTTTTTTTGTTTGTTTTTTTTTTTTATTTTATTTAAGACTGAGTCTCGCTCTGTCACCCGGGCTGGAGTGCAGTGCACAATCTCGGCTCACTGCAACCTCCACCTCCCAGGTTCAAGCCATTCTGCCTCAGCCTCTCAAGTAGCTGGGATTACAGGTGCCTGCCTGCTACCACACCCAGCTGATTTTTGTATTTTTAGTAGAGATGCGGTTTCACCATGTTGGCCAAGTTGGTCCTGAACCCCTGGCTTCAAGTGATCCACTGACCTTGGCCTCCCAAAGTGCTGGGATTGCAGGCGTAAGCCGCCGCACCTGGCCTGGGACAAAGTTCTTTGGAAGTGTGGTGATGATACTTTTCTTTTGAGTAAAGCTTAAGGTTTTATTTTCTTTTTTTGATTGTTTTGTTTTGAGGCAGGGTCTCCCTTTGTCACCAAGGCTGGAGTGCAGTGGCACGATCATGGCCCACTATAGCCTTGACCTCCTGGGCTCAGGTGATCCTCCCACCTCAGCCTCCCTAGTACCTGGGACTACAGGCATACACCACCACATCTGGCCAATTTTTGTACTTTTTGTAGAGATGGGGTTTTGCCATGTTGCCCAGGAAAATCTCAAACTCCTGGGCTCAAGCAATCCGCCCACCTCCCAAAGTGCTGGGATTATAGGCATGAGCCAGCACACCTGGTCTGTTTCATATTATTAAATATAAAGAGAATAAGATTTGTGAAGAGCACTATATTTCTGTTCTATTTTCACTACTTCTAGCAATGCTATTTGTTTTTTTAAAATGAGTTAAGTGTGAACAGACAAAAAGCATATGCCACACAAGTGTATGTATTGTAGATAATGGTTGTGATTATGGCAATAACATGCTCCCATAGAATATATTCTTCCTAACAATATTTCTTGTTACAGCCTTTCACCTGTAATTCATAGTTCTGTTATATTGCAACTGCTTTTGGTTTTTGAATTGTTTATACCAGCAACTGATTACTGAGTAATTTAAGAGTCTCAATTATGGCAGCACTATTCTAATTAAATGCTGGCACTTTATTTTGCAAATAGAAGTGTAAACTATCCACGTTTGCAAAATTTGTAGAAAAAAGTATTGAGAATTTATAGATAAAATTAAGATGTACGTATTAAGCATGTACTTAGGCTGGCTTTACTCACAGAGTAAATATATAATTCATTTGAAATATGAAATCCTTGACTTAGGCTGGATGCTGTGGCTCACGCCTGTAATCCCAGCATTTTGGGAGGCCGAGGCAGGTGGATCACTTGAGGTCAGGAGTTTGAGACCAGCCTGGCCAACGTGGCAAAACCCAGACTTTACTAAAAATACAAAAATTAGCTGGGCGTGGTGGCAGGTGCCTGCAATCCCAGCTATTTGGGAGACTGAGGCAAGAGAATTACTTGAACCTGGGAAGCAGAGGTTGCAGTGAGCCGAGATCGTGCCACTGCACTCCAGCCCCTGGGCAACAGAGCAAGACTCCATCTCAAAAAAAAAAAAAAAACAAAAAAACCTTGACTTAAATTGGATTAAATTGGCCATTTGTTAAAAGTGGCATTTTTCCAGCAATTAAGAAAAAATGTATATAAAGCTGAAAAATTACGTAATTTTAAGTAGGACAAATGTTAAGTTCTTAATTTGAACATTAAGAGTAAAAGATCTTGGCTGGGCACGGTGGCTTGTGCGATGGCTGGGATTACAGGGTGCCTATAATCCCAGTACTTTGGGAGGCCAAGGCTGGTGGATCACGAGGTCAAGAGATTGAGACCATCCTGGCCAACATGGTGAAACCCCGTCTCTACTAAAAACACAAAAGTTAGCAGGGCATGGTGGCACGTGCCTGTAGTCCCAGCTACTCGGGAGGCTGAGGCAGGAGAATCGCTTGAACCTGGGAGGTGGAGGTTGCAGTGAGCCAAGATCACGCCACTGTGCTCCAGCCTGGGGACAGAGTGAGACTCCGTCTCAAAAAAAAAAAAAGTAAAAGAGCTTGAGAAATTTGCTGGCAAGACAACACTGATTTTGAATTTAATGTAAGTAGTATCTTTGTAGCCTTCTTCAGATATTATAAGGAGTAATTTGAAAATAACAACACATAATTGACATTTCTTTTAGACCGATTGCATTTCTCAAGTATGAGTTTTTAGAATACATGATGATAAACATCTTTTAGTTAATGAGTTACAGTATGTGTGTGTGTGTGTGTGTGTGTGTGTGTATTTACATATATTCCATCCTTCCTTTCCTGCCTTCTTTGGACAGGGTCTCACTCTGCCATCCACGCTGTAGTGCAGTGGCACAATCTAGCCCACTGCGGCCTTGACCTCAACCTCCCATGTAGCTGAGACCACAGGTGTGGGCCACCATGCCTGGGTAATTTTTTTATACTTTGTAGAGGCAGGGTCTCTCCATGTTGCCCAGCATGGTCTTAAACTCCCGGGCTCAAGCAGTCCTCCTGCCTCAGCCTCCCAAAGTGCTGGGATTACAGCTTCCAGTATATTCTTAATGCTTACATAATCGCTGATAAAGAAGACTCAAATTATAGGTATGCATCTCATGTCAGATACTTATATCCCAAGGGGAATAAAGTGTTATAACCAGAAGTAACAGGAAGCCACAGGATAACCTGGCTTTTTAATATAATGAGTATTTATTGATCATTTGCAACTCTTGTAGGTACTTGAAAATATACCTGTAAACAAGTTTTGGTAGAGGTAAATAAAAAGAGCAAGTAAACAAAATAATTATACATTCTGTGTTACGAAGAAAAGAGGCTGCAGTTAAGAATGATGAGTGGGATTATTTTAGATAGAGTGGCCAGAGGAGGCCTTTCTGAGGATGTGGCACCTACTTTAAGACTGAAAAGTAGAGTGAAGAAAGTGAAAGAAAGTGTTCCAGGAGAGGATATTTTAGAATAAGCAAGGTCCTGGATAAAGAAAGAGCTGGTGAGAAAGTGGCAGTGCAGTGTGGCAAGAACATGGAAGAAGAGGAGTAGCTTCAGAGGTTTGTAAGCCACTGTGTGGAGTTTGGGTTTATTCTAAGGGTCATAAGCAGCTGATGAGGAATTTTGATAAGGGAGCAAAATGACACCGCTTAATGACACCACTATGCTCAGGGCCATGTAACTTACTCTTGGTGCTGAGTTGGATAGTGGATTGGAAGGGAGAACAAGAGTAGAAGGTGATAGTGGCTGAAATCATGATTATAAACAGCAATTAATAACATGGTCTCTGGACCTTCATCTATGGAATCAGACTGCCTGGGTTCATGTTTTGACAGTTAATGGTTGTGTGACCTCTAGTGAGATACTTAACCTCTTTGTGCCTCAGTTTTCTCATCTGTAAAATGGGGATAGTAATAGTAGCTGCCTCATAGAGTTGTTAGGAAGATTAAATGAATTGTCCGTGGCTTAGGACAATGCCTGGCCCATTAGAGTTATGTGTATTAAAAACCAATAACCAAACAAATATGGCTGTATTGTGGAAGAGAGTGTGAAGTATGAGAAAAAGCAGTCTTGGCTTTGTACAGTTCTTCTGTGGTAATAGATTGTGCAAAAAAAGGAGAGGGTTCCAGTATGTACAAGTTTCAATTAACAACCTGCCAGAAAAGTGAAAATTGTCTATATAAAAGAATTGGTACATCTATAGAAATGAAATTCGTGATGGCTCCCAAATCCATAGTTTACACTCAGCATGGGTAGGAGAAGTTTTCATGTTTTTGAAGTATGTTTTTTAACTTTAGATTTCATTTAGTTCTTCAAATCTTTCTATGGGACACAGAAATCTTGTGCCAAGTTATCTTAACTTTTTAAGTCTTGGCAAGGGGTCATTGAGTTAATTTCAGAGGATATAGTAAATTAATAAGTCTTTCTAGTCATGCCCCCAAAAGAGCTGGCTTTGTGTGTTTGTTGAGTAGAGGGTGTTTATTTTAGTTCCCTTGTTCATATCTTGGTCTCAGCTCCCCTTTCTTCCTTTCCACCTCTCCCTTCTCTGTTCCCAAGATATCATGGAGTTCACTTACATATTCATTTGTCAGTTTTTCACAAGCCATCTTATGTTAGACATTCGTTGTTAGGCACCGAGAGGGAAAGAAAACTGCATAAGATATAGTGTAGTCAGTTCTGGTTATATGAGGTAGCTATGTTTTATAAAGTCGCCTTAAGCAGAACCATTGCTCCTAGGGGAAAACACAGGGGTAGGTTCCTTTGAGCCTCTGGTGACATTTTCTTTAGCCAGTCAGTACGTCACTTTGTTTTTTATGTGTGTTTTTATTTAAAGACATCTTTTTTAATATATAAAAAAATTGCTGATTTATTAACATTGAACTCACTGCCAACAGCACTATAACTGATGTCTGAACAGGGCTTATCTCACACGCATTTTTTTCCTGTAAGGCATATCACAATCTTCCTGTGTTTAGGAGCACTACATAGCACTTGAACACTATGCTCAGGGCCATTTTAAACAGCGAAATTGCCAACGTGTAAAGCATAAAAGTGTGAAATACGTTGCACCAAATAGATTATAGAAAGGACCCTTGTTTATGGTTTGAGAACTGAAACAAGAAGGCAAAGTGTCAGCTTGTTTGACCTCGGATGGGAATGTGTGCTCTGGACAACTCACGTTTTTTGCTCCTCTGCTAATGTTCATGAACATGAAAGCACCGTGAATACAGATTTTGAGGTTACATTTTAGTGAGTAGGCAAATTTGCGTATATGGAGTCCATAAATAAAGAGGATCAACTCTATTTGCTTTTTTAAAACTGACAATATATTAAGGTAATTAAAATAAATTCATACATAGCCATTGTACAGGCAGAATATAATACATAAGAGTTTAAAAATGTAATGTTGGATTTGATCAAAGGAAGGGGGAAATTATGGGTTGGAAAGAACAGGAAGGCTTCATTTTTGCATCTTTGTTGAAAACTAGGTTTGAAAAGAGGTGGGGATTCTGGAAGCACATAGAGTCACTGAGATAAGAAAGTAAAGGGCATATTGTTAAGGCAGTAATGCTAATCAGCTAGTAAAGCAGTGTAATCATCCCATAAAGGAAACGAAACAGAGGGAATGAGAGAAAAGGCTAGATAGGTAAGTTGAGGCCTGATCATGCAGGTTCTGATTACCAGTTCAATTAGGACTTTTTTTTATAGTCCTAAAGAAGCTATTTAAGAATTTTTGTCCCTTTGTTCTGTTACTCAGAACAGAGTAACAGAACATCTGCTGTCACCAAGACTGATCCAGGAACTGGAGGTTTTTTTTTTTTTAATCGCTCTGTTGCCCAGGCTGGAGTGCGGTGGCGCAGTGGCGCAGTCTCGGCTTACTGCAACCTCTGCCTCCCGGTTCAAGCAATTCTCCTACCTCAGCCTCCTGCGTAGCTGGGGCTACAGGTGCACACTGCCATGCCTGGCTAACTTTTTTTGTATTTTAGTAGAGATGGGGTTTCACCATGTTGCCCAGGCTGGTCTCGAACTCCTGAACTGAGCTTAGGCAATCCGCTTGCCTAGGCAATCCGCTTGCCTTGGCCTCCCAAAGTGCTAGGATTACAGGTATGAGCCTCCGTGCCTGGCCAGAACTGGAGCTCTTTAAGAGAGCAAGATTATTTTGTGTCCCCAGGTGTATGGAATCCAGAGGGGGAGACGGGTAAATAAACAAACATGCCTGTTACAATACACTGTTTTTGTTTTTTGAGGCAGGGTCTCACTCTGTCACCCAGGCTGAAGTGCAGTGGCACGATCACGGCCCACTGCAGCCTTGACCTCCTTGTGTTCAAGTGATCCTCCCACCTCAGCCTCCTGAGTAGCTGGGACTGCAGGTGCACACCACCTTGCCTGGATAATTTTTGTATTTTTTTGTAAAGATGAGGATTCACCATGTTGCCCAGGCTGGTTCAGAACTCCTGAGGCTCAAGTGATCCACCTCAGCCTCCCAAAGTGCTGGGATTGCAGGTGTGAGCTGCCACACCGGTCTGATACACTGGTTTTAGTTGTAATTCTAGGTAGTAGAAAGCAAAGGGTGCTATGAAGAGCGTGTACACAGACTCCCAACTGTTTTGGGAGTTAAGGAAGGTTTCTTGGAGGAAGTGGCATTCAAGCTATAAGACCTGATGATCAGGTGGAGTTAGCTGGAGAGCAGGGACAGAGAGAATAGCCTGTGCAAAAGGCCTATTCTTCAGGAGAGAATGACACATGAATGGGACTGAAGAAGTAAACTGGTATCTCATATGAAGGACCTTTTATATCTTGTTAAGGATTTTGAACTTCCTCCTTTTTTTTTTTTTGAGACAGAGTTTCTCTCTGTCACCCAGGCTGAAGTGCATTGGCATGATCTCGGCTCATGGCAGCCTCCACCTACCAGGTTCAAGCTATTCTCCTGCCTCAGCTTCCCAGATAGCTGGGATTACAGTCATGTGCCACCACGCCGGGCTAATTTTTGTATTTTTAGTAGAGACAGGGTTTCACCGTGTTGGCCAGGCTGGTCTCGATTTCCTGACCTCAAGTGATCTGCCTGCCTTGGCCTGCCCCAGTGCCGGAATTACAGGAGTGAGCCACCGCGCCTGGCCTGGACTTCTGCTTAAAGGCAATAAGGAAGCCTTTACTAGATTTAAAATAGGAGCTCAGTTTCAATTAGTAAGGATTTGTATTTCATCAAGAGCTCTCTTTGGCCCTAGTCTGGTAGAAGATGAGTCGAAGTAGAGAGACTAGTTACAAAGCTGTTCCCAATAATCCAGGTGAAAAATAGTGGTGACCCTAGATTAAGGTAGTATTGGTGTGGGTAGGGAGAAGTGGACAGTCATATTTGAGAGGTACCTAGGGAATAGAATTGCAAAGACCTGGGAGTAGATTGGATATTCAGTGGGAGGAAGGGAGAGAAGTAATCTCTCAAGTGTTGCTCAAGCCATAACCTTGGATGGTACTGTCCACTGATACAGTAGGAGGAAAATGTTTGAGGGAAAGTAGTGATGAATTTGTGGTGCACTAACATGGCCAACACTAAATATTAGAAAGATTAATGTGGTCATGTAGAAGATGAATGAAAAGAAGATACCTCAGAAGTGGAGAGATAGTTAAATGGCTTTTGTAGGAATCTCAGCTAGAAGTGTCAGTATTCTTAAGTGCAGAACTAACAGGTGTGGGAAAGTAATGGGAAGTAGACACCAAACAAATAGTTCCCCAAAGATGGTATCAAATATCCCAGTGACAGCTTGCAGCCTGCTCAGCTTTATGATATGCCCCTGAGATCATTTTTCAGGACAAAAAGTAGTGAAACTACCTTTATTTACTTCTCAAATTTACCTTTATTTACTTCTCAAATATACATAGAAAGTAATATTGTAAAAAGCAGCTCTGGCTGGGCGCTGTGGCTCAAGCCTATAATCCCAGCACTTTGGGAGGCTGAGGGGGGCAGATGACTTGAGGTCAAGAGTTCAAGACCATCCTGGCCAACATGGCAAAACCGCATTTCTACTAAAAATACAAAAATTCGCGTGGCAGCACGTGCCTGTAACCCCAGCTACTCTGGAGGCTGAGGTACAAGAGTCGCTTGAATTTGGGAGGTGGAGACTGCAGCGAGCCGAGATCCTACCACTGCACTCCAGCTTGGGGGACAGTGCGAGACTCTGTCTTAAAAAACAGTGGCCTGGCGCACTGGCTCACGCTTGTAATCCCAGCACTTTGGGAGGCCGAGGTGGGCGGGGGTGGATCATGAGGTCAGGAGATCAAGACCATCCCGGCCAACGTGGTGCAACCCCGTCTCTACTACAAATACAAAAATTAGCTGGACATGGTGGTGTACGCCTGTAGTCCCAGCTACTCAGGAGAGTAAGATGGGAATCGCTTGAACCTGGGAGGTGGAGGTTGCAGTGAGCCAAGATTGTGCCACTGCACTCCAGCCTGGCGACAGAGCAAGACTGTCTTAAAAAAAAAAAAAAAAAAAAAGGATATTTTCACTCTTGGGACTTGATAAAGCTAGTTTATTTTTATTATCTCCTATATCCTATACATATTTAATTGGCCCCTATGAACAATGTTACCTCTTTATGAGGGGACCCAAAGAAGTAGCTGCTGGTGTGAGAGTGAGAGATCATCCATCTTTTTTATTGTGCTTTTTGTTGTTTCTTTGTCCTGCTATGTGTTATAAGTAAGGCCGGGCACGGTGGCTCATGCCTGTAATCCCAGCACTTAGGGAGGCCAAGGCCAGATCCCTGAGGTCAAGAGTTTGAGACCAGCCTAGCCAACATGGTGAAACCTTGTCTTTACTGAAAATACAAAAAAAATTAGCTGGGCAGGGTGGCATGCGCCTGTAGTCCCAGCTACTCGCAGAGGCTGAGGCAGGAGAATTGCTTGAACCTGGGAGGCGGAGGTTGCGGTGAGCCAAGATCCTGCCACTGCACTCCAGCCTGGGCAACAGAGGGAGACTCCATCTCAAAAAAAAAAAAAAAGTAAAACACGAAGAAAAAAGAAAGCTGTTTAACATAAGGTTATTAAATGAGGGTTATTAAGAAATTAAAACTAAAAGCTAAAAACAAGTGAGAATTTTGAAAGGATTACAATAAAGTTTAAACTTTTTTTTGTTTGTTTGTTTTTTTGAGACAGGGTCTTGTTCTGTCATCTAGTCTGGAGTGTAGTGGCACTATCATGTCTCACTGCAGCCTCAACCTCCCAGGCCCAAGCAGTCTTTCCACCTCAGCCCCACCCTCCACCCTCACCTCCAGTAGCTGGGACTACAGGTGTGTCCTACCACGCCTGGCTAATTTTTAGAAATCTTTTGTAGAGATGGAGGTCTCACTCTGTTGCCCAGGCTTAAATGTGTTTCTATATATATATATATATATAGAGAGAGAGAGAGAGAGAGAGAGAGAGAGAGAGAGAGAGGGAGAGAGAGGGAGGGGCAGGGAGAGTGGGAGGGGGAGTGTGTGTGTAGAGACAAGGTCTCTCTATATTGCCCAGGCTGGTCTTGAACACCTGGGCTCAAGCAGTCGCCCCACCTTGGCCTCCCAAAGTGCTGGGATTACAGCCGTGAACCATCTTGCCAGCCCTTAGGTATTTTGTTTAAACCCAACAAAAACCCATGTTTTTGAAGTACAGTATTTTTAAAAAGCAGTGTGAAGCATTTACTCTTACGAAAAGAATAAAGCAGATGATGTTGAAAATAAGCAAGGTAGGAAACTAAGATTAACAGTAAAAAACGAGTTTTAAAAAATGAGATTTAAGGCAAAATAAGAGGCCGAAAGCTACCTAACAAGAATATTAAAACTTAAAAATAAAAGACTAAAGGAAAACCTATTCATTAGGTAAAAAATAAGAAATAACAGATACCAAAAACAAGAATGGCAAGATGAAAGTATAAACTAAAAATATTTTTGGAAGTTTGAAGAAAAGGACGACTGGTTGCAGTGGATGATGCCTGTAATCCCAGCACTTTGGAAGGCAGAGGTGGGTGGATCACTTGAGCCCAGGAGTTCGAGACCAGCCTAGGCAACATGGCGAAACCCCATCTCTACAAAAAATATAAAAACTAACTGGCGTGGTGGCATGCATCTGTAGTCCCAGCTACTTGGAAGGCTGATGTGAGAGGATCGCTTGAGCCTGGGAGGTCAAGACTGTAGTCAGGCATCATCGCACCACTGCACTCCAGCCTGAGTGACAGAGCAAGACCCTGTCTCTAAAGAAAGAAGAAAAGGGCAATTTTTTAGAATAGCATATACCAAAATGAGTTTCTTGGGATACTAACAAGATGTTCCAGGAAAAGGATAAGTTGTCACAAAAGTTTTAGAAATGTTTAATATTGGCGGGGCACAGTGGCTCACGCCTGTAGTCCCAGCACTTTGGGAGGGCTGAGGTGGGCAGATCGCTTGAGTCCAGGAGTTTGAGACCAGCCTAGGCAACATGACGAAACCCTGTCTTTACTAAAAATACAAAAAAAAAAAAAAAAAAAAAAAATAGCTGGGTGTGGTGGCGTGCACCTATAGTCCCAGGTACCTGGGAGGCTGAGGTGGCAGAATCTCCTGAGCCCAGGGAGGTTGAGGCTGCAGTGAGCTGAAAAATCACACCACTGCACTCCAGCCTGGGCAATTGGAACGAGACTGTCTCAAAAAAAAGTGCATTATCTCTCTTGGAGACTCACAATGCACCATTAAAATAATAGTCTCTGAGAAGTGTTACATGAATAAAGTTGCCCTTGTTTAAACATTTTTCAGACCTTCCCTGGAACCCTTTTTTGACATAGCACCTATTATATCTTCCAGGCAAAGTATTTTTCACAAAACATCATTTAGACTACTGTTTTAAAAAAATTAAAAATGAAAATCTTGGAAGTTTTAAAGAAACATAATAAGAGAAATCAGCTGGAAATAGAAATAGTTTGAGTTGGGGCTGTCATTCCCAGTCTTTCCTGTTGAGGGCACAGTGTTCCACAGCTAGCCTAGGGGCAGAGAGCAACTTGACACCCTTACCTTCTGGCCCTTCCTCCACCCAAAGCTGTCTTTTTAGTGTTTTTTGTTGTTGTTGTTGTTGCTGTTGTTGTTGTTTGAGGCAGAGTCTCGCTTCCATGCCCAGGCTGGAGTGCAATGGTGTGATCTCCACTCACTGCAACCTCCGCTTCCCGGGTTCAACCAATTCTCTTGCCTCAGCCTCCTGAGTAGCTGGGACTACAAGAGCACACCACCATGCTCAGCTAATTTTTTTTTTTTTTTTTTTTTTTTTAAGTAGAGACAGAGTTTCACCATATTGGCCAGGCTGGTCTCGAACTCCTGATCTCAAGTGATCTGCCTGCCTCGGCCTCTCAAAGTGCTGGGATTACAGGTGTGAGCCACCGTGCCCGGCCCTTTTTAGTTTTTATCTATGCAGGTGGTGCACTGATAGAATACAGACTGCTGAGTCAGGGGAGTTAGGGGTGATCCCCAGCAAAATTAAATCAGCCCAGGGATACTTCTTTAGCAATTTGAGAGAAGTTTTACTACAAGTGCTATTTTAGTTTTCTTTTAAAAAGTCAGTTTTAAAGTTGTATAAATTAAAAATATTTTTAAATTTTTAAACAGATGCTCCCCCTTCAACCCACTCTAGTTATTACCACTCTAACACAGCTGTTTTCATATGGTTTTTTTGGTTCTTCCGGGCTTTGCTCACATGTACATGTGTTTTTATATAGTTGTTAGCGTTCATATACTTTTGTGTTATGAGGCTTCTTCTTCTATGGCCATGGAAGGAAAGGAATTTTCTAGTGGTGACTGCCTCTGCCTGCTCTGTTGCTTACATTGTTCCAAGTACCATTGCTGCCACATTTTGGAAGCTATTTTTCATCCTACTTCCCTTAACGTCACAATTTTTCACTTTTGCTAGCCACAAAACAGCCCCTCCAGCAGTCTTACTGCTGCTAGAGTGCCTCTCTGGAAAATAAAAACGCCTTAGCATTGTGGGACTAGCCTGTCTTGAGACAGTTTTTCTGTAAGCCTGTCATCTGCCCAGGTCATAATAGCAGCAGCACCTGTGCTAGAGAGGGAGTAGAAGGGCTTCCATATACAACATAATAAATAATAACAGAAAACTGAATGCTTTACACATGTCATTTCATTTAATCTCCATAATGATAATAATACATAGGTACCTTTCAGATGAGGAAGCAGAGTCACACAGTGGTTGATGTGTCCAGGGATCAGGTAGTATATGCCAGAGACAAAATTCAGGCCCTAATAATCTCTAAAAAATTATTGATCAACTAATATACAATATTACTTTGCATTTGCCACAAAATAGCCATAAAAGATGAAGCAGTTGATGAAAAATACATAAGTGTGCAATATTTTCCTTTAGCATGGCCTTGTCTTTTGGAACAGTTTCTGGGGTCTAGGTTCATTTTAATATCTGAAAATGGGCAAAATCTGAAAATTTGGTATTGGTAACCACTGAAGTTGTAAGGAAGGGGAAATAGTTTCATAGTTTCTTCCTCCCACAGGTCATAATTTAGTTATGGACATCAGGATGTTTTTCTTGGCTTATCGCATTCGTGTAGTTTTCTTTGCACATCTGTTACATAAATTACTAAACTATTTCCTTGAAAAGTTGCCAGTTTAAGTCATGTTTAATAGCGATCAAGAGTTGTTGCTTTTGGGGAAGAAGAATTAAATGACAGACTTTAAGGGGCAGAAATCCCACCACTATCCTGGTTTAAATATTTTTTTTGTTTTGGATCAGTCCCTATATTTTTTGAGGCATTAAAATTATTATATGGTTTTGGGTGTTTCCCAAAAGACTTTATGTTGGACTATAAACATTTAATGACCTTTTATATAAAATGGGTTATTTTAGTCCTTGCTTCTATAAGTTCCTATCTTTTCAATTATCCTCTTATATAGACATTTTAGTCCGACAGATTGTCGTTTGAAACTAAACTTGGAGTGTTGACTTCTTTAGTGATTATTCGTATTAGGTAATCTTTTCTGACCTTGAATTTTTCATAAAATAATTATTTTATGTGGCTTGCTTTTGGAAAAAAAATTTTAAGATTTATTCTGCTAGCTATATTTTAGGACAGACATATTGGTTGTTAGAAATCTCAGAAATTTTAGATGTGAGTCTGGTTAATTTTGCCCCATCCAAACTATTAATTGAACCAATACTGGAAATTTTCTTGGAATGTTAGGTAAACTCTTCTGTAAGCAAGTTACCATGTATTTCCTAAATGTACAGTTTGCAGTTGTCAGGATTTGGAAACTGGTTTTTAAGCTTGAAATTTTTAGATAAAGACTATTTATAATACTGACAATCTGTACTGGATATTCTTAGAGATTAGAAGGGAAAGTATGGTATAAATAGGTTAATGTCAGCTACTCATCAAATTGCTCAGATTAAATTTCTTGCGTTACATTTCCTGCTATGAAACCATTCTTTGTGAAATACAATAAGTTTTTGATAGATTTTTCTGTACAAAGTTTTGACTTTTTAAAACATCTGGAAGGTTTGACACAGGAAATTTATAATTTTGTTATGATCTCACATGCATGTATGGAAACATGTCACTTGGCTAAACCAGTCCCTCACATCCACCTCACAGCTTAGCTTTGTTCTCCAGCTTTGAGGCTGTGGTACCAAATTATTTCTGTATTAAAAAAAAAAAAATGACTGAAAGCCAGCCTCTTGTGCTGGTAGTTAATGTGATAGAGTCTAAGAAAATGATAATTCATGGACAGAAAATAAATACTTTACATATATTTAGAGAGGAACACATCAACTTTGGCAATAGCTTGGATTGATGACACAGTCAAATCTATGTAGAATCAGTAAATTTATGAAGTGTTCTGCTATGCAAAAGTTTACCTGAGAAATAAGACTTTGGTGACGATATGTATTCATTATCCGGTGGTGAGGATAAGCACAGGATCTTTAATTTATGGATAAATGTGGGAGATTGTTAACAGTCTGTACAGACATTTCCATTTTCATAATTTTGAAGATACACACAAGGGTCTTTAATCTTCCGAGAATGTTAGGAGTTCTTACAGCTTTTTGAATTTTCCTACTTGCAGAGTATTGTTTGGTGTTTCACTTGCTCCCCCTTCCTCCTCTCCCTTCTTCCTCAAACTGAAAAACACTTACATATAAAACAGTTCCATAATATTTATCTATTTTATCTATAAGTAGTACAAATACAGTGTAAAAATTTGAATTAAGGTTACAAGAATATTCAGCCATATCAATCAGCAATGTTCAGTAGTATTAAAACACCAAGAGTGATTACAATTCTGTGGTTCATTTCTCTGCCTTCATGATAATACTGGATTCAACGATTATTGAAATTGAAGGCCAGCATTAGTCAGAATGAAACAAAGAATTTGGAAGTAGAATTGATGTGAGAGTAGCATTGGTTTAAAAAAAGAATACAGTCCTTAATTTTCTGACAACTTAATTATAATTTTAAAAATAGTTATACCAGTTTCTATGGTCTTACATCATGTCAGGAGGAAAAAATTGGAAGTGGTGTTTTTGAACATTAAGACAGCATTTTCTGTAATTTTAATCTCATACGAACAGGCAGCTAGAGTTTGGACTTAGGCAGTTTGCCATGTTTTAAAGGTATTTTAGGTTCTCAGTTATAGTAACTAACTTGATCTTTGAGTATCCAGAATTATTTTAAATAGATTTAAAAAGTATTATGGGGCTCCCCTCCTCCTTCAAAGCCTGGTAGTAAGCTGCTTTTTACTCATTTGATCGTAATTTTTTTTTGACTGAGAAAGCTAAAAGATAGGGTATAATATTTTTGTGCAAATTCCTGATGGTTATTTTTAAAAGCAAAGTTTTGTGTTTCAGCATTTAGAAATTTAGAGTTCCCTCTTGAAAAGTAAAGAGGAAAACAGAAGATGCATAATCCAGCATAGTCATTTGTGTACATAGTTGAAGCCATAAATAATATGCATCCCATATACATATGATATCATTGGATTGAATAGGTTATATGTTTTAAGTATTAATAACTAGGTTACTCTTTTCCGAAATCTTGTTATTGCAGAATGGGTAAGAGAGCTTCAGATTTTAGATGTCTCTGATTTCAGTTTTTCCCTAATCAAACTGGTATTTTCTTTACTTTTAAAAGTACATGTTTAAGAGGAGAGACATCAGTTTCCTCCCTTTCAGTTAGATGATTTGTATTTAATATTTACTAAAACCAAAGAAAATGTAATTTCCATGACTGAGAATATATCTTTTTAAATATTTATTTGGCATATAGCTCTTCTGTAGCATAATTTGTGATGCTACATTTGATGTCATCTTAGACCAGATTATATTCTATGATTTTAGTACAGTGTGACATAATAGAAAATGGGCTTTGGAATTAAAAGACCTAATAGTTTTTAAATATGCCATTTACTAGTTGTGGGATTTGGAGTGAGTTTCTTTAGAGGAAGTGTCCAGGATTGTGATATTTGTTTCTTCTGTACTTTTCCAAACTTTATTTTATTGGAATTCTTGCAATATGGAGGGAGTACTATGGTTTATTATTGCTTTAACAGCATGGCTATTTTATAACATGTTTACTATAGCAAAATTATCTCTTCTACTGCGCTATGTTGTCGCTTGTGTTAAGACTTTTTCATTGCATTGTATTTCATTTTCATTTGCAGATCAGTGAGAGACTTTTTTTTCTGATGGGTGGTGAATATCCCACCATGTGGACGAATGAGTTTTTCCACCTCCCCACATCATTTCTATAGAGCCTCAGATATTTCGTTAACAATGAAAGTAATCTACCTGTTGAATTTAGGAATAGTAGGCTTCTTGGCCGTTGACAGTACATTTGATACTGTTCACAGGACTGTAATGAAATATAACTTGATATTAAAATACGAGTATTGAACCTATAAAATGTTCAACTTGCAAACAAGGGTAATGTGGTGGAGGCTATCCCCTGATAAAAAATGAATATCACAAGGTTCATTATCTAGCTTCTAGAGTTATTCTTAAAACTATTTATCTAATGTTATGGATGGAAACATAAAAAGAAAGACCAAATGTTTCTGGTTTAAGACTTTTGTTACCTGAGGAAACTGTCTTCTGCAGCAGTGGTCTCTAACCTTTTTGGCACCAGGGATCAGTTTTGTGGAAGACAATTTTTGCACAGACCAGGGGTTGGGGAGGATAGTTTCCGGATGAAACTGTTCCATCTCAGACCATCAGGCATTAGATTCTCATAAGGAGTACACAGCCTAGGTCCCTCACATGCACAGTTCACAACAGGGTTCACGCTCCTAAGGCCACCACTGATCTGACAGGAGGCAGAGCTCAGGCAGTGACGCTCGCTCGCCACTGCTCATGTCCTGCCATGCAGCCCCATTCCCAACAGGCCGGTCCGCAACTCCGGGGGTTGGGTACCCCTATTCTACAATGTTAATTTTATGGGTGTTTTATGTTAAAAAAATTATTAAGAAGATTTATACTTAATAAGAGCATTTAATTTATAAAAGTATCTTTTCTGAAACCTTTGTGGCATTGAGGATAAAAGGTGACTTTTAAATACAGATTTTGATGTCAAGAATTATTCATCCCTAACAGTTTTAAAAAATCATATTAATTCCAAAATTGGGTACTTAAATTGTTCTCTGTGGTTTTGCATACATAGCACTTGGTGTACATATTTTAGTCTGTATGTATATATTTTAGTTACTGTTTGCTGCACTTATTAACCTGATAAAACAAGATATTGGAAGTACAGATAATATTCATGTGGTCTACCATGATGTTTACTTGCCTATAAATAGTTAAAATGTAGCTAATGATGATACAGTACTTATATTTTTAATGGCCTTTAGTAGTTTAACCTTGGTTACAATATAATACTTTGAAAAAATTTGGAAAATACAGGAGAGTATTAATATAAAGAAAAACATTATTTAAAACTGTTGCTTGGAACTAAGTTATGTTTATTTCTGTCTCCAGATGTTTCTGTCTTTTAAATTATCTTAGTATGGGTGTGTGTATGCATGCGTACGTCAGAACACATTTAGAGGTCTCAAATAAAAGATTGCCTGATCTCAGGATGAGTGAAATCTTGACAATAAGCTTAAAACAAAGAGAAACCATATAAAAAATATAGATTCATTTGACTTCAGTTTTTTTTTAAAGGAATAAAATTTAAAAGGCAAACTGGGAAAAATACTTCTCAATCTGTTTCACTTTACTCCTTATTCCTTTGTTAGCAGTTAGTACCACATTATACCTATACTTTACCTTTTCTCTTGGTGTATAGTTTTGTTTTAGCAAAGCATATTCTTGAACTTTTAAGAGGAAAAAATACCAACAAGGACTGCTCAAGTTTTTTCTTGTTAATTATTTTACTGATGATTCTTAATGTAGATAAGAAGTATTGACTGCCTGTAAGTAAAAGCCTCATTTTAGCTTTTAATCAATTCTACCTCTAAAAACTGGACTGAAACTTACCAAGTAAAATAATTTGATATTATCTGAATGTCAAGTAGTCAAATAAGCAGAAAATGGAGAATAAAGAGGAGGGCTACGATGAACACTAATAATTTACAAACTGAATAGTTGACCCTTGACTAACTGAATACTGGCTGTGTTTACATAGCTCTAGAAGCATGTGTTAGTCCATTTTCATGCTGCTGATAAAGGCATACCCAAGACTGGGAAGAAAAAGAGGTTTAATTGGACACAGTTCCACATGGCTGGGGAGGCCCCAGAATCATGGCGGGAGGTGAAAGGCACTTTTTACATGGCAGCAGCAAGGGAAAATGAGGAAGAGGCAAAAGCAGAAACCCCTGATAAGACCATGAGATCTTGGGAGGGATAGCATTACATATGCCTCATGTAAATGACGAGTTAACGGTTGCAGCATACAAACATGGCACATGTATACACCTGCACGTTGTGCACATGTACCCTAGAACTTAAAGTATAAAAAAAAAAAAAAGACCATCAAATCTTGTGAGACTTACTCACTACCACTAGAACAGTATGAGGGAAACCGCCCTCATGATTCAAATTATCTCCCAACAGGTCCCTCCCACAACACGTGGGAATTATGAGAGTACAATTCAAGATGAGATTTGGGTGGGGACACAGCCAAACCATATCAAAGCATGTGTGCAAAACTTGAGGATGGTAACTTCTCGCAGTTGGCACTAAAGATCTAGTGAGTCAGTGTTGCTGAGTTGTGCAGAGTGAAGTTGCTGGAGTGTTCTGAGAAGCAAATGTGAAAATGAGTAAAAGCACTTTGGAAACAACAAACAGTTTCATAAACAATAATGATTGTGTCTATGGATTTTATTCTTGTATTCTTCATTCTTTGGTGATTCCTTCCATCTTTCATTCCCTCTCTTAACTTTCTTTTTGGCCTAATATTAGAGTCCGTTAAGATTTGGTATTGTTAGCCAGTTATACTGCTGAACTACCCAGTAGTTGTAACTGTTACATTTAAACAGTGTGATCCTAGTAATTACCTATCTTTATCAGGACAGAGAAACCTACTCTTCAAGTCACTCATTTTCAAGACTCTTGTTTTAAGCAAAGAGAAAGTTAATATGTTGAGTAAGCCTAGATAGAACACATGTGAGAAGGGCTCATTTTGTACTTTCTGGTGACTATTAGATTGTTCTGAAAATTACAGATACTATTTAAACTAGTGAAGAAATGTAAAAATTACAGCAACATTTTTTTTCCTGGTTTATGTTCTCTTGTGAAACAGCAGCATTTCTTAAAGTTATTTTTCTTCTTTTACTTTCCCTCCATTATTACATCTCATGTCTGTTTATGTTTGCAGAAATTAAATACAGATAAAAATCTGGAAATAAAAGGTAGTTATTGATGGTGACAGCAGAAATGTTAAAAATCATTAGATATTTTGTGGGTCAAGTTTTCTTTTGGTATTACTGTCAGACTGGTTTAAAATAATATACAGAAAATTTTTTTGGTGTTATCAAAGTATTCTTGGTTACCTTTAAGTGTTATAATGATAATTACATGAAAGGAAATGTAAGTAGAAAAGCCTGTATCCAAAGACTTTGAGCCTTCAACAGAAGGTCATAATAATGGTTGCCGGTACTTTAAAAAAAACAACAACTAAGTGTAAAGAGATAATTTTTTAAAATTTCAAGTTAGGAATCTCAATTTAGGATTGGTGAAAGTCCGTAAGTCACTTGTTTGACTGTAGTGTTAGTTTAAATGGTATGAAATTTATTGGGGAGGGGCGGTGTCTTTTTCTGTAATTTTGTTTGCAGATCAAATTCTAGACCTTTGTCTGGATTGTTGTGTGTGTGTTTAAGAAACCGTTGAGAGTGCCCCCTCTAGCGTCTGTGATATATTCTTAAAACATTTGTGTCAGAAGTTTTCAGAATTAAACTAGCCATTTTTTTCCTTTCAAATCTGGACATAATTTTTATTTTTATTTTTAACACGGAGGGATTGTTTTCTTTTTTAAAAAAGGTCACTGGAATTATGGGTAGGGCATAGATTGAGGGCAGTAGAAAACATGAGAAAGGAAGGATTAAAATGCCATTTCTACCTTTTTAGAAATAGTTATTTTTAAATGACCTGGAATAAGGCCAAACCATACAGTGTTGTTTTTAGTTTACATTTGTTTCTGAATTAGTTGAAGCTTAAAATACTTTGTCTTGGAATTCTTTATGCCATCAAATCTCATCTTGAGGGGGTTCTTTGCAGTTTCTGAAAGCAACAGCTTCATTGGAAAATAGCTTTTTTTGGGGGAGGGGAGTGGGAGACAGGGTCTTGTTCTCTGTAGCCTCAACCTCCTGGGCTTATGCAGTCCTCCCACCTCAGCGTCCTGAGAAGCTGGGACCACAGGTACACGCTACCACGCCCAGCAAATTTTTGTATTTTTTGTAGTGATGGAGTTTTGCCATGTTGGCCAGGCTGGTATCGAACTTCTAGGCTCAAGCAATCCACCTGCCTCATCCTCCCAAAGTGCTGGGGATTACAGATAGGAGCCACTGCACCTGGCCTGGAAAATAACTTCTAATAGATCTGGTTTCTTTGTGTAAGCGTTCTGTTATTTTTTTGTTTTATGTTTGCCATATCCTCCTGTGGATATACTTAATAACTATATTGTAAGTATGTTCTGATGGCTCCCATTGTTTTTCAACCAAAGAAATGAGGAGATTCTTAGATTATTGGCTCTCTGCCACCTCTCCCTCTAAACACAGCACTCACACAGGCCTTCAGCTAAGAATCTTGTGAAGGGTTACGGAAACAGAACCTTTCTTATTTGACCCATGGGCCTTTGTCGCTTGAACAAGGAAAGCAGTGTTCTGAAATCTACAGCATTTATGAAGGCTCTGGTAAAAATATTTCATGTACATGGACTGGAGATTAACTTCTTTCATCTTGTTCTCCAACAAATTAAACAATGCAAAGAGATTTCAAGTGCATTCTTGGTAATGAAATGCTTGGGTGAATTATAATCCTAATTGCTATTGTTCATTTTCACAGCTGCATTTTGACACTTTTAACTGCCTAAGCCACGCATTCTTCAGCCACCAGGATAAACAAAAGCATTCTGAAATTCATCATTTTGTGGCATCTTAAATTGTGAATCTGTTATTGGCTGCCTTAGTTTTATTTTGGTTCCATGGTTGATAAAATTAGGAGGAAAATTGTTCTTCTACATTTATACATAAAACTGTTGCAATAGAAGCATTACTGGATTTTAACGAAAATGTATTCCTTAGTGGTCTTAACATTTTTAAGGGGGGGTGGGCAGTGGAGATTGTGGATTTATTTTAGTCCTGGGGAAGGAATTTATATTTATTTTGTCACATTAATTGATATCTTAGGAGGCAGCTTTCTCCAAGATTTGAAAGAAAATAATAGGATTTTGCTTTTCTTCCATAGTAGAACAGTGTTCTGAATTTAAATCTGAAAGCCAGATTGATTCAGTTTTTTGGCAAGTCACACTTAAATGCATAATTGTTCCTTTAAAATTTGACCCAAACCTGTTTGTTGGTTTGTTCTTTAAACATGAAGAAATTGAAGTGTTTGTAATAAATTTGAAATTTATATTTAAGAGATTTGAGTGCCAATTTCAACCAAACCTTCCTTATTTTAAAAATAGAAGTTTTTGATGACTGAAAAACCATATAGCAAAAGTGGGGTATATGCATGTAATAGTTAACCAAATTCTGATTTTTCACTATTTCTAAGACTTAATGCTAAGTGGAAGAATTGAATTACCATATTCACAGACACCTGTTATAACAATTATTTGGTAATAATTGGAGCTTTCGATGTCAAATGAATACTACTATAGGATGTCACATTTTTGCAGTCTTTATTCTCAAAATGTCTTTGAATTCTTAAATTCATATAAGCATGAGAAATTCCATTTTAACCAAATATTTTGCCATCTCATGTCTTAATCTGATTTTTTCCGAAGTGAATTCTTTCATATAAAAATATTACATAATGTTTTGAAATACTCCTAATAGATGGTTATTTTATATATATTTCCTTTTGTTTTTTGGAGACAGGGTCTTGCTGTATTGCCCAGGCTGGGGTACAGTTGGGCGGTCATGGCTCCCTGAAGCCTTGACCTACTGGAATCAAACAATCTTCCCACCTCAGCCTCCCTAGTAGCTGGGACTACAGGTGCATGCCAACATGTCTGGCTAATTTTTAATTTTTTTTTTTTTTTTTTTTTTTTTAGAGACCAGGTCTCACTGTGTTGCCCAGGCTGGTGTTGGTTATTATATTTGATAGTAATAATAGCTAACATATATTGAGTACTTTCTATATGTCAGACACTGTGCTAAATAAACACCATTTGCTGTGCTAGCCTTTGAGGTAGTATTCTTATTTATTGGTTGAGGAAACTGAGATTAAGATAATTAAAATAATTTTGTCAAAGGTCACATAGTAAGTGATTGGAATCAGATCTTTCTGACTCCTGAGGCCCACGTTCTTGATCATTGCTGAAGACCTAAGGGAAAGTTAAGTGTCCATCGTACAATCTCCTGATGGAATATTATGCAGCCAGTAAAAGTGAGGGTTACAGTGAATATATGACATAGAAGTGCATATGATAGAGTAAATGAAAAAAGACTCAAGGATCACAGTTCAGTGTTTATAGTGGTTCTAAACATCTGTAGATATCTTTGATTTATTCTTTTAAAAATGTGATATAGATACTGTTCAGCTGTTACATAATTTTGCCTAATTTATAGAATTTCTATAAGCAGGAAACATAAGCCTGCATTGCATGTAAACCAGATCTGGTCAAGAAACTGACAACTTAGTTTTATAATAGACTCCAGCATGTTCAGTTTTTGTTTTTGTTTTTTTTAATTTGACCTTCAGCCATTTTTTACTGGACTTAATGCCAGCTCTAATGTAATCTCTCATCTGTATTCTTGAAGGCTAATGGTATAGTAAAATCTGCTTAAAGATAACTTAAGTGTGTTACATAGTGTCCTTGGGGTAGCTTGTGCACAAAAGATGTTTTCTCTCCCATCCTGTAGAGGTAGCTCATTAGGACACCCAGTAGTGTCATTATTAAGTTTTCATGTGTTTCTCAGTTTTGATGCTAATCTTTGTGCATGTGTGCGTGCATTTTTTTCCTCTACAGCACCAATGTTGTTATGAATTATTCAGAGATCGAGTCTAAGGTTCGAGAGGCAACGAACGATGATCCTTGGGGACCTTCTGGGCAACTCATGGGAGAGATTGCCAAGTAAGTGATAATTTGACTCAGCAGTGCAGAAAAAAATCAAAGCATCTTAACACAGAAATATGAAATTTGCTTTCAGATTTAAACTATTTGGCTGCCAAAATATAAATTTTGCATAATCATTCAGATAGTAATGTAGAGAGTTTCAGATACTAATGTGGAAAGTTTTATGCAATCCATTCCCCTTAAAAATTTGGCTCAAAAAAGAAACTCACAGTGTATCTTTTTTAATGAAGTTTTGAGATACACTGTAGCTCACCATGTAAAATTTTGACAAATGCATATAAAATAACTTGAAGTGAAAGTTACAAAAAAATTTTTCTGTGAACATCTGGGCCATTGTACCAGTGAATGAAGAGCTTGCAAAGTATATTAATTAATTTAATTAATTATTAATTGCAAAGTATTGATTAATTAGTGGGGCTTACATATGTGCCAGGTAGTGTATAAAACATAGGGAAAACATTTTCAAGGAAGTACATATCTTCTAAATTTTTTGAATTAAGTTTATTAATTTTTAAAAACTCTTCAGGGAAACACCAAATTAGAACAAGTCTGCCATCTACTGTCAAAATTAATATATTGCAGACTCTTAAAGAATGATTCTTTTTTCAGGGCTACATTTATGTATGAACAATTTCCAGAACTTATGAACATGCTTTGGTCACGAATGTTAAAAGACAACAAAAAGAATTGGAGAAGAGTTTATAAGGTATGGACACAAGTCTGCTTTAATTACTTGACATGTTGAAAACAAATGCTGGAAATTGAAGGTGTATATACATAGGTGATTTTGAAGTATATTAAATCCTAGAATAGAATAATCGAAAGCACATGAAAGAAGTAGATTTGTTATTTGTGTTCTATTTTCTAGTCATCATGAACAATTGTTCTGAATGAGAAATTCTTAATAATACTTCTAAATGTTGATTATTTCTTAAAATTTTTCCTACTAAAATGTTTGTGCATATCAAAAATAATGAATCTATAGTAGAGTAGTGTGCATGTTTAGTGTATGAGCAGTTAAGATGAATACCACAGTCTGATATGGTTTGTCATCGACATAGAAATTTACCTAATTTATGATAGTATTCTCACAGTATTTTGTATCCAAAATGTTCAAAATATAATTCTAATTTTAAACTTATGAATACGAACTTTTTATCAGATTCCTTTTGTTCTGATCTCATATAATGCAGAATTCTATAATAATATAGTCATCTATGCTTCTATAACCTACCATATTTTCTTGCTTCTTCAGAATGTTTTTCTTTGCTATCCAAAATGACATAGTTTGGCTTTTAGGATTGAAAATCTATGTGTTAGTTTCATTTTTTTTGTTGTTATTTCTTTCTGAAAACATTCAGTGTCATTCCCTCAGGTTGTATGGTAGGTGTGATGAAATAATTGAAATTTCTGTAAATTAAATTTGCTTTTAGTTTTTTGGTTTTTTAAAAATTCTTGGATAAACTCCTTTTTAAAAGTCGTATATACCACATAAGGACATTTTAGTCAATGATGGTCTGCTTATATGTCAGTGGTCCCATTGGATTATAATACTCTATTTGTTCTGTACCTTTTCTATGTTTAGATACAAAAATACTCAGCATTGTGTTACAGCTGCCTATAGTAGTCATTACAGTAACAATGCTGCACAGGTTTGTAGCCAAGGAGCAATAGGTTGTCTTATAGATTGTCAGTGTGTAGCAGGCCATACCATCTAGGTTTGTGTAAGTACACTCTATGATATTAATACAATGACGAAATTGCCTAATGGCACATTACGCAGAACATATCCCCATCATTAAGTGACACATGGCTGTAAATTACTGGTAGAAGGAGGTTTTGTGTCCCTCAGTTTTACCAACCTAACTAAATTTTTTTTGTTTTTGCCACCCCCTCCTTTCCGCCTAACTAGATTTTCATATACCTGATCAAGTGAGGTTTGTTCCAAGCATTGTTAAGTTCAAAATGTACAATTTATTATATAGTATATTCACAAAGTTTTGTAGGAGTAACTACTGTCTAATTCCAGAACATTTTTATCACCCTGTAAAGAAACCCTACACCCATTAGCAGTCATTCCAAATTTACATTTTAACAAAATTTAGTTTGGGGGTGGGGGTTGGTTGTTGTTTGTTTGTTTTTAAGACAGTCTGGCTTTGTCACCCAAGCCAGAATGCAGTGGCATGCCCTTGGCTCACTGCAGTCTTGACCTCCTGGGCTCAAGAGATCCTCCTGCCTCAACCTCCTAAGTAGCTAGGACTACAGGTGTGCGCCACAATACCCAGCTATTTGTGTGTGTGTGTGTGTGTGTGTGTGTGTATGTGTGAAGATGTCTATTTTGCAAAATTTTCTACCTTCAGGTTGTTTAAATTATTATTTTTTGGTAACAATCTTTTTTTTTTTTTTTTTGAGACAGAGTTTCTCTGTCGCCGAGGCTGGAGTGCAGTGGTGCGGGCTCAGCTCACTGCAACCTCCACCTTCTGGGTTCGAGTGATTCTTGTGCTTCAGCCACCTCAGTAGCTGAGATTACAGGCGTGGGCCACCATGCCCAGCTAATTTTTGTATTTTTAGTAGAGACGAGGTTTCACCATGTTGCCCAACCTGGTCTTAAATTCCTGACCTCAAGTGATCCGCCCACCTCGGCCTCCCAGGAAGTGCTGGGGTTACAGGCATGAGCCGCTGAGCCTGGCCACAACCTTTTAAAACAAAAGCCACATAATTAACCTCAAAATTAAATTTTATCTGGGGAAAATACTATAGGATTGTTTAATTACCAAATAATTTCTGGCAATTCACAGTTCCATAATGCTCAGATAAAAAGTAAAAACTGAGTCAGCTTTCTAAAACCTTATTGTCTATTTATATCAAGCATTCTGATATTTTGAACATCAGTGTTATTCTTTTAAGTCTTTGACACATAGTATCCAGTAGATGATTTATAATTATTTATCATGCTTAATATAAGAGGAACTTCAAATTGATTATGTAAGTTCTAGATTATGTGTTTAAAGTCTAATGTAAAGAAACCTCACCACCAGCATGAAGATTCTTTATTTGCTAATGTTAGAATTATTTTTTTTAACCATTTACCAAAGCTCTACTAGAATATATTTCATTAAATCATTTATTGCTTTGTATTTTTGCAGTCGTTGCTGCTCCTAGCTTACCTCATAAGGAATGGATCAGAGCGTGTTGTTACAAGTGCCAGAGAACACATTTATGATTTACGATCCCTGGAAAATTACCACTTTGTAGGTAAGCAATAGAAAAACCTTATAAGCAAATTAAAACAGTAGTTGGAGTTGTCAGTCACCTGAACCAGCTTAGAAGCTTCTCTGCTCTAATTAGAATGTGACTGTTGCTGGTTGTGTGACGAGTGCAGAATCCAAGACGTGGGGCCCTAGAGTATTAATTAGTGAAGACAAGAACTTGCAGAAAAGACTGGCTAATAACAACAGAACCAACACAACATGAGTGTTCGGGTTTATATTAAAATATGCACTGGAGACTGGTCCCCTGTGGTGTCCATAAAGGAATAGCTTTAATCATATGGGAAGAAAAGGTTAGAGCTCCAAAACACACACATCTGTTTGAAGCTGGGGTTTTTTTCCCTCCCACCAAATAATATTTACTGTGCAAAGGCAGCAAGGCCACAGTGTGTTTTGAATGTGAAAGAGGCTAGAAAATGAAGCACATTTCATTTTGTAGCGTACCCCACTTGTAAGCACTTTAAAAATTCAGTTTTTGAGCTATGCTAAAACCTCATAATTAGTGTTCCAGACGTGTACTGGGGAAACCAAGACATTTGTGTGCTTTTCAGTTATTAACATGCTAAAGTGGTTCTTCTTTTGATTTGTTTTCTTAAAATATGATAGAAAAACACAATAGCACTTATGGATATGTCTATTTTGTGTGGTCATCATCAGTAATCCTTTTTAGGTCAATCTTTAATTGACCTTGCATAGTACCATTATCTGTGGTCCTTTTTAGTTCATCTTTACATGCTCTTATAAGCCAAAATTCCATTTTAGAACTTAGAATTTGCTGAAGAGGAAATGACAAAGTTAAATAGCACAACTTGCCCCTTTCTATTGTTTTTTAAATATTGAAGTTTCTTATGTTGAAGTTTTTGTGTCTTTTTTTTAATCTTAAAGAGCTTGATACATATTAAGTGAATTCTTAGGTTTTGCTTATCTCTTACCATCCTCATAGATGAGCATGGTAAGGATCAAGGTATAAATATTCGACAGAAGGTGAAGGAATTGGTTGAATTTGCCCAGGATGACGACAGGCTTCGTGAAGAGCGAAAGAAAGCAAAGAAGAACAAAGACAAGTATGTTGGGGTTTCCTCAGACAGTGTTGGAGGATTCAGATACAGTGAGTATCAAAGACAAGCTGACACCTAAGCATCAGCTTAGCTTCTTGAGTATATTTTAAGAATCAGTGAAATACCAAAGACCAAAATGCTAATTTTCTTTTCTAGGAATACATAGAATACTAAAATACACGCAGTACTAATCTTGACTTCTACTATCACATGAATCTTCCTATTTTTAACTTGTGGGTTCGGCAATAGGATTTTAACCATTAATGGCTAATTAAATGACTGCATATTTTGAGGTGTCATACAGAGATTAAAACAGATATATGCCCTTCCCTCTTAGGATTGCCATTTTAAAAAGAAGGGGGAAGAAAGTTTCTATAACTCAGAGTTTAGAGTATAAAAATAAAAAGTTTGATCAGGAGATCCATCTTTCTAATTTGAAACCAATTTAGCTGTATTTTTGGCCCAAACCAGATAAGCTTCCTGACAGTCATTCCAGCCTCAGTCTCTCTTTCTTTATTTAAGCATTGCATACTTTGACATATAAAAGATGACTGACGATACTCGCAGTTTTTCATCTAGGCCTATTGTTTTGTTTATTCTTCCCAGTACACTTAAGAGCAGCTAGAACATTCATCTTTCATGTTTATTTTTAATATAATAATATAGTTTCTCTAAAATAGGGCATAGGTGCTTGAAGCAGATACACAAAATAGGAACTGTCTTTCACGGCATGTCCCTTTGGACTTGTTCTGTCTTCTGTGAGCTCTGACAATCTCTTGCTCATTTTGTGTATGTGCAGACTGGCCAGTGCTGTGTATCTTAGCAGCTGTTCACTGAGGCTCTCCAGCTCCCCCCACCCATATATGTTTATATTTGGATTATATTGAGCTCTCATATCTCCTTCAATGGAACCATGTAAAAATCTTAACATATAAAATATCCTTACTCATTTATTCCTCTGCTTTCCCACTCTCAAAGAAAAAACACTGCGTTTAGTTAGCTGTTTAAGGATGTTTCTAACAGCAGAAAAATTCCCTTTTTTATATTGAAGCATCAAATACAAGTTAGTTTTTTCTTTTTCTTTTTTTTAAATAGGGCTAACTCATAGGCAGTGCAACCAGAGTCGGCCACAAGTTAGTTTTTGAATTGGGCAAAAATATTTCTCCTAAAGCATATAAATAATGTTTTGAAGTTTCTATTTGGGGAAGTCCAAAGTTTTTGGATTATTTACCCAAGTAGTAACTTTATTCTTCAGGTTTTTCAAAGTAGTTGTAGCAACTTAATGTGTTTTTAATAGAAATTGCTATTTGAAACTTATTTCCACACTATTCTTGCTTGTATCTTTCTTTTTGCCAGCATGATATATAATTATATCAGCTAAACTTAGAAAATTGAATACGTTTTCAAACTCAGTCACAATGCACTAACTGCAGCATCTGTATTAAAGATAGAGTTGGATATCCTGTGTGTTTGCATCACATCCTTTTGCTAAGTTATTGTTCATGGTTTATGTTATTCAGACTTAACTAATCACTCTTAGCAGTTTTGTGTTTTTTCTTTTTCTTTTCTTTTTTTTTTTTTTTGAGGATTCTTGCTCTGTCATCCAGGCTGGAGTGCAGTGTTACCATCTCAGCTCACTGCAACCTCCGCCTCCCGGGTTCAAGTGATTCTCCTGCCTCATCCTCCCAAGAAGCTGGGACCACAGGCGTGAGCCACCATGCCTCGCCAATTTTTGTATTTTTAGGGTTTCGCCATGTTGGCCAGGCTGGTCTTGAACTCCTGACCTCAAGTGATCCAGCCACCTTGGCCTCCCAAAGTGCTGGGATTACAGGCATGAGCCACCGCACCCGGCCAGTTTTGTGTTTTTTCATTCTGACATTAGATAATGTCTTGCCAATATCCAGTATCTTTAGCAGTAATTCAGTATGATGTTCACCATGCCATGCTAATCAGTTTGGTTTTCATCCACTTCCATTTTTCGTGTAAATTTGTTTCTTTCCGAAGTCTGGTTCATCACACTGTTGTTGAAATGTACATACACATTGTTGGAAAATCACTTTTTTTAAAAAAACCATCCTGGTTTAAATTTTGTCTAGAAAACTTCATTTTGTCATGTTTTCTTTAAGTTGATGGTCATTTCCAGATTCAGTAAATATGTTAAAATCCTTAAACATGTAACAGAAAATTTTAGCCTTGCAATTTTAGGAGGCAATTCAGCAAAATCGTTTTGTTCAATCTCCAAAGGCTATGTATCCTTTTAGATCCTGTAAACAAAAGTTCAAAACAAAAGCTCCATTAGCCACTTTTTAGTTATTTTGTTGTTTCTCATTGTCCTTTTCATTTTCTTCCAACCTGCCTTAATTTTTAATGTTTTCTTTTTTAAAAATACCTCACGTGCTCTCTGTACCTTCTACTGTTGCTTCTTAAGTTGGATTTGGACATGGAAATGGAAGGGTTTCATTTTGTGTCTGTAATTCCTATGTCTCCTTTGGGTCCCTAGGGGCAAGGACTAAAACAAATCTTGACATTTTGGGTTTTTTGTTTACTGCCACGATCTATTCTCTGCATTCCCAAATTCACACAGAGGCTCTAGGTTTCGCCAGTCTCAGCATATGTTTGGAATGGGTGTTTGAATTGGTTGACACTGTTCTGAACTACTGTTTGAGCATACTTCCTGATTCTAGTATGTGTAGTTTTTGGTAGTTAGAGTAATCCTTTCTTTGTACAGTAATTACGGAATGCTTTCCCATCCCCTGAAAATTCATTGAATTATTTTTTTAGTTTGATACTGAGGCGTGACAGTTATTGAGACTTTTTAGCTTATTGGGACATGTAGCATTCAGATTGGAGTTCCTTCAGTTGTATTTTTTAAGATACTGTTGCTATCCAATGCTTTTCTGAAAATTGGGAAACCATTAAGGGACAGGAATAAAATATAACATATTAAGTGTCTTTTGTGAAAACAGAAAGATTTTCATTTCTCTTTTGCTTATATAGCTTGTGTTGGTTTTGTGTTTTCCACTACTCCTTTCAGTAGCCTTTAAGAATTTCCTGATATGCTGTGCTGTGCATTAAGGTTGTGTAAGTATTCATAAACAAAAGCTTTTGAATCTGCATTCCTGCCACTTAATGACTGGCATTACATGCTATGCCTTGCTGTAATTGTGTTGATTCAGCACTGTGGGAGCTTTCTGTTTTCCTTTGAAAATGATTTTATTATGAGGAAAAGCCTGAGAAATAAGGACTTGTAGATACCTTTTGAATTTAATGTCGTTAGAATTGCTTCTTTTTTTAATGCTCTATCTAGGTGAAAGATATGATCCTGAGCCCAAATCAAAATGGGATGAGGAGTGGGATAAAAACAAGAGTGCTTTTCCATTCAGTGATAAATTAGGTGAGCTGAGTGATAAAATTGGAAGCACAATTGATGACACCATCAGCAAGTTCCGGAGGAAAGATAGAGAAGACTCTCCAGAAAGATGCAGGTATTTTACCACTTTGTCTCCCGGGTCTCTTAGAAAGAGCCCTAAATTTATGCCACTGGGTTTTTGGTTTTTTGTTGGTTTTGTTTGGGGTATTAACATTATCTGAAATTGGGCCTTTTTTTTTTTTTTTAATAGACTTCATTTGTTTTTAGAGCAATTTAAGCTCACAGAAAAATTGTGCATAAAGTACAGAGTTGTCATATACCCACTTCCCCTTCATAACAGGTTCTGTGAACATCTTGCATTACTATGGTGCATTTGTTAACAATTGAAAAGCCAGTATGGATACACTTATTAACTAAAGTCTGTAGTTTACGTTGGGGTTTCCTATATTGTACACTTCTATGGGTTTCGACAAATGCATAATATTCCTCATTACTGTATTGTATAGAATAGTTTCACTGCCATAAATATGCCCTGTGCAGAAATGTGGAACAAGTCTTAAATGTGCAAGTTATCCTTGCACAGGGGGCATGCTAATCTTCCCTGTATTGTTCTGGTTTTAGTACATATGCTGCTGAAGCAAGCACTGTGCAACTATTTTTAAGATACTAGGTTATACACTACTTGCAATTAGTATTGACATACTTTCCATGTTGCCTCTGTCTACTTATTTTTGAAGTTGATCCTGTGTATTTTTATTCAAGCTAGTAGTCTTTCCTTGGATTTTTTTCCCCAGTAAAAACTTGTATAGATTATTTTGCATTTGGACCTTAGATGATCCAGGGACCTAAGATACTGAGGGATAATGAAGTTTATATATTAAGTTTAATTAAACATAAGTCAAAGGATTTGAAATTTAATGCTTCCTTGACATTTCATTATGATTCTGTGCCAGTGTGTACCAGAAAAACAATCCAAATGGATTTTGAACCAGTTTTTGAGAATAGAGCTGTATTTTTATAAACTACATTTTCTGATGGTATTTAGTTTTACATGGAACAATACTTTGAGCTTTGCAGCAGTCACTTTTGTTCTTACTTACCAATATTATTATAAACCAATTTTTCTGAGAATGTAAAGGGTAATGCATATAGCACTTAATTTACAGAGCAAATTTTACTTTTTAAATTTGACCTTTATCATTTGTGCCTCACAATATCTCTACTAGAGTAGAATAAGAATTTTGTCTTTGTTGTTTATAAGTAAAACCTAAAACCCAGTCACACTGTGTGGACTTGCCTAAATAACACAGTTAGTGATGGAACCAAGCCTTCAAGTGAGTTCTCGTAACTAAATGCCATCTCTTTTTCTTTACCCTGCGCCAAAAATCCTAATAGTTCAGAATTAGGGATCATTAAAAAGAGGTCCAAACAAAAATACAATCTAATTAGTGTATTTTTAGGATGTTTTCATATCTTTTAAATCCCTGGAATGCCTGTTCAGGAAATACCAACAGAATAATGGCCATAATTTCAATAATGTTTTCCAAACCAAGCCAAAACTTACACAGGCCACAAAAACATTAATGAGGGAAACAGCTCTGTATATTTGAAGTGGGCACCATTTCCCTCCCAATGTTTAGTATTTATAATTATCATATGCATCCTTTTTCAGTATAAAAAAGCTAGATATATACTTGTAAAATAGATTTATTCAAAGTGCTAAAAATAAGTTCTAGCTCTTCAAAGATCACATTCCAGTTTTTCAAACAGTCTTGAAAAAGAGACATTTCAGGGCAGGCTCAGTTCCACCACTAACTGTGTTACTTTAGGCAGATCCACACAGTCTGGTTGGGTCTTAGGTTTTACTTATAAACAATAACGCTATGTAGGCTGGTTAGATATCTGTGTGTGTTCTGTATTGTTACTTTCTCTCCTTTGCCCTTCTATCCTTAGTTTTTCTTTTCTTTGTCTCTCTACTCTTCTTTTATTTCTGTTTCTCCCATGATTTTTATTTTTTATGTTGCCTCTAAGACAGGATCTCCTAGAGTTTCTAAATCTTTAAGGAGTATTTAGGTTTAAAAGAGTGAAAATGCAGTGAACATGATTTATCGTGATAATGATAGGGCACACCAGGAACTTTTTATCTTAAAGTATTTGTGAGAGAAGAGTAGATTTTTTGACAGAGTTGCATATGACCTCAATCCTGATGGCATGTTACCTGAATTTCATACTTATTAGTTCACTATTACATTCAGGAATTCTTGAACATTGATCAGATATGGAGCTTCCATTTCATCGTGTGCTAGTCAGATTTATATTTTCAACTTGTGAATAAATTATTTTGCGCTGAAATAAAATTGGACACCAAAAAAGTAAGAAATTTCAGTTTTACTTGTAGGACTAATGGGAATCTTCAGGTCATTTGTTGTTGAGAAGTTAGTAAGGGCTTTTGAATGCGTATCAGAACTTGTAGGTTCCTTAAAATGTTTATATATAAAAATATATTTAACCCCTTTGCTCTGTGTGGGAAGTCATTCTTTTTGATCTTTGATTTATACAAGTTCCAGATTGGTTTATATTTAAGTACAAGTTGCTATAGTTCAGTCTGAGGTAAATTGCATCAGCAGTTTAAAGGAGAATTTTAAACATTATATTCCAGAATATTTATAAATTAAACCACCTACTCTAAAATTAAGTAATACAGGTAATGGAACATGTTTCAAGTAACATTTCTCTCTTTCTCTCTCTTTCGCTCTCTCTCTCTCTCTCTCTCTCTCTCCTACTTACATCAGAAAAAAACCCAATGACTTGTTACTAGAGAACAGACTAGGGCTGATATTTTCATTCCTAGCATATGAAAAACCCAGGCTTTTACTGTTTAGTTTTTAAAATCTTTTTCACTATTAAAGAAAAAGGAAAGAAAAAATTGTTGAATGTGGCTGAAGGAGAATTATCTTTAAAATATTTTAAATACAGTTGTTTTCTAGAAAGCATTTTCTATAGTTATATAAAAGTTTGATCTCCTGATACTATAGTAAAATAGCACAGTTGTAAAGTGCATTCCCTTATATTTTCATGCATTTACAGATGAGTTTAATTATTCGAATTAAGATGTGTGATTTTTTTAGCATCCATTGAACTTTTATTATTTTATTATGTACACACATTAGTCTTTGAGAGTTGATGCAGAATTGTGTTGTAAAAGTGGAACTATAGTAATTTGCACACAGTCCATGTCAAGAAAATAATCATCACATGCAAGTGTTTGAACTCTCAGGGTCTTATCATGGATTCTGATATCAAATCCTATTTTATTTTTAAGTTAAGCTTAAATCTGTAATAAAAACGAGTTATTTTGACATTTTTTATTTATACACATTTATGTAAATACTTTTTTGTAGCAGTATTTTAGACTTATATAGGATATTCTCTGTGTTTCCACTTCCCCTCCCCAGCGCACATATATCATTATTCAGACAGCTTAGATAACATTCTGTTGATCCCTGTCAAGTAGTCAAAGTATGAAATTTTGGAGTTACTGTATTTGAAATTCTTTAGCTCAAATCACTGAGGGACCCATTTTAAAATAATCCCGTCTTATTATTTTGCTTCATTTTTAATATCTTTTAGCGACAGCGATGAGGAAAAGAAAGCGAGAAGAGGCAGATCTCCCAAAGGTGAATTCAAAGATGAAGAGGAGACTGTGACGACAAAGCATATTCATATCACACAGGCCACAGAGACCACCACAACCAGACACAAGCGCACAGCAAATCCTTCCAAAACCATTGATCTTGGAGCAGCAGCACATTACACAGGGGACAAAGCAAGTCCAGATCAGAATGCTTCAACCCACACACCTCAGTCTTCAGTTAAGGTGGGAATGGCAGTAGTTTACACATTATACATGGTTTTATTTTTATAAACCGCTCTTCGAATTCCTGCATTAGTAGGCTTGGGCATTTCTAGGCAATCATATTAATTATGGATCATCTGGCATGTATTACCAAGAGACATTAATAATAAGAAATCTCTTTGAGGGGAGAAACCTGTCCAATTGCTGAATGATTGGGTACTTTCTATGAAAGTAGAAATGACACTTTTGGTTTGTTTGGGGAAGGTTGTGAATCAGAATGTAGTGCCTCTGTCCCCATCTAGACAATACTGGTTACCAACCACAAGTAGATTCACTAAAGAAAACATTGGAAGTATTTGAAAGTTTTAAGAAATGACAAACGAGGGAGTAAGAAGAGATATATAGGGGCAAGTTATCTCATGTAATGTAGAAACGTTGCCTATAAAGGGAGGCGTGTTTGCCTCACAGTCATTACTGATCAGTATCAAAAGAAGCACTGCCTCTTGTACCATCTTCGTTTGTTTTTATTTACCATAGAGATGAAATCCACCTGCTAGGTACCTGGCCAAACCCTAGTCTTTTCAACAGAAATCTGCCAAATAGGGAGATTTGCCTCAAAAGACTAAATTATTGTTTTTGTCACTTTCCCCGACTACTGTTTCCCCAGTTTGTGTCTTTGCAAGAGAAATAGCTAAAAGCTGGGAAAAACAGTTTTCTAATGTATGCAGCAGATTGTAGGTGACTCTGAAAATAAAACCAGGCCTGCTTAGTTGCAATAACAAATACCATGTCAGCTTTTGCCAAATATCTGTATAATTTTTTTAATAATAGAGACTTTTATCACATATCTTAAAGGATTTTAAATAACAGTTTGTAGTATAGCCTGAATATATGACACTCTGCAATAAATATTTTATATTTGTAGTACAAGCTTTTTCTTTTTCTTTTTCTTTTTTTGGAAGACCGAGTTTCGCTCTTGTTGCCCAGGCTAGAGTGCAATGGCGCGATCTTGGCTCACCGCAACCTCTGCTTCCCAGGTTCAAGTGATTCTCCTGCCTCAGCCTCCCGAGTAGCTGAGATTACAGGCATGCACCACCATGCCCGGCTAATTTTTTTGTATTTTTAGTAGAGACGGGCTTTCTCCATGTTGGTCAGGCTAGTCTCGAACTCCCGACCTCAAGTGATCCACCTGCTTCGGCCTCCCAAAGTGTTGGGATTACAGGCTTGAGCCACCGCGCCCGGCAGTACAAGCTTTTTCTTTTTTGTTTTCATTTACCCTCCTCCCCTCAAAAAAAATGTCTAGAAGGTTGAAGTTCTTAGAAAGTTACCCAACTCATTTGGATCTGTTCTTAAAGGTGTTTTGGAATCACAGTATATAGTATTTTAGTTTTCAAAGTTCAAATCAACATGCCTAGGATCTTAGGGTTTCCCCATTGCCTAATAATTGAGTTCTAATTTAGCATGTATATATCTAACATATAGGACATAGGTATTTAGGTATCAGGGTGCTTAGCTTTGTGGAGAAGATAAAAATAGTATTACAGGTATAGGCCTCAGTTTAGTTGGGGAACTAAATATGAAACATATCAATATATCAAATAACATAGAATTATACTAACTTGTGTGATATACAAACAATAAGTTTTGCTAAGGTTCATAGAAATTTAGAGCTGTTTAGGATCTTGACCTCTAATCCAGTGGATCTCAAGCCTTGGAATTATCTAGGGAGCTTTCTTGTAAGACTTTAACAGGCCAAGGTCTTGGCCTTTTTATACCTGGGCAATTATGACTCAGTGTATTGTATGGGACTGGTACATATGCTAGGGTATTTTTTTTTTTTTTTTTTTTTAATGAACTGATACTTAGCATTAAGATTCAAGTGGGATCTGGCAGTTAATATTTTCCAGAGTGAAATGCAGTCAGAAAAGTGAGGTAGGAAAAAAAGTGTCAATGTTAAGAGACTTTTACACTGCTGGGAATGGAGGTACTTAAAAGTGCTTGCTGCCTCTCCATAAGGATTCAAGGTCAGTACTCTTTTTCCAGAAAACCCTACCCTTATTAAGCTAATTACAGGTATTTATGTCTAAATTGAGAATTAGAGATGGATAGAGCTGATTTTTAGAAAAACAAACTTTTCGAAGCTCCTGAGTTATGTGTGTGTTTTCAGACTTCAGTGCCTAGCAGCAAGTCATCTGGTGACCTTGTTGATCTGTTTGATGGCACCAGCCAGTCAACAGGTAAGCTTCTACATTGGCCTTTTCTTTTGGTTTGAGAGTCATTTTTTAAAATGCCAAATAAAAGATAGATTGAAAAATAAGATTACTTATTTGCATTGGGTTCATTTTTTATATGAAATTAGTGAGTCTTGAGCATTATTTGGAATCATTGTGTTATTTTTGCTTATCTTTTTATATGTACACCCATTTCTCTATCCCTATTTTATACCTTTTTCTGACCCACCCTCAGACTAGCAAAACTTTGTTTGTGGTCAGTACTTATTGGTGGTTAATAATAGTATCCTCAAATCATTATCATACTTAGATTTTAATGACTCCTCATACCTGATGTACTGTGTCTTCCCTAATTAATAATAAATAGTATTTCAAGGCATCATGTACTTTCTGAAATTTTTCATCATAGATTTTGGAATCTATAGTTTCCATTTTTAATTTTTAAGATTAACTTGGAGAAACAAAAAATTGCATTTAAACTGTTGCCTTTACTTTCTTTATAAGCAAAAGGTACTGCTCTGCGCATTTTACTGTCTTTCCCTAAATTTTAATTGCAGCTGTCACCTTGGGCATGCCTAGAGATCATTTAACTTTTTATTCTTTTAATTGAACAAATATTTGTTGAACCAGACACTGATCTGGGTGCTTGTAAAAAACAGAGTTGTTGTCCTCATGCGAAGGTCAAGTGGAGAAAATAATCATTAATCAGAGTCACAAATAGTTATCTAGTGATAAACAATGGCAAGTGCTTCAGTCAGAGGAATGACATTCTCTGAAAGTATGTAACTACCAAACATATTTAAAGAGGGCGGCTGGGCGTGGTGGCTGACCCCTGTAATCCCAGCACTTTGGGAGGCCGAGGGAGGTGGATCACCTGAGATCAGGAGTTCGAGACCAGCCTGGCCAACATGGTGATACCCTGTCTCTACTGAAAATACAAAAATTAGCCGGGTATGGTGGCAGGTACCTGTAATCCCAGCTACTCGGGAGGCTGAGGCAGGAGAATCACTTGAACCCGGGAGGCGGAGGTTGCAGTGAACGGAGATTGCGCCATTGCACTCCAGCCTGGGCAACAACAGTGAAAAACTCCATCTCGGAAAAAAAAAAAAAAAAGAGAGGGCTACAGCAAAAGAACTGTTTACCTTGAATTTCTCATAGATGAGATTGATGATTTCTTCAGTTTGATTTCCAGTATGTGCTAGATTTTGAGTAATTTCTGATCAATTGTTTTCAAGAAAATTGATATTTTTAGGGTTGTATTTGATGATTATGGAGTTTTAATAAACTATTGTGTGACGTGTCAAAATAGTTTAACAAATACATCTTCTGTTTAAAGACAGTCTTTCCAAGCCTAAGTTCATTTCACATTAAAATGTAGACAGTAAGATGGGGGTATGACTAATGTGCAAAGTAAATTTATTATTCCCAGTTGTGTGTAATGATTTTTCAAAGCCGAATTGTGGCTGTGCACAGTGGCTCACACCTGTAATCCCAGCACTTTGGGAGGCCGAGGCAGGCGGATCACCTGAGGTCAGGAGTTCAAGACCAGCATGGCCAACATGGTGAAACCCTGTCTCTACTAAAACTACAAAAATTAGTTTGGCGTGGTGATGGGCACCTTTAATCCCCGCTACTCAGGAGACTAAGGCAGGAGAATCGCTTGAACCCAGGAGGTGGAGTTTGCAATGAGCTGAGATCATGCCACTACACTCCAGCTGGAGTGACAGAGCAAGACTCTTGTCTCAAAAAAAAAAAAACTTTAACTTAACCTTTAAGTGTAAGTCTATGCTGGAAATTACTTTTCACTGATAGTTTAGTATAATTAATGTAATATAAAGCCCCCTATTATTTCCTCCTCCTTACCTACTATGTTAAAATTCTTGGATTAGGCATGAACTTTATTCAAGCAATTCTCTTGCCTAAGCTTCTCGAGTAGCTGGGATTACAGTCACCTGCCACCATGCCTGGCTAATTTTTGTATATTTAGTAGAGACGGAGTTTCACTGTGTTGGCCAGGCTGGTCTCGAACTCCTGACCTCAGGTGATCTGCCTGCCTCAGCCTCCCGAAGTGCTGGGATTACAGGTGTGAGCCACTGCACCCAGCCCAGACATCTGGTTTGACCTACTTTCTTTCTCTATTTTTTTTTTTGAGACAGAGTTTCGCCCTTGTTGCCCAGGCTGGAGTGCAGTACACAGTCTTGACTCACTGCAACCTCTGCCTCCCGGGTTCAAGCGATTCTCCTGCCTCAGTCTCCTGAGTAGCTGGAATTTCAGGCATGCGCCACCACGCCCGGCTGATTTTTGTATTTTTAGTAGAGACAGGGTTTCTCCATGTTGGCCAGCTTGGTCTCAAACTCCTGACCTCAGGTGATCCACCTGTTTTGGCCTCCCAAAGTGCTGGGATTACAGGCGTGAGCCACCATGCCTGGCCAGCCTACTTTCTGAAATTCTTCAATTCCCTTTCCCGTTTTTCTGTAACTGCAAACTGTTCCTAAAATTATTCATTAAACTTGATTGGACTGTAATGCCCAAGGTTACGGACAGCTACATTAGTTGTGTAACAATTTATGTGATATATTTTTATATGTTTAAGATTTGAACTGTAGAATTAACTGGTAGTTAGCATGTAGTCATATAATACAGATATAGTGTCACAGAATATCAACTATTTTGGACTTCCTGGCATGAAATATTTAAAGGGCCCCTTTCATGCATCTGTGAAAAGTTTTAATGGAGCAATCAGAGAAGAATTAACTAGGAAGGTCAGATGGGTGGATGTAACTTTTCCTCTGTGACATCAAGATTGCTTTGAACAGAGAGATTTATTAAATACCAACATGCTTCCTTTACTTGGCAAGGAACCTTTGAGTGGTTTGTCTTCTCCAGTGCAAACAGTAGTTTGACTAATTAAATAGAAGTAGCAATTGATATTAATATAGTAACTGAGAAAGTTTGAATGAAATCTAGGAGGTTTCTTGCCTTAAATTTTATTTTATCTTAATAAAAAGCAACTAATAGAGATTGATATTAGAAGAATTTTTTAAAATTAAAGTTATCTCCTATTTGAAACCGTATGTTTAACCAGTTTGTGCAGCTCCCTCTTCAATCAGTACATAAATTTAGTTACTCCCAATCTCTATTTAAATATTTTAATAATATATTTTAAATTGAATTCAGCAGTGAAAGGAAATTGGGCATTAAATCTTTAGCACTTACACGAGAAGGTATAAGAATCTACCATATTAACATTGCTATTTGGTATGTCATTTGGGTGTCATTTACCAGATGTGCCCATATTTATAATAGTACCATCATGCAAGTAATGTGGGCACAAACTGTAAAGCTAAGCAGATATGGCATCTGTACCACTCACCAGCTAAATATATCCTCTGAGAAAATGTTCAGATTTTTGTGTGTGTGTGATTACATGTTCTTAGCATTCTCAAAAGTATATATGGTAAAATCATTGTAGAATATCTTACCAAGTTTAAAAATATATATGTAAAACCTAACTATCAGGATTTACTTGAGACTATCTCATATCTTAATAAAATGTCCCCTTGTGGTGATATTCTTTTAAAACCTGTACTCACATGGTGTTTCAGTTGCTTTTACATAAAGTACATTTCTAAGTAAACATTTTAAGAAATGAAAAATAATTTAAAGTACAGTCATGGACTGCATAGTATGTGACCATGGTCCCATATACAATACTATATTTCTACCGTACCTTTCTTATGTTTAGATATACAAACACTTTCTATTGTGTTACAGTTGCCTACAGTATCCAGTATAGTGACATGATGTACAGATTTGAAGTCAAGGAGTAATAGGCTATACCTTATAGCCTAGGTATGTAGTAGGCTAACTAGGTTTGTGTAAGTACCCTCTATGATGTTTGCACAATGACAAAATTGCCTAATGCCCCAATGCATTCTGTCATTGAGAAATGTGTGACTATATTTAGAAAATAAGCCAATTAGAAATAGAATGCCAAAAACTGTCCCATTTCTTTTTTTAGTTTATCTCACCTCTTTAAAAAGAAGTCCAACTTGTCTCTTTTGTCCCTTTGTAATTAAGAAATTTAGGTCTTGATTAACATACTGTTAAACTAGATATTTCTAGTACAATAAATAAGGTTGAGAAAATTCAGCATAATCAATACAGATAGAACTTAAATGACTTGCAATATATTTTGAATGTTTTTAAGTTAAAAAGAAACATTTAAAAGGATTAAGGTATATCAAATCCGAAATGTGTATTACATTTACATTTGAACCTGCTGCTTTGTACCCAGTAATCGCTAGTTAGTTGAAGACATTTACATGAACATGTAAATACTCACCTTGTTCCATTCTTAGTACACTAACTTATCATTTGGGTAGGGGTTGTCTCCAGTTTTAAACTAAGTTTACTGAAAATAAAATTTTTTCAGTATATTCTCTTTTTCACTGATTATTAAAAGTAATGCACATTCAATTTGGTGGAAAACAAGTGATTTACCATAATTTAGACACATAAAGTATTAATCTGGTGAATATCTTTTTAAAATACATTTTCTACATATTCCATTAATGTAGTTATTTAAGCATTTATTATGTGGCAGATCTTTTTCAGGCTTTTAGATATGACTTTTCATTTGTTTGGGTTTTTCTGGGTTTTAGTCATTTATTTATATATTTTGATAAACTGCTTTTCACCTAAGATCTCATGACCATTTTCTTATGATAGTTGGTATTCTTTTATAGTACTTTTCATTGCTTTATAATCTTACATTGGGTGGCTATATTATAATTTAGCCAGTTAATCCCTTGTTTTCTAGACATTAGTTTTTTTATTTTTCCAAAATTTTGTAGTACAATAGCACCTTTTAAAGCTTTTTCAGTTTGGTAAAGAGAAAATAATATTTCATTTTATTTTGCATTGATGATTGAGTTTGAACACTTCATATTTTTATAGGCCAGTTGTTACTATCTATTCATGTTCTTTATTTATTAGGAGTATTCATCCTTATTGATATTCTAAAACTTGTGTATTATAGATAATAATTCTTTGTCATGTATTTACATTTTTTTTGCACTTTGCCATTGCTTTAATGTTGTGTAAATTCTTCATGCAAAAGTTTGTCTTAATGTAATCTAGATTAAATTTTTTTGTCAAAGAAAATTTCCATTTGTCGTTTAAGTACTGTCTAGTTTACCTGTATTTTCTTGTTCACAATATTGCTTTGGGAAATACATGTTCCCAGCTGGTGACTAAATAACCTCCCTGCTGCCCTGGAAAGGCAGATGGAAGTGGTTCATTTATAATGACAGTTCTCATGTGGGAATCTTGAAGGATAGCACTTGTTGTGAAAATTAGCAGTCTTCCACATGCAGCAATTTTTGGTAGACTCTTTTATTTATATTCCTTTAGAATATAAATTTAGATAGAAGTTTTCTGGGAAAATGCTTAAGTATAGAAAATGAATGTGGAATTTGGTATGAATATCATACATACAGATATGGATAGTCTTAGGAGAGAAACATTTTCTAAATAAAGAGATTTTTAATTTTTGAGACAGTTTTCAAAGTTGAAGATCACATTTCTTAAAGTACCAGTAAAAGCATAATATGTGGCACTTTAAAAGATTAGAGAGAAAAAACATTTTCAGAGAAAGACAACTTCTATTTGTAAAATAGTTACATACATCTTTCCATTTTTTGCTCCCAATATTCTTAAGCTACTCATGTTGAAATCAAAATCCCTGTAATATAGATGGAGAGGAATACTATTTGCTATAGATAAGTTATGAACATCATATAATTTCTGTTTTGGTGATAGAAGATAGGTAATTATCTGAAATACTAAATACAGGGTATGTCAGAAATAAAATTTCTTACCAGTTTGAAGTTGTGATCTACAGCTTTTATCCTCAACATGTATTTTCTTTGTAGCCTAGACTGAATAAGATTTGAAAATCCCTAACTCCACCAGGGGCGGTGGCTGACACCTGTAATCCCAGCACTTTGGGAGGCTGAGGCAGGTAGATCACTTGAGGTCGGGAGTTCGAGACCAGCCTGGCCAACATGGTAAAACCCCGTCTCTACTAAAAATAAAAAAATTAGTTGGGCGTGGTGGCAGACACCTGTAATCCCAGCTACTTGGGAGGCAGAAGGTGGAGAATCACTTAAACCTGGCAGGCGGAGGTTGCAGTGAGCTGAGAGTGCACCATTGCACTCTAGTCTGGGTGACGAGTGGAACTCCGTCTCAAAAACAAAGAAAAACAGAAAAGAAAATCCCTAACTCCTAACTTGTTTGCTATAATAAGTTATATATTGATGTTTATTCACTGCTTAAATGAAGCAAATTAAAATAATCTTTAATTTTTAAATCCCTTAATGTTATATTAATTGATTAACTATCATTCTGTTACCCAACAGTATACTTGACCAATGTTTTTAACATAAAGGACTACTTTACAGAAAACAAACTTACGAATATTAAGCAGCAGCTGTTTGAAGTATTCATTTACTTGATAGGTTTTATTAATATGTGTGCTTGTTTAAATGGTTTAAACATGTATAACTCATTGAACTTTTGTGTTCCTTGTCACATTTTATCATGATGTATGTACCTTTAAGGAAGAGAAAACCAGATCACTGTGATACTCTCTTTTAGATGAAGTAAAAATTAGACTAAGCTGTAGTGTAGATAGAATTGAAGCACCTTCACTTTGGTTGGCATTAGTCAACTGGTGAGTGAGGAGATATATATATATATATATATGTATGTATGAGCATGTGCATCTGTGGTGAAGAAATGAGGAATTAGTTATGCCTGCTGCTAGTTGACTACAGTAAATATGCATTAAAAAGAAATACCAAGTACACACATATCAGAAACTGATTTGTTCCTTTTATTACTGTTGGCCATATATTAAGAAGGGGAGATGGTTCTAGTTTAATTAACCCAGTTGAGTGTAGCAGATGGGGCAGAATGTCTTTCAGCGATAAGACAATTCAGAAATGGCACCAGATGTTGGAAGCTGTCCCTGGTGGTGTTTGAGTGCAGCCCAGATGTTCCAGTCCCACCTGGCTAGTTTCTAAGCACTGCGGCCTAAGCAGCTGTGATGTAACCTATATAATGTTCACATAACACTAAAAGCACCATCATTGAACTGCTGTAGACTTCTAAGGTTGTGACTGTTAAGAGGTGAAATCTTTAAGGACAGACAAAAATAAGGACGACTATTTAAAGTTTCAGATATTGGTCTGTTTCACTAAAGTTGAGAAAAAAAGGAATATTACAACTTGAAATAATGTTATAATTGAAATTATAGGTAAAAGTAAATATTCTTACCCATGTAGTATTTACAAATAAAATTTTATGTCAGAATGTAATGTTACGCACACAGAGATTGATTTGCAGACTTATAATTTGGGTCTTACCCTTTTAAAAACACCTATCTAGAAGTAGCAAAAAAGCTATTTTTTTCCCATGCATTAAAAATACAAAATACAAGTATTTACTCTTTTATGGAGTAAACACTACGGGGGAAAACCCGTCCACCAAAACTATTGTATTGATATTTCTCCCTCTCTCTGCTTAAAATAATTGTTTTGTTTTGTTTTGTTGTTTGTTGCTTTTTGAGACAGCGTCTCACTGTGTTGCCCAATCTGGAGCGCAGCAATCTTGGCTCACTGCAACCTCTGCCTCCTGGGCTCGAGCAGTCCTCCCACCTCAGCCTCCCGAGTAGCTGGGGCTACAGCTGCTCGCCACCATGCTCAGTTTAATATTTTAAGGTTTTGTAGAGACGAAGTCTCACTATATTGCCCAGGCTGATCTCTCAACTCCTGGGCTCAAGCGATCCTGCTACCTCATCCTCCCAAAGTGCTGGGATTTACAGGCATGAGCCACCACACCAGACTCTAAAATGATTTTATACAAGTGGACTTCATCTCTTCCCTTTTTATTTTTAAAAATTACAAGCATACGGAAAATTTGCCCCATTTTCTTTCTCTCTCTCTCTCTCGTTCTTTTTTATTTGTTTGTTGTGTACTGTTTGTTCATCTGTATCATCTGAGAGGAAGTTGCAATCATGACATTTTGCCCCTAAAATACTTCAGCCTATATCTCTTTACAAGGACATTCTCCTTTATGATTGTGATACAATCATACTTGGGATTTAACATTAAAACAGTATTAATGTTAATATACAGACCACATTCAGATTTCCCCAGTGTCTCAATTCTGTCATTTCAGGATAGCAATTAAAAAAAAAATCCGGGGTCCAATCAAGGATCCTGCATTTTATTTACTTGTCTTGTGAATATCTTATTCCCCAGCAGCATTTTACTCAGGTTTTAGAATCCATTGAAGACTCCTTATAAAGAGCATAATTGGCTAGATAAGTTGTATTATTTCCACATTATGCTTGTGAAATATTAGTGAGATAATTTTAACAACAGATACAGTGTCATTTATCTTACTAGATATAGGACTGAGGAAGGGAAAAGAGTCTATGGTAGCTCATAGGGAACATAGTGACATGAAAATCTAGGTCAACAGACTAGCTTTAGCTTTTGTGAGGCATCTGGGCCTCTAATATTAGGTACTTTTTGTGTGGCACTAAAATGGCCTCCAGAAATTATTTACAATTTTTCTCTAGTTCTAACAGTTTTAACTTTTTCTTAACTTCTAGGAGGATCAGCTGATTTATTCGGAGGATTTGCTGACTTTGGCTCAGCTGCTGCATCAGGCAGTTTCCCTTCCCAAGGTATGATTCAATTTGATTGGCCAGAAGTCTAGGGTGGTAAAAAGGTTATTAAAAACAACTCCCATTCCCCCCAAGTCAGCTTCTTTCTGTCATTTTTCTCCTTGTAGTATTCATAATTCCTAAAGAATTTATTCACAAGGTATTTTATTGGGCAGATGCCTTAAATGTGCCAAATGAATTATTTTGGTTACAGACTACTCAGGTACATCTAAAGAAAATTGCCCATATTCATAGGTGACTCTTGTTTAGCTTTTTTGAAAGGGAAAGGAGGATGTGAGTATCTCTGTATCATCTCATTTTATTTAATAGCAGCAAGAATATTATAGTTTGTGTTTAGTTTAGCTTATGATTTTCATGAATGAAAGGAACACTGGGATCAGGCCAACTATCTTACTAAAATGCATTCCTTTTTAATTTAGATATCTTAAAAGCATTTATGTGAAAAATAACTGAACTTCATTTTGACATATCCTAAAATGAGCAGTTGAACCTCATGCAAAACTTTCTCATTCTTTATTAGAATAGAATTTTAAAACAAAAAAACCATTCAAACAGAATATGGGCTTAAACATCAAGGATTGAGGTGAAAGGCCTATTTTTTTTTTAATTAATATTTTTATCTTATTACCCCTGCCATATGGTAGCTGTTTAACTTTATGAAAGCCTTCGAGCCTTCAACTTTCTAAAACTGGGAACGGTGTTGCTTGTCATGGTTCTTTTTGAGGATAGTGTCTATAGAGGTATGTATTAGGTGCAATTGTCCCAGTTACTCTTGCACCAACCTAATAGAATAGGGGCTACATTCAGTATTAAGTGTCTTTTTTATTTTTTTTTAAGGTTGTGAAGAGGTTGTGGTATTTGTTTTATAAAATCTGGTCAGTCTGAAGTTTGAGACAATATTTTTAAAATTTAGCTATGAGAATCTTAAACATGAGGTGAGGCAGGGAGAAAAGATGTAATTTGACTGAGTTAGTGTTGTTACTCATCACAAGTCACATAATCTATTGCTGTTATATTAAACTGGATTAAAATTTATATTTAGTAATATTTGGTTAGGTTTGTGAGGAGTTAGAAAAAAGATACATAGCTTGTAAAATGGTTTGGGGTTATTTTGACTACTTATTTTTGTAAATTCCAAGTATTTCCCAGAAACTAGAATTGTTGAGTAATTTTCTGCTTCATTTTGAAAGTAAGAATATGCCATCTAAGGGTTAATACTTTACTTTAGGCAAACCAAAGTGGAAGGTAAACGTTACCCTTATTTTATAGCTTCCCTGTCTAATTCTCAAAGTTTTTATGTATATAAAGTTGCCTACTATGCAAATAATTTGAATATGTTAATGTTGCCTAAGTGATACATCTCTTCATCTGTATGCATGTGATTAATATAACCTGACCACCTTACGCAGGGGGCTGAAACCATTGCAACAATGATTAATCATTTCTGAATAATATATGCCCCACTAGAAATCGTTTCCTCCCACGATTAATCATTTCAGATATGAAGTTTTCAGGTGGGGCAACACATTTTGCCCCAGTTTCCATTCATATTCTGCATTATAGATCAAGCAAATAGAAAATCAGCATAAAAGTTTACATTGATCCAGCAGCCTTAGTTTAAATTGTTTAATATCTAGAACTAACTGTAAAACTCTTAATGCAGTCACTTAAAAAAAAAAAAAAGATCAAAGACGTGTATTAGTAAAACCCTGAGGTAAAGAAATTAGCCCAATTTTTATATTAAATTGTTAGTAGAACTTGGAGTTTCTAAGTGAATTATTTTCTCTTTCAAGGGTGCTTACATTTTAATATGGTAATAGAAGAATGTAATTTTAAAGACTTCACCTTATTATTCTCTTTTGATATTTAGCATAATGAGACATGGTATTGTAGTGGTTGGTCACTTTTTAGGCTAGACAAAATGTATTTCCAAGTTGTAAATGAACATGGAATGCAAAGGGATGGTGTTAATTAACTTGGAAGGTACATACTTACTATTTGCTTTCAGATGACGGTTTTTATGTAGCTCTTTCTTCACATTTTGCTTTTTCAACTTCCATTTATGCGTATTTATCTGTTCCTTTCAATATAAAAATTGATCAGAGGTTAATTGATAAGACTGTAGTGATTAAGAGTATGGATTTTATGCATTCAACCTTAAACTTGCAAAGTATGATAGGGTTTTGCTTGTTTCTGGCTTGGTTGTGTTTTTTAATATTACATGAGTTTTCCTCCTCTCTTTGATTGTAAATAAATGGTCCCAGTTGAAGCAGGCAATGTGCTAAGGTTATAGCCCTTGTATTGTCAGTGGAAGTATGGCCAAATAAGTGAGAAATTCTTCATTTTTTTTTAGACGGAGTCTCGCTCTGTCACCCAGGCTGGAGTGCAGTGGCACAATCTCAGCTCACTGCAACCTCCGCCTCCCGGGTTCAAGCGATTCTTGTGCCTGAGCCTCCCAAGTAGCTGGGACTACAGGTGTGTGTCACAACACCCAGCTAATTTTTTTGTATTTTTAGTAGAGATGAGGTTTCACCGTGCTAGACAGGATGGTCTCAATCTCCTGACCTTGTGATCCACCTGTCTCGGCCTCCCAAAGTCCTGGGATTACAGGCGTGAGCCACCATGCCTGGCCATTTTTTTTTATGGTAAATTCAATGTGTCACCTACAGAGCTGCCAAGAGATGGATTTTACGTTATATTTGGGAGGTTTGTTTTTTCTTTGCCACCTTGTTAACTCTCGTGTAATATTTATGAGAAAGAATACTGTCCAGATGGAGATGGTACCTGCAGATGTTAATCTGGGGGACTCAGATCAGCTCTAATTTGTTTCAGTTCATAGATTGTTACATTTGTTCTGTGCATTCCATGAAGTTTCTTACCCTTAGAGTTATTTCTGTCTTAGTAACAGCAACAAGTGGGAATGGAGACTTTGGTGACTGGAGTGCCTTCAACCAAGCCCCATCAGGCCCTGTTGCTTCCAGTGGCGAGTTCTTTGGCAGTGCCTCACAGCCAGCGGTAGAACTTGTTAGTGGCTCACAATCAGCTCTAGGCCCACCTCCTGCTGCCTCAAATTCTTCAGACCTGTTTGATCTTATGGGCTCGTCCCAGGCAACCATGACATCTTCCCAGAGTATGAATTTCTCTATGATGAGCACTAACACTGTGGGACTTGGTTTGCCTATGTCAAGATCACAGGTAAGTTGTCTGGTTCCCTTGGAATTTGTTATTTATAATCTTTGAGATGCTCTAACTCATTGAATGATAGATTAGTATAAAACAGAAAAATAAGCAAGTCCTTTTTATGTGTATGAATATGTGTCTGTGTGTGTATATATACGCATTTGCACATTTCATTTACCTCATACTCTCCCCTAGCATAGTCATTTGCATTCTGGAAGGCAAGACCTTCTCCCCCATCTTGTAGTCACTGTAAAGCCAAGCATGGTGCCTTTGCACAGAGGAGGAACATGGCAAAAATTTATTGTTACAACAAATTGGTACTTGATAGTTTTTTTAAATTGTCTTTAAGAAAAAGAAATAGGCCAGGCGCAGTGGCTCACCCCTGTAATCCCAGCACTTTCGGAGGCTGAGGTGGGTGGATCACTTGGTCAGGAGATCAAGACCATCCTGGCTAACACGGTGAAACCCAGTCTCTACTAAAAATACAAAAAATTAGCCAGGCATGGTGGCAGGCACCTGTAGTCCCTGCTACTTGGGAGGCTGAGTCAGGAGAATGGCGTGAACCCAGGAGGTGGAGCTTGCAGTGAGCTGAGATCGCGCCACTGCACTCCAGCCTGGGCGACAGAGTGATACTCCGTCTCAAAAAAAAGGAAAAGAAAAAGAAATAGAGATATTGTTTCACTTACGGCAAGTATCCACTTAGTAAAATTTCTGGTCATGTCCCTAAAGAAATATCACTCATTGGTTGTAAATAATTATTGCTAATATGGAAAATCATTCTCTCGAATGGTGAATGTTCTTCCCAATTCTGGACCTGCTCTACATTATATAAATGTTTTATAGGCTCATCTTTCAACTTTCATTTTCATAAAGAAAAACAACCAAAATGGGAGCTTCTTAATTCACTATTTTATAGTTAAATCCGAATTACCTAGTACTAGCTTAGAATTCAGACAAGTGCAGGCTTGGAAAATATGTGTCTGAATGGTACCAGGAACTTGCTATTTTTGACTCAAACTATTGAGAATATGTGTTTATGATGCTAATTACTCATTTTAATGTGTAGATTCTCGTCTTTGGGGTATTAGGATGAAGGAAAAGAAGAAAGAAGCAGAAAGGTGACTGCTCTATGTAACAGAAATAAGACCTAATGTATGAGTTAAGCATAAAGTCAGTCTACTTTATTTGCAGTCTTAATTGTAACTGTCATAATTCTTTGCATTGGTACATTTTTAATTATTCTTCCTCTTCCTGTTCCTTTTTTCTGTCCTTTTCAGTTATCCTCAATAACCACTAGGAACCTCTGCTTCTTTCTCCTGAATTTCTTCTTTCTCCTACATTGTTCCATATATTAATCAGTTCAGTTAGTGTTGCTCACTTTAGATAGTAAAAGTATACACAGAACAGCAAAATGTCAGGATATGTGAAATATAAATTGCTTTTTGACAGTTTTGCCTTATATCCTTGTATAATGTGAGACATCATATCCTGAATTCTCTGTTTTGTTTTGTTGTTTTGAAACAGAGTCTCGCTCTGTCGCCCAGGCTGGAGTGCAGTGGCACGATCTCTGCTCACTGCAGCCTCCACCTCCTTGGTTCAAAGTGATTCTCCTGCCTTAGCCTCCCAAGTAGCTGGGACTACAGGCATGTGCCACCATGCCTGGCTGATTTTGTATTTTTAGTAGAGATGGGGTTTCATCCTGTTGGCCAGTCTGGTCTTGAACTTCTGACCTCAGGTGATCTGCCCACCTCAGCCTCCCAAAGTGCTGGGATTACAGGCATAAGTCACTGCGCCTGGCCTCTGAATTCTGTTTTGAAAGAATAAATGTCCACTTGTGTATCTCCTTAAAGCTGTACTAACCTAAAATCGGTAGTTCCCCTGGGCATTTGCCAGGGATGGTGGCTTCTAGACTTTGAGTGATGGGAGAATAATTGTTAGTGTAGGTAAGTTGTTGGTTTTATCCACCTCAAACCTGATTGGGACTTCAGAGGAACCTCTTTGGGAAGCTAATGATTCAGGGTATTGAAGACATTAGCATAGAACATTAGTGGTTCTTTTTGTTTCAGAAGTTCATTGTTGTGATTAAATTGCCATCTGATAATTTTTATAGAACAGATGCTTAATTTTTAGAGCATTTTTCTATTTTCCAGCCTTTGCAAAATGTTAGCACAGTGCTGCAGAAGCCTAATCCTCTCTATAATCAGAATACAGATATGGTCCAGAAATCAGTCAGCAAAACCTTGCCCTCTACTTGGTCTGACCCCAGTGTAAACATCAGCCTAGACAACTTACTACCTGGTATGCAGCCTTCCAAACCCCAGCAGCCATCACTGAATACAATGATTCAGCAACAGAGTAAGTTACCTTAAGACGTCCCACTTCTTTGTGTACTTGCAGTCTTTTGCCTTAATGCCAGGACTACTTCAAACTATAAATAAAAATATATCACATAAATTGTAACAGTTAACCAAATGCCTGTTCACTTAAGATATTTTCACATAATATTTACTGGGTATTCCTCCTGGCACATTGAATTACTTTATATTCTATTCTTGTCCTGATAACATTTATTGTATTGTGGAGAGTTTTAAGGACCTGATCACTAAAATAAAAATTTGCTATACAGATTTTTTTTTAAATATAGGCAAATACGATGGACAAACAAAAATCATCTGATTCTGCCGTTGAGGGGTAATTGCCATTAATACATATTTCTTTCTATGTTTTCTTTTTTTTTTTTTTTTTTTTTCTGAGATGGAGTCTTGCTCTGTCGCCCAGGCTAGAGTGCAGTGGTGCAATCTCAGCTCACTGCAGCCTCCACCTCCCAGTTTTAAGCAATTCCTTGCCTCAGCCTTCCGAGTAGCTGGGACTACAGGCGTGCACCGCCACACCTGGCTAATTTTTATATTTTTAGTAGAGACAGGGTTTCACCCTGTTGTCCAGTCTGGTCTTGAACTCCTGACCTCAAGTGATCCACTCGCCTTGGCCTCCCAAAGTGCTGGGATTACAGGCGTGGGGCACCGCGCCTGGCCACTTTCCATCTTTTCTAAGCATATTTTTAATACTTGGGATCATTCTCTCTATACTGTTTCTTATTCAACATTAAGTTATCATTTTCCCTGTGTTGAATAATATTCTTAGGAAAATGATTGTTAGCTCTTGATAGTTATATTAGTGTATGATTTCCCTTGCTAATTATTTCAATTGTTTCCAGCTATTTGTTATTATAAATCAAGATTTTGTATAAATCTTCATACTTCTGTTTTTTTCTTAATAGAATGTTCTAAAAATAAGTCAAAGGATATAAACTTTTTAAAGATTTTTGTATAAATCTTCATACTTCTGATTTTTTTAATAGAATGTTCTAAAAATAGAATAAGTCAAAGGATGTAAACCTTTGAAAGATTTTTTATACACACTAGCTCTTGACAACTTGTTAAGTAGGATTTAACAATAGGTTTTGTAGGAATGTTTTTAAGTTGGCTGTTTTTCCCCAGTCTACTCTTACTGTTTCTACATCTCTGGGGAACCAGAGCCAATAGTCACTGAATATATGTCTCAAGAGGAACCAGTGCAGAGTAATTGATTTCTAATAAAATCACTGTAAAGGAATTTTATTGGGGCTAAAGAAGTATAGATAGATGGTCAAGAAGTTATTAGTTCTCTGTTCTATGAACCTAAAAATTTATTGTGGTAAAGTTCTTCTGTCTGTTTTCGTCTGGTAGATATGCAGCAGCCTATGAATGTGATGACTCAAAGTTTTGGAGCTGTGAACCTCAGTTCTCCATCGAACATGCTTCCTGTCCGGCCCCAAACTAATGCTTTGATAGGGGGACCCATGCCTATGAGCATGCCCAATGTGATGACTGGCACCATGGGAATGGCCCCTCTTGGAAATACTCCGATGATGAACCAGAGCATGATGGGCATGAACATGAACATAGGGATGTCCGCTGCTGGGATGGGCTTGACAGGCACAATGGGAATGGGCATGCCCAACATAGCCATGACTTCTGGAACTGTGCAACCCAAGCAAGATGCCTTTGCAAATTTCGCCAATTTTAGCAAATAAGAGATTGTAAAAGAAGCAGATTGAATGAAGAATTTTTAGCTGTGCAGATAGGTGATGTTGGGATGGAAAATGCTAATCAACTACCCTTTCTTTTATCAAGTAATTAAAATAAATCTACATAAAGAACCAAAAAGGCTGTTTTATAAAAGTGAAATATCCAGTATTTCAGAGGGCCAGGCAAGAGCACTTCAGATGAGGCAGTCAAAATCATTTTTTTCCAGTGAGGATAGACCACAAGTGGGTGGTGAGACCATTGAAAGCCTTTATCAACTGAAGAGTCCATTTAACAGCATAATTTGTGGGAAGACTGGAATAGGGCTGAATAAATGTGTTTGAATCTCTAATTTTATACTTTCTTTTCCTGAGGAACTTGATTTTTCTGTCCCTGGATCGCCTTGTCATAATTGGGTCTGTTCCTTTTACTACCACTCTTGAGTCCATATATGAAATCATTAAAGTTGGATGATCAGTTTTTTATAAAAATATATATTTTTGTCCAAGAAAAAAAAAAGCATACATATGTGATTATGGCTAAATCAAAGGTAACTGGAATGTATATACTTTTGCTAATGTTCCAGCAACACTGCTATTATACTATCCAAATTTTTATTGTAACAAAACCTCTTTAAGCAATTGGTGATTGCCATGGGACTTTTCCCATGTCTTCTGCTGTAATTATCCTGTGCAGAACTAGGAAGAAATTTTTTTCAGGACTGCTCTATGGTTTCCTTTAAAAGAAAAAAACTTCTGTTTGTTTTTAGCAGTCATTATTTACAATTTGCAGTGATTAACTTGGCAAGGCTTCCTTCCGTGTTTATCCCTGTAGCCATCATTTAAGTCAGGAACAGTCAGAAAAATATTTATTTTATTTTTTTTTTGGGTGTCTGCAAAGGTAAAAATCCATTAAAACCTTAAGTTAAATATAAATGTTACAACTCAATGTTTGCTTTTAGATTTTATACAGTATTTGTTTTGTTTTGGTTTTGAGTGTATATAATGCAGCATTAGCAATATGGTTCCAATAGAGGAGTTAAATATATATTGTTAAAGGAGACCTGTAGCAGTCAAAGATTTTATTGATTTAATGACAAAGGAAATTAATGAAAATGTTTTTGTTTTTCTGCTGTAATTCTGCATTAAGCTCACATGAAAATCATGATTCTAGAGTTTGGAATGCAAAATTAATTGTTTTACCCTCAAGCTGGGAATATTTTTCAAAATAAATACTATAATATAGATATCAAATTATTACCTCCCCATGTTATGTTGAAAATTTTTTTATTAAATTGATAAAACTTTATTTCCATTATATTCATAATGTTCTGTTATACATAACATTAAAATGTTCATTAAAATCAATGTTGAACTGCTTTTTCTTTCGTTCTGTTAGACATTTGAGACCATTTGGGGAAAAAATAATTATAGTTTGGGCAAAGTAATTTTTATAAATAATTTAAAATTATTTAATGACTTCTCTATTCTTTCCTATCAGACTCTACTGTTAGGAATTAAAAATGAAGCAGCAAAGATATCCTGACCTGCTCCATTCTTGCTAATGTTCCATCTACAACATTTCTAATTAGGCAGAAATTCATGTACTTCAGCTAAGTGGTAATGAAAAGTGATTCATTTGCTGAATAAGAGATGAGAGTGAGTGTAATTAGCTGACTGCGGTTTTTAATCTTTCAACAATTCAATGTGTTTAACTTAGTTTCAAAGAATAGGAGCTTTCAAGTGTTGTTACTTCAGAGCAATCAAGCCAGCCTCTGGTGGCCGCATAGTAGAATATGGTCCCTGATATTTAAAACCGATCATCTTAAGTAAATTTTTTCTTTAAGAAGTATATCTTCACTTTCTCAAATATGTATGGTTCTTAGACGAAGTAAATGTTTATCTGAACCTTTGTGTTTTAATTCTTTCTCTAATCAGATTGACCTCTAAAGCATTTTCTGTATCATGCCCTCCTACATTATATCTTTTTTTTTTTTGAACTTCAACTTATAGTTTCTTATCAGTATTTTTCTTTCAGAGCCCGTGAAAGAGAAAAACAACAGTTGTCTCACTGAATGTCTGTCCAGTTTAATGATTTGTCTCCGAAGGGGTTACTAAGTTATACTTGAAGAAAGGCACAAATACCCCCAAATCATTTGGAGTTGGGGAGAAAATACTCTTCCTTTCTTTCATTATTGGGTTTCCTTCAGCCCATCCTATACCCTTTCGTTCTTCAACCAGAGTTTTTTTGCTTGTATCAATTTTGTATTCTGCCTAATGGTGTGAGGGGAAGGTTGATACTGTTCCAGCAATTTATGTGTGGTGAGTCTACACGGCCACTCCAGATTCATTTTTGTTTCCTTCCCTCTAGGGTTTTTTTTTTTTCCCCCACTTCTCTGATGTCTTCGAGAACCATATACACTGTTTTTAAATAGTACTTTGGTTAGGTGTTTCCTTTTTTTAATTGCCTGAATGATAACCATAATACTATTGGTTTGAGGGTAATCACTAGCAAGTTGAGGCCATAGTTACATTTGGAGGGAAGGGTTAGTACTTTTTTTCTCTCAAATATTTATGAAACAGTTTTTCTTTTTGGCAGATGAATTAAAGAATTTGCCATCTTTCTGAACTTTGCAGTGTCTCATTTTGAAGATAAAGCACGGTGGTATAGTTTCCTAGCTGAGACATTAGGAAATACAGCTAAATCTATACTAAGCATGGAGCACACCTTATATTAAATGGATTTCTGAGGTAAATGCTGTGTATTTCAGCTCTCCTGAAGACAGCCCTGACTGCATTGTGGAAAGACCATGTGCTGGGAAGCCCATTTCAATCACCCACCATCTGCATGACCTTGAGAATTTACCTGACCTCTCTAGGCCCTCATTTTTTCCAAAATGAACTTAAGTCTTGAAATGTTGGATAATTAAATAAATGATGAGTGAGGTCCACCAGCACTGACATATGTGCAGTGCATGTTTTTCTGCCTCCCATTCTTTATGTAAATGCTTACATATCAGCAACTTTATTTGTGCCAGTCGCTGTGCTAAACACTTCCCATGTCAATTTACACAGCAAATTCAAAAGTTTGTGTTCCTGTTTTATTCCTGAAACCAGAGTATAGTAAAGAAAGCCTGAGAGACTCGTAAGTTGGTTTCTAATTAAGGGGTTTTACTAGCTGCATGAATTTAACTCCACTTTTTTTTTTTTAACTGTCAAGGAAATTGTAAATGAATTGTTCTGTGAATGTATTGAGTCGTTTCTTACCACATTAGTTTAGATGTGAGGCAGAGAGCTATTAAAGTGAGCTCTTGGTATAGGATTTGCCACACAATTCTCATTAGAATGTTCTCCACTTTTACAAGCTATAGAGATCAGTTTTTTAATTGATTGACTTGCAGTTTTGTTGACTGATCTTGCTATTCTTCTAATACCCAGATGAGCAATCAGATATAAAGACTAAATGAAATCCATGAAAGGATTTTTTAACTCACTATGACCTTAATTCCTTTTTTTGTTGTTGAAATAGGGTCTTGCTCTGTCACCCAAGCTGGAGTGCAGTGGCACAATCATGGCTCATTGCAGCCCCAACTTCTCGGGTGCAAGCAATCCTTACACAAGAGCCTCCCAAGTAGTTGGGACTACCGGTGTGTGCCACACACCTGGCTAAATTTTTAATTTTAGTAGACAGGATCTCCCTGTTTTGCCCAGGCTGGCCTTGAACACGTGGGCTCAAGCAATTAGTCTGCCTCAGCCTCCCGAAGTGCTGGGATTATAGTTGTGAGCCATCCTGCCCAGCCTGTGACCTTAATTCTTGTGTGTCTTCCTTTATTAAATGGCAGCGTTGCCTAATACATTGTTCCCGTGGAGCCATGAGTAGCTACCGCAGCCCTTTCTCTGGGCTTGCTTACCCCAATGGGCGGCAGATCAGCACATGGCCAATTGAAGGTTTACCTTCCCAGGGATTTGAAGCCCTGAAGGGCAAAAGTGGGTTTTGTTTCCTGTTCTTTAAATGTCATTTTAAATAACTGAATTATGAACTATGAAATCCTACTTTTCCTTTCCATTTGATTTTTCTTCTTTTCTTTATTTCTTTAATAGAAACAAGGTCCCACCAGGTTGCCCAGGCTGGTCTCGAACTCCTGAGCTCAAGTGATCCTGCTGCCTTGGCCTCCCAAAGTGTTAGGATTACAAGCATGAGCCACCACACCTGGCCTGATTTTTCTTAACTGTACATCTTGCAGTTGTGGTCTTTAAATGCTCCAAGCACACTTTTTTCTACTTTGTAATGAAGTAAGAGTGCTTACAGTTGGTCTATGGAGCATTTTGGTCTCAGATCCCTCTTTACAACCTTAAAAACTGAGGACTTCAAGGAGCTGTTATTTATGTGGGTTGCATCTATCAATGTTTATTTGAAATATAAAGTGCAAAGCTTTAAAATTATTAATTGGTTTCACAATAACCCATTATTATGTGTTAACAAACTGCAACTTTATAAGCTATATTTTCCAAAATAAAAATTTCTGAGAACAGCAGCATGGTTTTACATTATTGCGAATCTCTTTCATACCTGACATAATACCAGGTTGGTGCAAAAGTAATTGTGGTTTTTGGCATTTCAGTGGGAAAACTGCAGATACTTTTGCACCAACATAATAGAATGTAGCTGGGCTCTTTTACTTGTTTCTGCATTCAATCTGCTGTGATATGTTATTTTGGAGGAAGTTTGTGAAACAAGTCTGGTCTCAGGGGTAGGTGATTGGAAAAAGTTGGAACTTGCAACTTCTGGGAATGGTCTCAGGGCCCCTCAGTGGTCCCCATCCTGGCTTGGCAACTGCAACTATGTAGAGTTATCAGATAAGATGATTCTCTAGTATACTATGTATCCATTTACTTGATTTTTTCTGGTTATAAGATGACCTGCTTGAGGTACAAAGAATTTAGCTTTGCCTTTCACCAGTCGTCAGCAAAATGCCTGTCACATGAGATTTGCCCCCCTGGATTCTGAATATGAAAAATTGGTGACATCATAGCATTTGCTCAGTTTTTGAGATGATTTCTTCTGGTACACAGTGCATGTCTACTGATTTAATAGTTCTATAGTTGTGTTACGTATTATGCTAACTGGAACAGAAACTAATCTGTAAGATCACATGGAAGTGTGGACAGGCGTTAAGTGTTCTGAAGGAGCTAGTCATGGTGCTGTTAGAAAAGAATAGGAGCAGAGGCCTAATTTAGGTGGGATCACTCCAGATGCCCCCTCTGAGAAGGGAGCTTTTACACAGAGATCTGAAGAATGATGAGAAGGGGACAACCATGCTAAGCCAGACAGAGTGTCGTTCGGCCACGGAGAACTCCACGTGTGAGGACTCCTTGTGGAGAAAGAGCTACCAGAGAAGCTCATAGATGTAGCTGGAGCTCTGCATAAAAGGAGTGGAATCAGGGAGATAGGCAAGGACCATGTTAGTAACGCGTTCGGTGTGCTGAGAGAAATAATTACTTTATTCTCCTCAAAAGTTCCCCAGAGGGGGTTATCACCACCAGAAATGGAATATTCTGAAGGCCCCTTTTGCTTTCCTTGCCATACTTGTCATATAGAATAGGGCTCACTCTACTTGGGCTTTAAGAAACTTGAATGGAAAATTGGTAATATTGATTCGATATATTCACTATTTAACCTGAAATGCATTAATAGTTCATTTATATGTGAAAGATATGAATTGTTTGTATCTAAGGGACCGTTTTTATATGCAAATTGTGTATTTCAAATAGTGATAACTTGCATTTGCATATTACAGCTTACAGAGTGGATTCACACTCTTTTCTTGCCTGATTTTCACAATAACTCTAAGCCAAAAAGTTAAGACACTTATTATTTCCTTGTTACAGACAAGGAAACTGAGACTGACTGAGAGATCAAGGTAGTTATGAAAGCCACATTTCCTAGGACAGGTCCCTGGAATCCAAGTTCAGTGTTACTGCACTGTCCTCATTCCCCTCTATTAATATTTCAGATCTTTGAATTTGGAGATTGTACATGCCACACAGATAAATTGTCAGCTTTTTCTTGCATATCCCTGCGCTCTGATCACGTTGTCCCCAGATGCCACGTAACGTTCCACACATGGTAGACAGCTAGTAAAGGGTTGTTAACTACTATGTTTTTAAAATCAGCCCTGAAATGTTTATGTAATCTATTTGCATTTTCTAAAGGTCAACAGCAGGAGATGGGCCACAGAGCAAATAAAAACTGATCTCTTCTGAAGGGTAAATCTTCTGTCTTGTAGAAATGGTGACATAACTTAGCATAAGACCTTAGCCAAATCCGAGAGCAGAAAAATCCAGCAGATTTGGAGTAGTAATATAACACAAAGGCACCTCAAGGGATCAAAAGATATGTTAAGAATAATTCGCAGGCTAAAGGTGGATGGCATGGAATTGCTTGGCTGAGGAATCCATTTCAAAAAGTGCACTCAACAATTGGAAATATTGCATGCTCTCGGCCATTTTTCATCTGCTGCTGTGATTCTTGCACTTGAGAAATAGAATTGAGATGTCCAGCTACCAAATAAAAGTAGAAATGGAATTTCTAGATTTAAGTTCTTCAGGGAATATTTGAATTGGCATCTTTAGAGTAGGGTTTTAAAGAGCATTTAGAAATACCTGGTAATTTGAAAACCCTGCTTGGATTGCCAGTAGCTGAACTACCTTATTTTTGATGGAGGAAAAAAATACTCTGTTTAATGGAAAATATAAAATGAGGTTTGAGGCATGGGTTACACAAAGAACCATTTTTCAAGTCCTCTTTTAGAGGAAAGTAATAGAGTTAGATAAAAGAAATATTATTAAAGTATTTTAATTTTAACTAATTTACTAGGTTTATCAGTATTATCCCTTAGACCTAATTCCTGTGATGAATCAAGGAAAAGAATTTGTCAGTTGTTAAGAACTTTGCACATACCTTCTGTCTACCCATACAGTATCTATCTCTATATAAAATACAGAAAAAAGATTGGCTTTTAAATACTGTGTCTTCACCAAAAATTTTAGATGTCCCAAGAGTTACCAGATTTGAATGATGGGTGGCATAAGGTACCGCTTTAGTAATTAACTGGTTCTTTAATAAGGCCTCAATTACTTTGTTTCATGATAAGGAAAAAAAAATATATGTTCCAAGACAGAGTTACATTCGACATCTGGGAACCTCCTAACAGCTGGCTACCTAATGAATATGCATCTGCTTAAGAGGCTGTAGACCATTAATAAACCAGTAGATGTAAAGCAGAAACAATCTTTGTCAGCTTCAAATGAGATTGGATGCAATGTGCTGTGAAGTGTCACTGTCACACTGAATTGAGTTTGGGAGGTTAACAATCAACTCATAGGTCCTCATGTCTTTGTATCTCTACGCTCGTGCTGACACTCTTCGCAAACTGGTGGCCGTGTTTCTGATGTACAACTTATTTTTCCTGAGAGCCTGATTTGAGGCTTACATACAACGTCTGTGTCTCAAAAACGTCTTCCATTTTGTTCCACTAAACCACATGTTCACCAAGACTTCTTAAAACAAAGGAGTCATCTCCAGATGGGAAAGGCGGGAAATGTCAGCATCAAATTGGTGCAAGACGGACTTCCAGTGAAATTGAAAATTCTTAGGATGAAATCTGCAGTTAAGTTGGGAACATAATTTGTTGGGTCCTTCAGAAGAAATTCCTTACTCCTTGTGCAGACAGCGATTCTGGTGTTGATTAACTGTTCTAAATGGGCCCTTAGAGTGAATGGTGCTACCCCAACTGTGGTGTGGTGATGAGCACACTTCCCCAGTTTCTTGGTTGAGATGTCTTGAGGGACACTATATCCACAGAAGCCTTGTTTGAGATTATATCCTGTGTGAGGGAAGATTAGACCTAGGCAAGCCTACACTTTCACAGCCAAATATGTACCCATCACTGTTCTCATCCAAGTGCTCACAGATATGTTTTAGGAGAATATTATGGCTAAGGAAGAAAACTGGAAATTCAAGCCCTCGGTAGTTCTTTTAAGCACCTTCTATATGCCATTTGGCTTATCTTTTCAAATTGTGATAGAATACACATACCATATGTGTAGAATGTGGTAAGTGTATAATGTGGTAAATATATATGTGTATAAATGAGGTAAAACACACGAAATTTTACCATTTTAACCATTTCTAAGTACAGTTCAGTGGCTTACGTTCACATTATTGTGCAACCATCATCACCACCCTCCATCTCTAGAACTTCTCATCTTCCCAAACTGAAACTCTGCACCCGTTAAACACTAACGCCCCAGCCCTCTCTCCTCCATTCCCCGCCAACCACCTCTCTACTTTCTATGAATTTGACTACCCTAAGTAGATATATAAGTAGAATCATACCGTATTTGTCCTTTTGTGACTGACATTTCTCTTAGCATAATGTCCTCAAGGTCATCCATGCTGTATCATGTTCTAGAATTTCATTTCTTTTTTAGAGACAGTCTTGCTCTGTTGCCCAGGCTGGAGTGCAGTGGTGCAATCTCAGCTCACTGCAACCTCTGCCTACCGGGTTCAAGCAATTCTCCTGCCTCAGCCTCCTAAGTAGCTGGGACTACAGGCACCAGCCACTACACCTGGCTAGTTTCTTTTTTTTTTTTTTTTTTTTTTTTTTTGAGACAGAGTCTGGCTCTTGTTGCCCAGGCTGGAGTGCAGTGGCATTATCTCGGCTCACTGCAAGCTCCACCTCCCAGGCTCAAGAGATCCTTCCACCTCAGCCTCTTGAGTAGCTGGGACTACAGGTGTGCGCCACCATGACAGGCTAATTTTTGTATATATATTTTGGTAGAGACAGAGTCTCACCATATTGCCCAAGCTGGTCTTGAACTTCTGGGCTCAAGTGATCTGCCTGCTTTGGCCTTAGAAAGTGCTGGCTTTAAAGGCGTGAGCCACCGTGCCATACGGCATATCCTCTTACTCCTTCTCAAAAGAAAAAAAAAAAAAAAAGAATGGACTCTCTTCTGCTCACCATGTCTCAGTTGCACTAGGCTAAGTAGTAAGTGTATTAGCCTCATTAACCAGAAGAAGAAACTGAGGTTTTATAACCTGTATGATAGACTGAGGAGAAAAACATGGGCTATTTCCAGAGAATATGCAAGTAAATTCTCAAATATTTAGCACCACTAACACCAAATGAGATCATATTTCTTAACAAAAAACAGAGATCTATGGTATGGGAAGAGGCTCCTGGGCTACGTCTCATTGATTCAGATCACTGGATGGGTGGAGGAAGCGAGGCCTGGCCTCTTACACCACATCAAAGCCCGGGAACCCAGGCAGAGTGCCAAGCCTTGTCAATTTTACTGCCTCCAAATGGAAAAGGAAAGCACAGGATGGAGTTGAGGATACGGTCTGCGGCTTGATTACAGGTGTCATCAGGACAGCCTGCACAAACCCACTACAGGAGGACCTGGCAGATACAGTGCTGGTTTTTCAGTAGCTGAAGCAATGTTGCCCAATGAATGGCAGTTTGGGTTTTTTTTTGGTTGGTTTTTGTTTTGTGATTTTTGGTAGATGAATATTCTTAAATTTAATAATTACACACTTAATTTTTTCTTTTCTGTTCTTTTCCTTTCTTTTTTTTTTTTTTTTTTTTTTTGAGACAGAGACTCGCTCTGTCGCCCAGGCTGGAGTGCAGTGGGGAGATCGCGGCTCACTGCAACCTCCGCCTCACGGGTTCAAGCAATTGTCTGCCACAGCCTCCCGAGTAGCTGGGATTACAAGCGCCCACCACCACGCCCGGCTAATTTTTGTAGTTTTAGTAGAGACGGGGTTTCACCATCTTGGCCAGGCTGGTCTTGAACTCCTGACCTTGTGATCCACCCGCCTTGGCCTCCCAAAGTGCTAGGATTACAGGCAAGAGCCACCGCGCCTGGCCTCTTTTTTTCTTTTTCCAGGCTGGAGTGCAGTGGCACCATTATAGCTCTCTCTAGCCTCAACCTCCTGGGCTCAAGTGATCCACCTGCCCCAGCCTCCCAAGTAGCTGGCACCACAACATGTGCCACCAAACCCAGCTAATTTCTTTTTTATTTTTTGTAGCAACCGAGTCCCACTATGTTGCCCAGCCTGGTCTCAACCTCTTGGGCTCAAGCAATCTTCCTGCCTTGGCCTTCTGAGTAGCTGGGATTACAGGCATAAGCCACCACACCTGGCCCCACACCTAACTTTTTGATTACTTTTTTTCTGAGACAGAGTCTCACTCTGTCGCCCAGGCTGGAGTGCAGTGGTGAGATCTTGGCTCACTGCAACCTCCACCTCCCAGGTTCAAGCAATTCTCCTGCCTCAGCCTCCCAAGTAGCTGGGACTACAGGCATGCACCACCTTGCCCGGCTTTTTCTTTTTGTATTTTTAGTAAAGATGGGGTTGGCCAAGCTAGTCTCAAAATCCTGTTGGCCAATCCATGTTGGCCAAGCTAGTCTCAAAATCCTGACCTCAGGTGATCCGCCCACCTTGGCCTCCCAAAGTGCTGGGATTACAGGTGTGAACCACCACAAATAACCGAGGTATCTATTTTATACCTGGAGGTGGTACACAAACTATTTTACTGATAGGATGTTCAATCAACAAGGTCTGGTCACTACCAGCTGTGAAAACGAGTTGCTGAGCCCCAGCACACACACTACTGTGTTTGTGGCTGTTTCCTCTCAGCACACTTGCTTTCTCACGCCCTAGCTGCATCAAAGGGAGGGCAAAGTGAGAGAGAGCACAGGACCCTGACGAATCCACTCTTGCATAGAAGATGTGTGTCCAGGGGTCAACCTCTCATCTGAGGGCTCGAAGGCTGTTTTTTTTTACAGTCCTTTGGAGATCTCAAAACCCAACCACCTTGATCCAGTTCTAAATTTTAAAAAGGAAAGATCAAGATGGAGTGTGATCCCCAATTTTTCTTAGTAACTATTTATAATTCAGAATTTATTTTTCTAAAACAATGGTTTACAAAGCCACGCACAGTGGCTCACGACTGTAATCCCAGCATTTTGGAAGGCCAAAATGAGAGGATCGGAAGTGAAAAGGATCGAAGCAGGAGGATTGCTCGAGCCCAGAAGTTCAAGACCAGCCTGGGCAACAGCTTGGTTTTTGTAGACTCCATGTCTACAAAAAAATACAAAAAAAATTAGCCAGGTGTGGTGGCATAGGCCTGCAGTACTGATTACTCGGGAGGCTGAGCTGGGAGGATCACTTGAGTCCTGGAAGGTCAAGACTACAGTGAGCCATGCTGGCGCCACTGCACTCCAGCCTGGGCAATAGAACAAGACCCTGTCTCCCTGTCTCAAAAAAAAAAAAAAAAAAAAGGTTTACAGTAGTTCATTTTCTTAGACAAGACCTACTTAATAATATTCAAAGTGGCAGACACAGAGATTTGCAAAGACAATTTGTAGATTATAATGCTGTTACAATGCCAGTGATCCAGTGATCAAATGAAACAAAAATGGAATAAGAATAGTTTACTTTGGGCTGAGTATGGTGGCTCATGCCTGTAATCCCAGCACTTTGGGAGGCTGAGGTGAGCAGATCACGAGTTCTGGAGTTCGAGACCACTCTGGCCAACATGGTGAAACCCCATCTCTACTAAAAACACAAAAATTAGCCAGGTGTGGTGGTGCACACCTGTAGTCCCAGCTACTCGGGAGGCTGAGGCAGACGAATCACTTGAACCCGGGAGGCGGAGGTTGCAGTGAGCCAAGATCGTGCCACTGCACTCCAGTCTGAGTGACAGAATGAGACTTCAACTAAAAAAAAAAAAAAAGGTTATTTTAAACCATGTGGTACTTAGAGAAAACCATGACAATGAGAAATAGAAGCTTTTGTGAAGACTTTGAAAGGGCCTTCTCATCTCTTTTGAGGACAGGAAAGATGTATAGAACTAGCTTTTTCTTGTCCAAGTTCACTGCAAAACTCACAGCTCTTCTTGTCCTTAATGCTAGAGAATCACTAATACACTCCTTTGACTTAGATCCTTGATTAGCATCTATTTTGGGTTGGTGAACAAGGAAAGCACAACTACGGTCGTCCCCGGTGTCTGACGGGGATTGGTTCCAGGTCCCCAGTAGATACCACAATCCACAGACACCCAAGTCACAGATATAAAATGGTGCAGGATCTGCACATAACCTATGTGTCTCCTCCCATACACTTTATTATTAGTATTTATTTATTTTTGAGATGGAGTCTTGCTCTGTCACCCAGCCTGGAGTGCGGTGGTGCGATCTCAGGCTCACTGTAACCTCCACCTCCCAGGTTCAAGTGATTTTCCTGCCCCAGCCTCCTGAGTAGCTGAGATTACAGGTACGCACCACCATGCCCAGCTAATTTTTGTATTTTTAGTAGAGACAGGGTTTCACCATGTTGGCCAGGCTGATCTCAAACTCCCGGCCTCAAGTCATCCGCCCCCGCTGGGCCTCCTAAAGTGCTGGGATTACAGGTATGAGCTACCACACCCGGCCTATTATTTATTTTTTATTTATTTCTTTTCCTCAGAGATTCCTGTTCTGAAATTCCCGTATACTTTACATCATCTCTAGATTATTTATATATCTAATATAATGTAAATGCTATGTAAATAGTTGTACTGTATTTTTATTTGTATTATTTCTGTTGTTGCAATTTTTTTCTGAATAGTTTCCATCAGCTCTTGGTTGAATCCGAGGGTACGGAACCCGCAGATACAGAGGGCTGAGTGTATTTATTTGAATGTGATAGTAACTTTATTCACCAAAGTAGTTCATTTATTCATATAGGGGTCTGCTTATATTTAACCTTTTCTTGTCTCATTTGAAAACAATGTTCTTAATCCATCTCTGAGACATAATTCAGCTTGTGCTCAGAATTGCATATATATATATCGGTTCCTAAGGGTGAAAAAGAAAAAAAGGTGCCAATAAGCCCACCAGATAAGGGACCCAGGAAGGGAGGGTCATATGTTGCTGGAATGCTGTTTAGTTCCCAGTTAAGAGATTAAGGGGGTCTTTTCTGATGTTTTCCCTTTGGGACCCAGGAGAAACGACATTTTTCTACATACTCGAGCAGCACCCATGGGTCAGATTTATTGCCTAGGCTAGGCTGCTCTTCCAAAGAACTTAGCATCCGTGGGGCAATGTAGAAATTTATGAATATTTTAAAGTTCCATCAACACATCACGAAGGTGCTGAAACAGATTGGGAATACATTAAACATAGCTGTTACAACTTGCAGAGCATGACAGTGACGGGAAAGAAGTAAGAGAATGAGAAATAGCTCTCTTTGCAGTTTTTCACCTACCCGGACACACACTAACAGCAAAACGCACACACATTCATTTTATAGGCAGATTGCAAGCAACTAACAATAGTGAAAACGATAGTGACATCATAATGCTATCTATCATTTCCCTTCAGTCTTTCTCTTACCTGCCACTCTCACCACACCTGGCATCCCTGTATCTCTCCCCTCACTGCCTTCTGCATTCACCCACTCGAAAAGGACACAAGGCGGAAAACAACTGGTAAAACTGGGAAGAAGCGCTTTCAGTTGTTCAAGACCCTGCTGTCCATTTGCGAATGTCACTTTCCTTGGAGAGACCTTCCCTGATGACTTACAAAGAGCTACCCCAGACACCCTCTATCACATTCTCCTGTTTCTTTTTTCTTTTTTTTTGAGACGGAGTTTCACTCTTGTTGCCCAGGCTGGAGTGCAATGGTGAGCTCTTGGCTCACTGCAACTTCTGCCTCCCAGATTCAAGCGATTCTTCTGCCTCAGCCTCCCGAGTAACTGGGATTACAGGCACCCACCACCACACCTGGCTAATTTTTGTATTTTTAGTAGAGAAGGGGTTTCACCATGTTGGCCAGCCTGGTCTTGAACTCCTCACCTTGTGATCCGCCCGCCTTGGCCTCCCAAAGTGTTGGGATTACAGGCGTGAGCCACTGCGCCCAGCCTCCTGTTTCTTGTTTTTGCATGGCACTTTGCATCATCTAAAGTTCTTATTTATATTTTGTTTCTAAGTGGATGGTCCGTCTCCCCCAGTAGAATGTAAATGCCATGAGAGCAGGAACTTATCTGTCCCGTTCACCCAGTGTCTCCAGGTTAGAACACTGCCTGGTCCTAAAAGGAGCTTAGCAAATCAATGTTGACAGGATAAATACCATGGAATATGCAAAACACAGGGAAAATAAGAGCAGAAAAAAATTACAAAATTTAGAATTGAAAGGAACCCTAGAAGAGCTGTTTGGTAGATTTTGATGTTTGCAAGGATATTCAAGGAGACACTACAGGCAATCCGCAACAGTGTCTAGTAAGTAGATAGGTGGCTAGTATTTTAATTTTTTTTTTTTTTTGAGTTAGGAATCTTGCTGTGTCGCCCAGGCTGGAGAGCACTGGTGTGATGACAGCTCACTGCAGCCTTGAATGCATGGGCTCAAGCAATCCTCATGCCTCAGCCTCCCAAATAGCTGGGACTACAGGTGCACACCATAGTGCTCAGCTGTTTTATTTTTACTTTTTGTAGAGGTAGGGGTCTCACTATGTTGTCCAGGTTAGTCTTGAACTCCTGGCCTCAAATGATCCTCCCACCTCAACCTCCCAAAGCACTGGAATTACAGGCATGAGCCACTACACCTGGCTGGCTATTATGTTTCAAAAATTTTATTATTTGGCCACATGCGGTGGCTCATGCCTGTATTTCCAGCACTTTGGAAGGCCGAGGCAGGCAGATCACCTGAGGTCAGGGGTTCAAGACCAGCCTCGCCAACATGGTGAAACTCTGTCTCTACTAAAAATACAAAAATTAGCCAGGTGTGGTGGTGCACATCTGTAATCCCAGCTACTCGGGAGGCTGAGGCAGGAGAATCACTTGAACCCAGGAGGCAGAGGTTGGAGATTATGCCAGTGCACTCCAGCCTGGGCGACAAGAGTGAGATTCTGTCTCAAAAAAAAAAAAAAATTATTATTCTGAGCTAGAAAAATGACCTGGCCTCAGGATTTGACAGTGTTCTTTCCCAACTCAACAAAAGGATTTAGTTCCTCTTACTTAACCCTGATCCCAGAAATAAAATTCTACTCTGAGCCTGAAAGCCGCCCCTGTCCCCACCCCAGCAATAGTCCCAACAGCTCTGTGCATTAGCAATGCAGGGCTAGTGCTGCGATCCACAGTCTCCTTTGAGAATATTGGGTGAAAAATCCCTGCAGGGTTGGCCCTGGCTTTCTTTGTTCGCATTGTTTGCTTTGAAGACCTTAACTCGGTGCTGAGAAATCAATAAGCAGGGATGCTGCTGCCCCGGTATATGTCTCCTTCTGAGTCTCCTGCGGGAGGCTCGCTTCACTCCAACGCACTAAGTGGTGAAGTGCCTAACTCTGTCTGCAAATTAGGGCTCTTGTAAGTAATAAAGGAAGACCAAGTTTCGCTTGCTGTGGATTTTCCATCCAGAGTGTCATTAGATAAAACGAAAGTACACATTACAGGTTTGTGTAATGAATGAGCCTCAAGTTAGGTTTGCCGTGATAGGGTTATCAGTCATTGCAAAATTAATTATTTAGGAAAGCACTTTTTACAGGGGGTTTTCATTTAATTTTTGCCCCTTGATGTATGTATGTAAAAATGACTAATCCATTGGACATTGCTATTTTATTTGTGCATCTATCACTATTGGGCCTTTTTTTGTAATTAGTTTATTAATTATAGCATCTTAATGATCTGTTTAAAATAAATAAACCATTTGCACCATTTCAAAGGTATTTTGTGAGGCTCAGCTGATAATAGCACCAGCCTTATGTGCTTTTTCAGCAAGTGACCTAATTAGTTAATAAAGTAATTGAATATTAAAAAGGATGTTGCAAGTGATTAAAATTTAAGAGCCTTCAGAATGTTATTAAAGCTATAAATCATACATCACTGTTTTAATTTGCATAGCAACAGAATTACTAATGGTCCCACATGTACATGGGGCTTGGCAATTTGTCCTTCAACAAAATGTTGGTGATGTCGAGGTACCAAATTCTTTCAACCTCTTTTGATAGCTAAATAGAAACCTGCTTTTGCCAAATTACATATCTAACTGTTGAAATTGCTTCTTGCTCCCTTCGTCAGGCATGTACATTCATTCATCCAACAAATATTTGTGAAAACCTTTCATGCTCAAGTACTGTGCTAGGTATCGGGTATAACAGTGAGAAAAAGCCACAATCCTCGTGGAGGTTGCATTTTGGAGTTGGTTGGGCAGAGACACTAGTCGTGTAGTCCCCAAATTCATGCATAATTACAAAAAAGGCGATGAGGGGCTGTGAAAAAAAAGTGTCAGATTCTTCAAGACGATTTTTCTGGGAAAATGTGACCTCGTCTGATAGATTAGGAGCCGAACACTTAATTTCAGGCCAGGGAACCGGGACTTCTTTACACAGTAGAGGAACCTTGTTCAAGCAGGAAATGCTTGATGAATCTGCCAAGGGGGTGTAGGAAGGACTGGCTGGAGTAGTTGGTTGTTTACCAACAGCCATCATGCCTTCCCGCCTACAGGAGTCCCAATTTTGTTTGGGTATAGGGCCAGGGCTATGCCTAGGGAATGTAGGCTCAGGCCCCGGGATGAATGATGAATGCTCTAACCAGTTATTGTAATCCCATTCCTCTTTGCCTGTGATTGCTTTAAGGTGGATGTATTCTGGGAAATGTAATAGGCTTTGTGGAAGAATTTCCCTTCCTGGTAAAAAGAGATACACAGGTAGGACACTCCTTTCCTCCATACCTTTGGATGTTATCATGAGTGAAGGTGATGGCTGGAGCTACGGCAGCCTTAATGAGACCATGAGGAGGAAGACAAAACAAACAAACAAAATGCCACACACAGCTGGGTGCGGTGGCTCATACCTGTAATCCCAGCACTTTGGGAGGCTGAAGCAGGCAGACTGCTTGAGTCCAGGAGTTCGAGGGCAGCCTGGGCAACATGGCAAGACCCCTGACTATACAAAATATACAAAAATTAGCCAGGCATGGTGGTGTATGCTTATAGTGGCAGCTACTTGGGAGGCTGAGGCAGGAGGATCACTGGAGCCTGAGAGGCAGAGGCTGCAGTGAGCCATGATTGCACCACTGCACTCCAGCCTGGGTGACAGAACGAGACTCTGTCTAAAAAAAACCAATAAAACAACCCCCGCTCCCCCACCCGCCACCACACACACACATTCCCTAAACCTGAGCCCTGATATTGTTTGGTTGCTGAACCAACTCTGACAACTTTGGATGTCTTAATGTATGAAATAGTAAGTTTTAGTTGGGTAGTCTGCTTCTTGAAGTCTAAAGCATCCCAACTGAACCAGATAGGTAAAAAATGAAGACTCTAACTTCTTCTTCAAGTCACTTAAAAAACAAAAAAGACTCTAGAAGCTAAAAGGCAAATTAAGAGGCTCATATAATTGTCCAGGTGAGCAGTAGTAAAATAATAAATTATGGTGGAGTGAGACAATAGGAATGGAAAGTAAAGTCTAGAACAGAGCTAAGGCATCATGGACACAGAATCAACAGAACTTGCCAATGCTTTAGCTATCAGGGTACCAGGTAATAGCAACTCTCATTCACTGAGTATTTCCTACATTCCAAGCATCATTCTGAGTGCTTTTCAATTCAGTCTCATGGAATCATTTCAACACCTCTATGAAGTACTATTCATTGTCACCATGATTGAATTCTGTTTTTGTCATGGCTTGATTTCCCAGATCAAACCCCAGTAGCCTCTCCTACCACCAGTGGGCAAAAGCAAATGAGTTTCTTCATAGTCTTCAGACTTCCTGAGATAGCTGCTGGCTAGAGTACTGCTGTCAACAGTTTTTGCTTCACATGGAAAATAATAACATTTTAAGCCACACATTGGAATAAATTGAAGAGGACTTGGGGTATCTATATGGGACTTGGCAAAAGCCTTCATTATATAAGAAAATAAAGCTCAAAATTTAAAGAAGACATTAAATACTAAAGTTTTACAAAATTCCCCCAAAATAACCTCTTCAATTTTTAATAAGAAATTTGCATTTAATTTTATTTAATTTATTATTATTATTTTTGAGACGGAGTCTTGCTCTGTCGTCAGGTTGGAGTGCAGTGGTGTGATCTCGGCTCATTGCAACCTCTGCCTCCCAGGTTCAAGCGATTCTCCTGCCTCAGCCTCCCAAGTAGCTGGGAATATAGGCACGTGCCACCACGCCCGGCTAATTTTTTGTATTTTTAGTAGAGACGGGGTTTCACTGTGTTGGTCAGGATGGGCTCAATCTCCTGACCTTGTGATCCGCCAACCTCGGCCTCCCAAAGTTCTGGGATTACAGGCATGAGCTGCCATGCCCAGCTTGCATTTGCTTTTATGAACATAGCTTTTTTTCTCTCTTTTTGAGACAGAGTCTTGCTCTGTCACCCAGGCTGGAGTGCAGTGGCATGATCTCAGCTCACTGCAACCTCCGCCTCCCAGGTTCAAGCGATTCTCCTGCCTCAGCCTCCAGAGAAGCTGGGATTATAGGCACACACACCATCATGCCTGGCTAATTTTTGTATTTTCAGTAGAGACAGGGTTTCACCATGTTGGCCAGGCTGGTCTCGAATTCCTGACCTCAAGTGATCCGCCTGCCTCGGCCTCCCAAAGTGCCGGGATTACAGAGGTGAGCCACGGCGCTAGCATGTAGCTTTATAATATCTGATTTTATGCTTAAAATAGCAATTCCTAATCAGATTTTTTTTAATCCCATCAACACTTTTTTTTTTTTTTTTTTTTTTGAGATGGAGTCTTGCTCTGTCACCCAGGCTGGAGTGCAGTGGCGTGATCTCGGCTCACTGCAAGCTCCACCTCCCGGGTTCACGGCATTCTCCATTCTCCTGACTCAGCCTCCCGAGTAGCTGGGACTACAGGCGCCTGCCACCACGCCCAGCTAATTTTTTGTATTTTTAGTAGAGACAGGGTTTCACCGTGTTAGCCAGGATGGTCTCGATCTCCTGACCTCGTGATCCACCCACCTCAGCCTCCCAAAGTGCTGGGATTACAGGCGTGAGCCACCGCGCCCGGCCAACGCTTTTTATCAATGGTCTCTTCAAGCTCTTGGTAGTCATCACTAAGATAAACTTTGTTCACACAAGTAAGTCATGTGAAAAAAAGTAAAACATTTTTTGAAATCATTCCAAATTTTACAACATCTGAGTCATATTTTAAGAAACAAATAGTTCTTTTTCTTTCATTGACAACAGCAGTGTTGAAATTCCTGCAATCATGTGAATGACTTTCAAATCGAATGGAACTTTCTTAAAGTATTTCAAAATCATGACAATGCTTTAATGTGCAGACCACTCATGCACAGCCAGTTTGGATACCACAGAAAGGGGCACGCCAGTCACAAACAGCTGAAAGAATCTGATATGTGTGATGACAGGTTCAATGCTGTGCCTGCCAAGAACTGTCCCCATCCCTGGCACTGTTGAACTTCCACTTCCACTGGTTCCACGTTGGCCTAACGCTGTGCTTCTTGCAGGACCAGCTTCACTGACTTGCAACCTAGACAGCTGCACAGGACCCTGCACTTGGAAGGACCCTATGCTTAGTTTAATGTTCTGATGCCACCATCTTGAAATTCTTAATAATTTTTGAACAAGGGGCCCTGTATTTTCTTTTTTCACCGGGCTCTGCAGTTTATGTAGCTGATCCTGGCATCTTGGGCAACTGGAATACAAACTCCTTCAGTAGCTACCCTGCGCCCTTGCTCATGATGGACAGTGGCATGTGCTATCACAGGTGAAGCAACTTCTTAGCTGCTGCATTCAACTCATTGACATGGAGCATAACAATGTGGATGTCATCAGGCTCAGCAGGTTCCATGTTTGCAGGACCGTGGGCCACACCTTTGTACCTTCCTCCATTTGGCCACCCTCAAGGGACCTTGATGAAGCTGTTGATACTTGTGGCTGGAAATAACCGTCCCAGAGGTTCCAGCTGCCCCAAGAGGCAAGGCATCAATATCATACCCCATGGTGCACTGACTCGCCATTTGGGCCGTCCCGTGTAGGATGCATCCCCAAGTATGTTACTTCATGGTAAGATCTCTGTGACCTGAGATAGGTCTACTGAGTCCTTGCTACTGTGTGTTTCAAAATGAAGGCTAAGTATTGGATTTCGAAAGCCTACTCCACCCAAGAGAGGCTGGATATGAGACATGATCCCTGAGGGTTCTAGCTGAGGACTGAAATGAAAGGTAATGCTGGAAGGAAATGTTGAGAATCCTTCTGGGTTCTTCATCTGGCATGTGGGGGGTTAAAACAGTTTCTTCTAAATATTTGTTTGAGTTGGAATCTCTTATATTATCTGTAGTTTGGTGTCATAACTTCACTTTGGTCTCTATTATATACAGACATATATGTATATTTTCAACCTACATTATTTAAATATAAGCAAAAATAGTTCCAAGCCAGTGAAGACAAATGACTCCCAGCACAGGGGAGGGCAGTTTCTGCCAAAATACTTTGCATGGAGCAACAGATGTGCTCAGATTGGCTCTGGGGACAGGCAAGGAGATGGGGGCGAGAGGACTTGGCTGAGGCATAATTGGACCTGACAACAGTAGATAAGAGGCTGTAGCACTGGACCCCAGATTCTTCACCCAGAATACCAAATTAGCTCATCACTTTCTGCCTTCAGAGGCAAAGATCAGAAGTATGCATCAGTCTTAGCACAAAGCAATACCAACAGAGCCCTCATAGATTATTTTTCAATCAACACTATTTTTCTACTATTTTACATAAATTCATACACAACACTCCCCGATTACACACTCTTACTGTTCCAGCAAGTAGCAAGAGAACTTTGTAGATATTAACATCATGGAGTCCTTTGCCTGGTCTTCACTGTGTGTGTGTGTATATGTGTTTGCATGTGTATGCATGTGTGCACGTGTGTGCATGTGTATGTGTATGTGTGTGCTTGTGCATGTGTATGTGCATATGTATTGCGTGTGTGTGCGTATGTGCGTGTGTGCTTGTATGTATGTGTGCATATGTATGTGTGTATGTGTGTGTGTGCATGCGTATCTGTGCATATGTATGTGTGTGTGCACATGTGCATTCATGCGTGCAATCCTTTACGGAAGCTCTTGTAGTTAAAGTAGTCATCAGGTTCATGAGCAAAGAAAGAAAAGCTATGACTACTTTCCCACTTCTTAACATTCTGATTTTCTAGTCTACCTAAGTCCTTCTGGCACTTATACAATAGCCTGGCCCTCTTGCTACCAATTAGTGGCTTTTCAAGGATGATGAGAAAGCTATAAAAGTGGGATAATAACAGGAGTGGCTGCAGTGGGAATAACAAGATAGAGGAGACGCAAGAAGGAAAGTGGAGTGATTCACCTTCTGGCCTTTCTACTCCCCAGACCACTTTGTGTTTCTTGCCAAATGTTGTCTTATGGAATATTCGAGCCCAGATCTTTATAGGAGGCAAAGCTCCTGGCAGGGTTCATCTCTGGGCCTGGGGTGGGGAGGGGAGGACCCTTGGGACCTCACATTCACCGAGACCTCATATGCAGACTGTGGCTCGGCTCCAAATGAGGCTGCACACCAGTCACATACGCAGAGAGGACTGAACGCTGTCCATTGTTCCAGTTGGATTTTAAAAATATACCAGAACTTTTACAACTCTGCTCTGACATGTCTTCATTTTTTAATGTATTGGAAATCTGAAATAATGGAAGTGGCTAGGCTGTCTCTCAACCTCGTGTCTGTGTTTTCATGTTTATTCATCTTCCAGGGCACATTTTCATAACGGGATTGGATGTAACATGCCCAGTTAATTAGGGAATACATTTTTATTACCAACGCCACTCTTGGTTATATCTTGATCTCCATAAGGAACTGGCCGACCAGGGGAGATGAGCGTGAACTGGCTTATGACTGAAGGAGAACAGAGGTGTTGTGCAGTCAACATCTGCTTTGCATGTTTGTGCTTTATCACAAAACAGATGATAATGATAGGACGTGTAAGAAGCACCATGTTAATGATAGTGCCAGTGGAGGGTGTGAACAAAAGTCACGACTGTTGAGCAAAAGCTAGAGGTAAATTAAACCCTGGATTTGTTCAGAGTTTAGTTTTTATAGGTACACATCTATGGCTAGTAGAAAGGTTCTTGGTATTGAAATTGCTTTAAGAATAATAATTTCATTGCTTCAAGTGTGAAACTCCCCAGTCACTGATCCCAGCTCTTCCCACTAAAGCAGGTGTTTTATAATATTGTTTTTGTGGATGGTACCGTTTTATTGCCAGTGTGGATATTATGTAACATATGCAGATTATATACATGCAACATTTATTAACACGCAGTGCATTGATCACCGTGGCCTAGAAACTGTTTGCAAATGGCACAAAGACATTTTAATGTCAATAGTTACGTATTTATTTTAACGTGGACTTTCATGTAGGGCAAGATTCCCAATTTTCCATTGGTGGTAGTGACGTACAGCTTCCTTGTAAGTGAGGCAGCAGCCTTACATGTGTGGCACTGGTTACTCTGAAAAGTGAGTCACTGTTTAAATTGGTAACTTTTTAAAAGTGAGTCAATTTATAGAATTTATTGAACAATCTTGAATAAATAAAAATGTACTGGTCTGCTTAGGATAAGGCAAAAATCATGAAGGTGCTCTGTCAATGACCAAGTTTTGGACACAATGGGCTACGTAATAAGAAGATGTAGGCTTTGTGTTGGGTTTGTGATAGTGATGATAGCTACACTGAGCCATCCTAGTGACCAGTGCCACATGTGTAAGGCTGCTGCTGCCTGATGCCCCAGGAGCGCGCCTTCCACGTGACACTAATTGGCCCACACAGGAGAGAAACCATGACCTTGTCCTCATTAGCCACATGCTCAGACCAGCTGAGCTAGCTCACTCTGGGTCACTGGGGTCCCATGTAGGAAATTACCATTCCAGTGCCCTGTGGCCCCCTCGTAACCCCAACTAATGAATGTCCCGTGGAGCCTAATGTCATTCCTGGGGGAACACACAGCTCTCCCAGCAGTGGAGAAGCTGATAGCATTCTGAAGTTTTAACCCGGGGAGAGCCAATTGAGGAAGCATGGAGAACTCAGGAAGCCTAGAAGCAATCTTTCAAACACCTGCGTGCTGGGAAAAAAGGAGGAAAACATCCAACTCTGTCCATCTGTTTGCCGGGTCTGGTCTCAGGACACAGAATGGAAGCACAGGGAAGTTAAGAAAGCCGTTGAGCATGGCACAGCATGTTCATCGAGCATAAATGATATTAGGGGATTGCTGTATGGCCTGAGCACTTGACACCAGCAAACCTATGAAGCAGGTGGCATTATCGCTATATTAGGGATCAGGAGTTTCCTGAGGTAATAAGAGAAGGAGCTGGGGATCCTCCCAGGATTGCCATCCTATGGAAATTAATACAAGTTGAAGGGCAATTTTACAAGCTGGACAGACAGCTTGCCAAATGCCTCCTTTAGCTCTAAGGAGAAAGATACAGTCCTTCAAGTAATAATTTTTTTTTTCTGTAGCTTAGGCACTTCCATAGTTTAGCCATGAGAAGAGTTTCTTTAATTAGACGATTTTCTAGTCAAGGCTGGGACAAAGCATCCTTCCCAAGTGTTGGGGAAGATTGGAAAGGGATGGTGAACTTTCTCAATGTATACTGAAGAGCTGGGGAGACCACCAGTCACTCCATCTTCTTTTCAACAAGATTATGGGATCAATACCCCTTCCAGGACCAAACTAACTAGTGGGCAAAGGCCTCCTAGCACTCACTTGGCAGCCACTCTTCCTAGGGCCACAGCTGGCCTGCTGCCCCTGGGGGTGCTCCCCACCCTGGTTCTCTCTAGAAGCCAGGAAGCCCTGGGTGCATGTGCCCACTCCCAGCCAAAGAGTAGCGTGAATTAGAAGGGACTAGACACTTGTAGTAAACCACCACACTGCATTTTATTTTATTTTCCGAGACAGAGTCTTGATCTGTCACCCAGGCTGGAGTGCAGTGGGATGATCTCGGCTCACTGCAACCTCTGCCTCCCAGGTTCAAGCAATTCTCCTGCCTCAGCCTCCCGAGTAGCTGGGATTACAGGCACGCACCACCACACCTGGCATTTTTTTTTTTTTTTTTTTTTTTGGTATTTTTTTTAGTAGAGACAGGATTTCACCATGTTGGCCAGGCTGGTCTTGAACTCCTGACTTTGTGATCTGATTGCCTTGGCCTCTCAAAGTGCTGGGATTACAGGCGTGAGCCACCGCACCCAGCCATGCTGCATTTTAATTCAGCTTTCTGATTTCTGATTAGTTTAGGGAGATGGCTCAGCTTACTCTCAAATTTTTCTGGTTAATGTCTGAGAAACTTAATATTTTAAAGGTGAAATTGGCTGGCAATAAACTTAAGAGTCAGTGAGACCTAGATAGACCCCTCAATTCACTATTTATTAGTAGAGAGATTTTAGCAACTTACATAACCTCTCTGAGCTTTAGTTTCCTCACATATATCAAGGGGATAGAGTCTTCCTCTCATGGTGGTATCTGAACAAGGTAATGCATGTAATATGCTTAATGCAGGGATGAAATGTTATAAACGGACCGTGTCTCTTATTGCATGATCTGTTTTCTGCCTCTTCACACAGCGTGACTAAGTGAAATGTGGTGCAAGTTGCCAAGGATCAAAATGGCTCTTTATTATAACCTTATTTTTAAACATTTGAAGACCAGTATCTACTATTATCTCACATACTGTTATTCCTCTACACCACAGGAATAGGCTGCTGAAAAATTATGCTTGAGGTAGGGAGGGAAAGGCTTTTTGAAGGTCTTGGTGTGATGTGCGAGGAGCCTGACTAGCACTGCCCACCCCCCACTTCTGCCCGCCAGTATCTCAACCTAAAACAGGTTTTCCTCTGTTTATTAGAAAGTTCCCTCTGGCTCGAGCATATTTGCTCACGATCTTGGAGTGGAGGCTCAATTCTGGCCATAGAATCATAAGAGAGCTGCAACCTCTCTCACAAATGGGCTTTCAGGCAACATTGGGTAGAACTGAATTGTTTCAAAGTGAGACAGTTGCTAAGAAACAAGGGCTTTAAGAGAGGCTTCCCAGGGCAATCCCTTGGCAGCAGGTGGGAAGAGGCTGGATGGAGTTGACAGTTTCTGAGATGGAGTCTCAGGATGGAAGAGTAGTGAGAGACCCCTTAAACAGCAGACACTGAGAAATCCCGCTTTGCCACTCTTCCCCAAGCACATTCACTACCTGAACGCCATCAGTCAGGCTTCCCGAGCTTCGAATTAGGTAAATTCAATATTGAAAAGAAACGTTTATATTGCCACTTGGGTTGATTATAGCTTGTTTTTCCTTAATTAACTCAGTCCTGACTGGTGAGCATTTAACGATAAATTGTAGCAGTGACTGGAGACTAGAGACTCCGGTCCTTCTGGGACCTCTAGGTAAGCAGTTTTCTTTAACCCACTGCCACCTAGTGGTAACTGAGCAGACTGAAAAACTCTTCATCTATAACCAAGGAGAGAACGGTTGGCATTTTTTTCTGCTTGCCACTCCTATCTTGGAAGCACAGGGAGAGTGATCGATGTGTCTCTTTCCACTGGCCTCCACTCCCTGCCAACATTTAACTGTCACTGTACATTTACAGTGTCAAGCTAGCTGACTCTTTTGCCATTACTTTGATTAATTAGGACATTCTCATTTAATCAGAAGTATCTGAGATTCAAAACAAACAGGCAAGGACCAGACATACAGCACACGGGTCTTGCCTCCCTTTCTACTGCAGCAGTTAGCAACTTGGTGTGTGTCAGCTGGGCTCAAGTTAATGGATCCTTTAAAGTGAGAAACTGGGTCTTGACAGTTAACTTCAGGTTTCCCCCTCTAAGAATAAATGTGACTTTTCTTGTCTACCTTACCAGGTGATTCAGTTCTGGAAGCACACAGAAGAGATCCAAGTAATCAATGTGGCAAATCTGGGACAGCTAAACTTCCTGTACATGCACAGTGGAAAGCTGGTAGAAAATTTAAATATTTTTGGAAGAATGTGAAGATTGATTTGCCAAATGTGGTAAAACACTCAGAGGGAGCAGAATGAATGGTGATTTCAGCAGATCATGAACAGAATGGACTAGTGCCAGTGAGCTATTAGGTAGAATAAATTCACAGGGCAATTACCACTGCTTGCAGCTTAGAGGAGATAATTCAGAATGTGGGCCAAGTTCCTTTCCTAAGCATGAACTTCAAGTAAACTTGGAAGAAAAAAGCCACCTCAAGAGTGGTGTTTTATTTTTATTTTACTTATTTTTATTTTTTGAGATGGAGCCTCGCTCTATCGCCCAGGCTGGAGTGCAGTGGTGCAATCTCAGCTCACTGCAACCTTCGCCTCCTGGGTTCAAGTGATTCTCCTGCCTCAGCCTCCCGAGTAGCTGGGACTACAGGTGCCTGCCACCATGCCCAGCTATTTTTGTTTCCTTTTTTTAGACTGAGTGTTGCTCTGTGGCCCAACCTGGGGTGCAGTGGCATGATCTCAGCTCACTGCAGCCTCTGCCTCCCGGGTTCAGGTGATTCTCCTGCCTCGGCCTACCGAGCAGCTGGGATTACAGGTGCCCGCCACCACACCTGGCTAATTTTTGTATTTTTAGTAGAGACAGGGTTTCACCATGTTGGCCAGGCTGTTCTCGAACTCCCAATCTCAGGTGATCCACCCGCCTCGGACTCCCAAAGTGCCACGATTATAGGCGTGATCCACTGCGCCCGGCAAGAGTGGTGACTTAGATGTGTGGACTTTGGTAAAGAAAAGGTACAAGGTTACAATAATGTAAATGCAGAAGGCTTGAGATGGTCTAACTTTCTAGACAGGTGTCTTCACTTGGTAACAGACTCCCCTGCCTCCTCTCTCCCACCCCCCTAAATCAACAGAGACAAAGCAGCCAGGATATGAATACAGTTTATTACAGTTTTCAGACTCCCATTACGACACATATCTAAAGCTGAACATTGCAAACTGACCTTACTAGCAGCAATTCTCCCTAGACAGGAAGGGTTTCAGTTAATTTAGCAATTAGGAGTAAAGACAAACTTACAAGTCATGGTTTTTCTTGTAGCAGCTGGTATATGAGCAGTGAAACTATAGATACGTAGAGTCATTCAGGTTTAGCCTTGTCTAAAAAAACATTAATAAGTTATGGTGCAGAGGAGTATCCCCAGGGTTGCCAAAGAGAAGGCTGATGTCTTTAGATGTCAGTATGAAACAAGCAAATCACTTTCAAGACATGGCTTACTATTTGCTTTACTGTCAGGACAACAGAAAAAGAAGTGGACAGCTACCCTAGATTCTAGCTCACACATAATTCAGCCAGATAATCATCATTTAAATAATACCCCTTGAAATTTTTCAGACTTTTCACAGCTCTAAAAACACAACATCAGACATAACATCACACATTTGTTCCAAAGGACTAAAAATCAAAAGCAATTGCAAAGTATTGGGAATCACTTTTATGGCTTTCCTAAGGGACAGTCCCCATCTTTCCAAGGAGTGTTTTTAAAGAAGCACTAACTCTGGTAGGTTATCAAACTATTTTTTATTCTAAATAAATAAAAGACTAACTGAAGGTCTCAGGTGCACACTTATTTTTCCCCGCAGATCTTCAAACCATCCAGAACTATTTCTTGTCAGAGAGCTTTCATTTTTATTAGAGCAGTGCAAGATAACGTACAAACATTTGAAAAACACTCAAAATACTGAGAGTAAAGGAGGCCCAACCCTTCCTCAGGGCCCAGAAAACTGACAGGAACCCCAAAGGCTTATCTTAAATCCATCAACTCAATTTGCCAGAAAGTGCTGACAGACCACCCACCTTTGCAACACAGGGCTCAGGATTCTTGCATTTACAACCACTAAGAAAAGCCTTCTGGGAGAAGAAAAGCACAGACTGGTGAACATAAGTTACTGAAAAAGGGTTGACTGCATTCTATATCTGGCACAGGAAAAGAAAAATTCAAACAGCTGTGAAACCATTATATTTACACCACGATACTCTTACATGAACCTTGACTTTCCTACAGCAACAGTTTCATTCACAAAAAATACATAAAAGATTGGAAAGCTTTGGGGTAGCACCAGTGACAGCTAGCTGTCATTGAATAGTTTTAATTTTTTCCTAGAGGCAAAATTTAGAGAAAACTTAAAGAAGCAATTTATAGAAATGATTCTATTTCATGATTTTGCCTTTGTCAGCTGCTATGGAAATGGTGCAAGCAGAAATATAAATATCCATTCTGCATCAAGTAAGTTTCTATTTCTTTTTTCTCAAAGGGTAGAAATGGTACATCTCAATTTTTGTAAGGCTTCTGAGGATTAAGGGCAGCTCATCGCTCAGGACTTGACAATCTCTAAAGGAGCTCCTGGACTCTTTCACCACAAGGATAGATGGAGCCACTCCTATCCACAACTCATAGCAAGGATCTCTATGCATCTAGATTTTAATGCCAACGGTTTCTTGGCTTCCTGACTTGACATGCACCATGCACAAAGAGCAAGGTACTGACTGGTCTAAAGCCACTCTCCCCGGACACTGCTAACTCTAGCTAACCATCTCACAGACATCCTGCCTCTGATCATAAGATGGTCCCTGGAAGGAAGCATAAACACTTCCCAAATACTAGAACAGACAGCCCAAAGTGCAAGTTCTACTAATGGGAGAGTAAATGAATCACCTCTGTGTACAGAGAATGGCACAGGAAATTGTTATGAGTATAAAACCATATCTCCCCTTTCTTAATCACTTGTTATTATCTAACAAAGGTAGATACTTTTGAGAAGACCTCACCAACTACATAAGTATGTCCTATAAATTGTCTTGAAAACATATTCCCATGTTTAAAGATTACTTTGAAGAACCAAAGTTGAATGTTCAAAAATAAAAACTATTCTTACCAAGTTTCCCAAGCCCAAATCCCTGGAGAATTCTAGAAACCAGTTTTGTTGGTTTCTAGTATTTCAGTATTCAGTATTTCAGCTGCATCGAGCCCCCCTCAGGTGAGCTAGTGGGAGTTCCCCGACTCTATCATTATGTTCCTCATTTTCTTTCCTTCTCCTGAGGAAGTCTTCAGTTATTTCCATAGCAACTTGTGATAATGTCCTAAATGATCACATTTTTTGAATAGCACATATATTATTGGGACCTACTTTTTCTTTCTTTTAAACAATATCTTCGATAATAAAGAAAAGGGGACCGGGCGGGATAGCTCACGCCTGTAATCCCAGCACTTTGGGAGGCTGAGGCAGGTGGATCACCCAAGGTCAGGAGTTCAAGACCAGCCTGGCTAACACGGTAAAACCCCTTCTCTACTAAAAATACAAAAAATGAGTCAGCCATGGTGGCTGACCCAGCTACTCAGGAGGCTAAGGCAGGAGAATCGCTTGAACCTGGGAGGCAGAAGTTGCAGGGAGCTGAGATCGCGCCACTGCACTGCCTAGGCAACAAGAGAGAAATTGTCTCAAAAAAAAGAGAGAAAGAAAAGGGAGTAATCTTTAAAAATGAACTTCTGTTAAAAAGTAATTATCATGCTTTATACAAAACAGCACATTTACTAATTTACTAGATAGAATTCATTCCAGAACCACTGTCCAGACCAAACAAACAAATGGGAACATAGAGCACATAAAATAGATCATACACAGTTTAAACATAATTTTCATAGCCAGAATTGTCATGTTGGGCAAAAAATGGTAAATCAATCCTTATACGGCTATATGAAAATTATAGGTAAACATAAAAACAGGCATATGTTTAAGTCAGGTTAGATTTAACTAGGCACTGGAATGAATGAAAACTGATTATATTCCGTTGGATTCCAAATTTCTACCTTATTGGGAAAGTAGAGTACATCATTCTAGCCGAGGGATGAGAGGGCAGGCAGATGAGGATAGCCACACAGGTATACGCAGTGTTGCCTGATGATTAAACCTGACAACTATTTTGGGAACTGAGATTTCAGATACACTATTTAGAATTTAGACTGGCAGCTTCCAAAGATTACTGTTCACTTGAGTTTGTAAACTGGAACCTCTATAAACTTTAGTGCACCTGATCTGGCTCTAGAGTACACTTTACAATGCATTTAAAAATAAAAACAAACAAACAACAAACTTCCACAGATTGCCCTTTCGGGATGTGTCATTTTTAGATGCTCATTCTCCATTTGGTGCTACCATATAAACCCCTTGAAAAGTTCAGGGGATTCTTTCTGATAATGATCAGAAAAGGGTGAGGCCTGGGATATAGCGGGAGCAGCAAAAAAAAAGTTACTCTCCTCTTACTGAAGATACTCTTCTGAGAACTTCCATTGTCCCTTAGGAGGAAGGAATGGAATATGGAAGTTCCAGAAGATACTGCTGCCTTCCGAAGATAGTTACAACAGGATCATAACTATGAACCCTAAGATTACTTTTTTTTTTTTTCCTTTTTTTGAGACAGAGTCTTGCTCTGTCGCCCAGGCTGGAGTACAGTGGTGCAATCTTGGCTCACTGCAAGCTCCGCCTCCCGGGTTCACCCCATTCTCCTGCCTCAGCCACCCACGTAGCTGGGACTACAGGCGCCCGCCACCACGCCCGGCTAATTTTTGTATTTTTAGTAGAGACAGGGTTTCACCGTGTTAGCCAGGATGGTCTTGATCTCCTGACCTTGTGATCCACCCGCCTCAGCCTCCCAAAGTGCTGGGATTACAGGCGTGAGCCACCGTGCCTGGCTGAGATTACTTTTTTATGTAGCACCTGCCTTGCTTCTGTGTCTTATAAAGACACAGAATTCTTACAAAGCTATGAAACAGAGTCAGGAAAAATTACTCATGGCACTTAAAGATGTTTAGAGACTGTAAAATGCCTTCATTTTTTTTTTCTCAATGCCCCTGTGAGGTAGGTGTCTGTGGGGAAAAAGCTGAGGCACGGAGGGGTTAAGTCTGCTCACCTTTTCATTGCATGATGAGCCAGTGGTCCAGCTAGCAGGACCAGGTGTCCCAGCTCCCTAAACTTTATTCACCCTGCTTCTCAGAAGGCTTATTTATGTTACACAACAAATACAGCAGGGGAAAGTTTTCTTTTCATACATTTTAACTAGTTGGCTATTTCTTATTCTCACCTTGAACATAAGTTATCTCAGATAAAACCAAATAAAAACAAAACAAAAAAATCAATATTGCCTAACAGTCTGTGTCAAATGCAGCCTATTCTGCACTAGTGATTGAAAAAGCACAGAATATGATTCAAGTAGAAGTATTTGTGGGTGCTATGGTGTTCCTGTTGACTCAAGCCAGGCTGTGAGTAAAGTGTCGCTTTAGACACTACCCACTGTACTTTGTAAGAACTTCTTTGGCCTGACACAAGGGAATAAATCTACCACCCCTGTTTCATGGTGAAACCATATTCTGAAAGATATTCTACACATGCTGGCCCTGCCTGGAAAGGGGACTCTCAGCCGTGTGATGTGTATTACCGAGTTCATGCACAACTCTTTGAAGCTGGACATGAAGGTCACAGTCTCCTGACATAAAGCTCACAGGACAGTTCACACTACGGACAGAGGGGCAATACCACAGGGTACATGCACTAGCACCATGCCACAGAAGTCAAAGAGAAGGACAAGAAGCCACCACACAAGCATCTTAGAGTCCCATCTGGTATGCCATTTGCAGAGGCTACCTCTGGTAAGGGGAAGACTGAAGAGGTCCTGTACTCCTTTCCATAATAAGAAGAAGGATCAAAACAGAGCACTCATTGCTGGCTGCTTTGAGCATACCGCCTATCCAAATTTCACCCCTACATAAGTTGGTAACTTTCCTTGTAGATATTCAAAGATAATATATGTCATTTCTTCATCAAGAGAGAATCATGTCAGGCAAAATTCAAAAGTTAGTTACAAGACGTGGATGCAGGGCTCCAAGGCAATTTACACCACTACTCTTGGAATCGAATTCATGAGTACTCAGGGCACTAGCTTTTAGACATGCAATACTTCTTTTTGAGACTTTTCTTTCCCCTATAGTATCTAAAATGTAAATTCCACTCATATCATGACCCCTAAGTCTAATGGAAGATCAGATATTTGGTTTCAGGGTCTGAAGTAAATCACAATACCAAATCAGATGCATGTATCTATGAATGCTTTTTGCCTTGATATTAATGCAAACGCCTGCCCTCCCAAGGCCTGTCCTCCCCTTGAGCTCATCTTCCAGGGGGCTGAGCCTGCTCCGTCCTCTGCATATGCAGGACCAGAGGGAATCATTCCAACTCAGAGTTTCACTGGGATACTAGGATACAGCATAGCAGCAATTCATGCACTTTATTTCTAAAAACCAAAGCTCAGGCTGAGCTGGTCACTGTGCAAGATGAACCAGCAGGACATTCTCGCCTCGAATGAAAATCTGATTTATGTGTCGAGTGAATACCTGCTGGTAATCCACTTTGGGCTTTCGCTTTTTCTTACGGGACTGGCCTCTGGAAAGGGTGGTAGCCCTGGAAAAGGTACCTCCCACACTGGAGCCGTCTGTCCGTGTAGTCCTCCCTGACAGCTCTGACCTGGACTCCTCCCTTGCAGAGGCCTGCAGGGAAGAAGGGACAGAGCGGGAACGCTTGTGTGAGCCCCGGCCAGTGTCTGCTCTTCCCCACACTGAAGCCAACTTCCAAGTGGATGTCTGTGAGTATCTAGACAGAGTGGAATCTTCAACTGCAGACTTAGAATCTGCTTCCTTCTTGGAGGAATCTTGAAGTTTCAGCCGATCAAATAGCTATAAAGCAAACAATGATAAATATTAGCCTTCTCTTTAGCCTTCATCACCCTCTTTCAACATACAGAAAAAGACCAAATTCTTTAATTATGTTCTGTGGACTCCTTGCTTTGCAATTTTTTAAAAGTTAGTAATAAATCTTTTTTTTTTTTTTTTTTTTTGGAGACGGAGTCTCACTCTGTCGCCCAGGCTAGAGTGCAGTGGTGCGATCTCAGCTCACTGCGACCTCCACCTCCCAGGTTCAAGCAATTCTCCTGCCTCAGCCTCCCAAGTAGCTAGGACTACAGGCGCCTGCCACCCTGCCCAACTAATTTTTGTATTTTTAGTAGAGATGGGGTTTCACCGTGTTAGCCAGGATGGTCTCGATCTCCTGACCTCATGATTCACCCGCCTCGGCCTCCCAAAGTGCTGGGATTACAGGCATGAGCCACCACGCCTGGCCATAAATTTCCTATTTCTAACTATAATGCACATAATACATATGTCAAGAGAAAAGGCTTATTTCTGTGGTATAAAGCTGAAAGACTTTCAGGTGTTGTAAGAGACAACTTGCTCCTCAAATAATATGCAGGTTACAAGCACAGACTCACTTGAGATTCACTGGAAGCATGAAAAGAGGAACTAAGGAATACCTTGGTACAGGCACAGCTGGTTTATAGCAACAGAGATTTCCCTCTAGGAAATCCTAGTCACTGGGCTCAGGGATCTTAATTCCTAAGCTGGAAAGCATGATGGCTACTCAGGAGGTCAGGGGAAAACTGCCTACCCTAGTGAGAGTCAGTGAAGAATCCCGTTCATATGCTTTGCCTAGGACAGGTTTTCGGTAGGTCTCATCCACATCAGTAAGTGCCTAGAGGAACAGCCCAAAAGGAAAAACATTAGACAGAATTAAAATTATTATTTGTATAGCTTTTTCAGGGAAAAAAAAAAAGGCAGAGTAACATCTATTCAGAGCAGAACTACACTTAACAGATGACTCAGCTCCTAGGCAGAAGAAAATGGTGACACCTGGTACCTTCTGTGTAATATTTTTAAGCTGCTATCACCATATAAGATGGGTTTCACCTATGGATGGTAAGGGCCTTTATGACTGCATGGTAGAAGGTCTTAAATTTCAGTGTGCAAGAATATCTAGGAGGTTTATTAAAATACGAACCCAAAGCTATTCTGCTGGAGATTCTGTTTTGGTAGGTCTGGGATGAAGCCCAGGAACCTTTTGTTTCAACCAGAAGCCCCAGGTGATTCTGATGCAGGATGGCTTTAGATCCCACTTTGAGGAACATTACTGCTTCTTTACCCGCTTCAGTTTCTATGTCTTATGAAAGCAATTAACAGAGATTAACCAGGGTTACACACAGAATTGCTGGTGAGTTCTCATCACCGAGAGCAACCTCGACAGGACAGCTGTTAGGACCAAATGAGAAGTACAAGACAAATTCCTTTGAAAAGTGTAAATCACCCTACAAATAGAAGCTGACAGTACTGTTATAATCACCACTATCATCTAACACATTCTCTTCAATTCTTCAAAGGTAAAAAGATCATAATAAAACATTTTTCCCTGCATTTTGGAAATGAGAAAACTGAGGCTCAGAGAAATTATCTTGCTTACAGTCACACAGTTACCAAGTGATGATGCTAGGATTCAAATTCCCTAATGGTTAAAAACATGGTTTTAGGAGTTAGGCCGAGGAAAAAGTTTGGCACTTCCACTTACTAACAGTGTGATCTGCGACCAACATTCCAATCTCTCTAGAATCAATTTCTTCATTTGTGAAATGGAACAGTAATAGTACCCACAACTCATTCATTGAGATAATATATGAAGCCCTCAGTATAGTACCTGGCACATAGCAGGTACTCAATATATGTTAGCAGCTACTGTTCTTATCCAGGAGGATGCGTGGATGGGGATAAAGCACAGGGAAAAGGAAAGTTGGAGATAGAAGACCATATGGAAAAGAAACACCAGAAAGCTCTGGTGGTTCTTTTTTTTTTTTTTTTTTTTTTGACAGAGTCTCGCTCTGCCACCCAGGCTGGAGTGCAGTGGCATGATCTCGGCTCACTGCAACCTCCGCCTCCCAGCTTCAAGTGATTCTCCTCCCTCAGCCTCCTGAGTAGCTGGGATTACAAGCTTGTGCCACCATGTCTGGCTAATTTTGTATTTTTAGTAGAGATGGGGGTTTCCCTATGTTGGCCAGGCTGGTCTTGAACTCCTGGCCTCAGGCGATCCGCCTGCCTCGGCCTTCCAAAGTGCTGGGATTACAGGTGTGAACCACCGCGTGCAGCCTAGTAGTTCTTAACTACCTCAAATTATAGTTGTGCTATTACATATCCCTTCTCTCCTACAAATGTCTAGAAAAAAAGTAAGCCTCTAGAAGGCTAGGAAGTGTGGCACACTCCCTCATTATAAAACCACCATGTGGCCGGGCGCAGTGGCTCATGCCTGTAATCCCAGCACTTTGGGAGGCTGAGGCAGGCGGATTACCTGAGGTCTGGAGTTCAAGACCAGCCTGGCCAACATGGTGAAACCCTGTCTCTACTAAAAATACAAAAATCAGCTGGGCATGGTGGCAGGGGCCTGTAATCCCAGCTACTCAGGAGGCGGAGGTTGCAGTGAGCTGAGATTGTGCCACTGCACTCCAGCCTGGGTGACAAGAGCAAAACACTGTCTCAAAAAAAAAAAAAAAAGACATCATGCAAAATGCTTTGTTTACTGATGTCTGCTTCACCTCTATCCTTATTTACCTTCCCATGTACTGTAAAGTGCAAGTTCCTTTCTGAAACTTTTGCACCTAGCATGGGGTTCAGCCAAAATGGGAAGTCAATAAATGTTTTTCTTAATTAATGAAAGAATGGTTGGTAGAAAATCAACTAAAAATTACTAAACCGATAAAATAATTGGTCCTTAAGGCTGGGTTTCTCAACCCTGGCACTAAGGACTTTTCAGATTGGATAATTCTTTGTTGTTGAGGGACTATCTTGTGTGTTGTAGACTGTTTAGCTGCAACCCTGGCCTCTACCAATTAGATGCCAGTAGTACCCTCTCCTATAGTGGTGACAATAAAATGTCCCCAGACATTGATGAATGTTCCTGGGAGTGAAGGAAGAACAAAATTACCTTGGTTAAGAGCCACTGCCTTAAGGAGAAGGAAGCAATAAAAAGACCTTTTCTTGTTGTTGCCCAAAAGTATGCAAAAATTCTAGTTCTTCTAAGAAGTTATTTTTTGGGTTTTACTTAATGCAGTTACTCAGGTCCTTTAAATATTATAGAAGATATAATCTGTAGGAGGTTCTCCAGCCCCTTGAGAAAGGCTTAATTACCATATTCCAGAACTTGTCGAATGCAACAAGGAAGCCTGTACAGACGCCCCGAAGTCCCTTGAAAGTGCGGATGTGAACATTCACCTTCACCCCCTCACGGATACAGCGATGGAGTTCACCCAGAGGGCTGCCTTCGTGCACTGAAACAAGAGAAGAACAGTCAGGACAGTTTTAATATCTGCCCTCATTCCCAGAATTAAGCCACGACCACCCAACTTCGGCCAGCAACATGTGGCCCATGGTAGAGTGACAATCTCACTATTGGAACAGGAAGGTCCAATGGGCAACATGGCTCGTACGGCCAACACACACTGACACAAGACTAGATTCCAACAGAATGTGGATCATCCATATGTATGAATATCAGCCAAATGTTTCACTACCGGTATATCTCTTATTCCACGATGTCACTGATTTTAACATGCACTATCACTTAACTTTTGGGGTTGGCCGGGCGTGGTGGCTCACGTCTGTAATCCCAGCACTTTGGGATGCTGAGGTGGGCGGATCACCTGAGGTCAGGAGTTTGAGATCAGCCTGGCCAACATGGTGAAACCCCATCTCCACTAAAAATACAAAAATTAGCCAGGCATGGTGGCCCATGCCTGTAATCTCAGCTACTCAGGAGGCTGAGGCAGGAGAATGGCTTGAACCCAGGAGGTGGAAGTTGCAGTGAGCCGAGATCGCACCATTGCACTCCAGCCTGGGCAACAGAGCAAGACTCCATCTTGAGAAACACACACACACACGGGCACGCAAACATTAAATGTATACATTAACAGCGAGATCCTTCTCAATTCTGTGCCTTAAGACAATTCATGAATCACATATCCAGCTTGAGTCTTCCAAAAAAACAAAAACCTTGTTTACATGTTCAAAGGAAACAAACTGCACTCTGCCCTTAAACATGTACAATCCTGTCAGAAAGAAAGGCCTTTGACCCCACCAAAGCTACTCCATGCACAAGCTTTCTGGACTCACTGGTGTTTCTGGGAGGAAAAGCACTGGTTCTGGCCCAAGCCCTGACAGTGTAAAAGGCACCTGGCTGAGTATCTGGCTCCTATGACACTACTAATAAGCATCATGTGAAGAGAGCAGGATAATGACTCATAGGAAGAATATTGAGACTATAAATTTCAGCTTTTATTATGAAGGATTCTCAGAGCGTGGGAGGAAAGATGAATTTTATTTTTATTATTTCATGTTAACTCAGCTCTCACAATATGCTGGCTATGGTATATAAAACCTCCCAAAAGAAAGCCGTACACATTCTTTTTTCCTGAGACAGGGTCTCACTGTCACCCAGGCTGGAGTGCAGTGGCACAATCACAGCTCACTCCAGCCTTGACCTCCCTGGCTCAAGCGATCCCCCTAGCTCAACCCACTGAGTAGCTGGGACTACAGGCACGCACTACGCACCCCCAATCTCTCTCTCTTTCTCGTGCGTACACAGTCTCACTCTTTCCCAAGTTTGCAACGCAAAATTCTGTAGAAAGTTTATTTTTGGTCAGGTCTTAGAAGTCTGGATATATAGAGTATTTGGCATTGACAGTAGACAAATGAAAAATCTCTCCTGCTTTGTTTCTAGTGACATAAAGGAGAACAACAGTCCTGCACTTCAGTTTGGATAACTAAATTGGTTCCTCCTGAAGCCACCTTATCCCTCTGTCATGGATTGGCTTATAAATGATGGCTGTGATAAATTAATAAAAGATTCTTAGAAGAAAATGACTTAGCAGACTAGCAGGAGTTTATGTCAGATTAACGGTGTGAGAATAACTCGGAGTTGGAAGCGACACGAAGCAGTGACTTTGGAAAAGACCATGAGAATTCTGGTCTGACCATCATCATTTACCTCTCTTCTAGCAGTATTTTAAAGTCCTTTGTACATTTGCTAGCTAAGGGTGTGTATGGGTGTGTGGGTGTGTGTGTGTGTGTGTGCGCGCGTGCGCGCGCGTGTATATGTGTTATAGGCCATATTAAATCAAGCATTCAAGCATTGTAAACAATTTTCAGGTCATTATAACTAGTTGTGTGAACCTGATGAATAACTTTTTCTTTAAGTTCCAAATTTCCTCATTCATAAAATGAGGTTAAGATAGTTAACTTGTAGATTTATTTCAGGACTAAGTCCCAATAACTCAATTTCTTAGAAACTGATCACATGCTTGCATTATTTCTTTTCCTACACATACATATATACTGCCCCCTGCCCTATGATGTATGTTTATACAAAGAGTGGAAAGACTATTTTTTTCTAACTTGGAAAAAAACAGGGACATTACTTCTTTCCCACACCTCCAAAAATAGAAAGGGCAAGCAGGTATCTTAGCAACAGTCTCTTACTCTAATTAAATAGATGGCAAATTCAGGTCTTTCAATTGGTCTTTCTCAAACGTGTACCTTTAATTTTTTTCTTCCAAAGATTTAATAAGGTGTAATTCCAGGAAGCATTGCTCTCCTTGTATCCTTGTGTGATCAAAAGTACGACACTAGCACCACCTATCAGAGCAAACCGCCAAGGCAAAAATGAGCTCCCCATTCTGAATCAGAGTGCACATTCTCTTTCCAGCCGTCTCTGTGGCAAGCTCCAAATGGATATGAGTCAGGTTTCTATGACCAAATATGACAAAAAAGCATATGCCTTATCTTTGGAGAAAGTTACTCTTCCAATCCCCTTCTCTATTGCCACATCCTTCCAGATCCAGGTCATTTTCAGCTCCACTCTTCCTTCTCCTGCTACATGTAAATTATACCATCACAGCCTGATTTTAAAATAACTGTTCTCAATCATGCCCTTCTTTAAAGACCTAAAACTTGCCTCTTACAGTAACTCTTGTTTTCCTTAGAAAGAAATATTTAATAGGAATGTAGGAACAGAAGCCACGTCTGCGTCTCAGGTGGCGGCAAAACAAGATGGTGGATCCCCGTGCCATGACCCCCAGATGCAGGGCTTATATGCTACAGGGAAAGGGTGATTCAGAAGGGATGTGTAGGACAATTGAAGTAAGATAACGTCAAGGTTGTTCTCATGTAAGGACAGGAATTACAGTAAGTACATGCTCTTACACAAGAAACAACAGATAAATTGGAAATCTTAGAGGCCTTCCCAGAACTGGGTTTAATCAGAAGTCAACATGGTGGACTGGCATTCAAGATGGAGTTGCTTTAGCCTCCACAACTACCTATTCAAAGATTTAAGGACAAAACTGTATCTACATATATATCTCCAAATATACAAAGTTATTAGCTCATTAGGGCAAAGGCAGCTCCCCAGATTCCATAACCTATTAAGGGCCCAGAGAAATGAAACCACAAACTGTAACAGTCACCTTATGAGTCTGCAATGGAAAAATATTTTCTCTTTTCTCTGAAAATAGTTTTAGTTGCCATTCTATAGAAGGGTGCCATGACAGATTGAAAGTACAATGTTTGAATCAGTGACCCGGCAAAGGCACATCAGTGTCTTCCCTATTGTGATGCTATGTCAAACTGGCCTAAACACACACACACACACACACACACACACACACACAGCAGTGTGGTGCAGAAATCATCTGAGACTATTCCTTAGTTGCACTGGAGACAGCTGACTGGAAACAGCTGCAATGAGCTGAGAAAAGTGACAAGGCTGAATTTTAAGCTTGGCCTTTTCTGAAGCCTAAGTACCGCTGTTCTCGGTTTTATGTAAGTCATACTCATGCCCTTTTGGCAACCTCTGTGTAACAGAGATGCTGTTCAAATTTGAGAGTTCATTTTACTGCTGTACACAGGGCTCAGATGTTCTTGATTTTGCCTATTTTCTTGCTCTTTATTTGCAGGAAGTGAAGTCAAAGTTATCCAAAGAATATCACTTTATTAAAATGAAAACATCAAGACACCATATTGTGGGAAATTATTTCAGCAATCAAAGTAAACTACAACAACAGGACTCAAACAAATTTTCAATCATGGTATCACGTCAGAGGCCCAATAAATCAGGTTTGTTTTGAAATCCTTCTCAGCAGGATGTGTGCGAGTAAAAGGACTGTGTAGGCTCCCTGCAGGAAAACTGAATTTGGAACTGGAGACAAGCCATTCACCTAGACAATGGTCTAGGAGCCAAACCCTGCATGTCATATGCATTTTGGATTGACCACACACACTTGTTCACACCGGCACAGGCTGCACACCAACACACCTGTAGCTAAAACAAAGTAATGATAACACTTTTTCTTACAGCTTTATAATGTCAAGACGTGAGCTTGAACACACCAGTTCATTTCACAGTGACAGATATACCTAGAAAAAGCTTGCTTGAAGCACAATTATAAACCAGAACCACCGTGGGCTAGGTATGGTGCTGCGATACTAAGGAGAAATATAGACACTAGAATTATGTGGAAAAGAGGATAATGCTCTTTAGTCTTGTCTTACCATCTCTATAGGCATGTCAATATTAAAAAGGAGGAAAAGCAATTGCATTCCACTTGCAAGTACAGCTTGTGTGTGAGTTCTTTGTTGGTATCAGTGATGGCTTAGGCTTAATGATGACGAAAAACCTTTCCTCCTATGCTTTTTTTCTTCTTTAGTATTCCCAGTATTGCAACAGCCTCCTATACTTTTATTATTACTTTTTTTTGAGACCTCGTATCACCTCTGTAGAGGTCTCTATGATGTCCCTATGATCTCGGCTCACTGCAGCTTCCACTTACAGGGTTCAAGCGATTCTCGTGCCTCATCCTCCTGAACAGCTGGAACTAGAGGCAGATGCTGCCATGCCCAACTAATTTTTGTATTTTTAGTAGAGACAGGGTTTCACCACGTTGGCCAGGCTGGTCTTGAACTCCTGGCCTCAAGTGTTCTGCCCGCCTCGGCCTCCCAAAGTGCTGGGATTACAGGTGTGAGCCACTGTGCCTGGCTACTTTTAAAATTTTATTACTGCAAGGAAAAGAATACAACTGCTCCACAAGGGAATTCAAAGAGATTCTATGACAGAGATACAAAGTGAAATATTTTACAGTTAAAACACCATTACACTTAATTTTGCACTCCTTGTTTTTTCATAAACATTCCACACTGTCCTCTCTGTGAATTTGGATGGGTAACTTGGATCTGAATTGATGAAATACATCATTTTAAAGTCAGCGACAAAATGTAGCTCCTCATGTATTCTTCATTATGTTTCACTGATGATATGACCTAACAAAGCTTCTTCTTGCTGTTACAGCCTGATGGAACTTACATTTTATGTGAATATTTTGCAAAGGATTATGCATTCTCAAATGCATAGGCATTTTTTTCCAGAAAGCATTTGTATATGTCCACAAATAGTATTATCTTACTGGTATCTATATTTTGATTTTCCTGAGCAACTGTATCCAATCAGAGTTTAGAGTAGGCATATATTTTTTTAAATTAAAACTGTGGCATACATATAAAACATACCTAGTTCTTTTTTTTCCCCCCTTCCAACTTTTGTTTTTGGATCAGGAGGTACACGAAAGGTTTGTTGCAGGTGTAAATCGTGTGTCACTGGGGTTTGGTGCACAAATTATTTTGTCACCCAGGTAGTGATCACAGTACCCAATAGGTAGTTTTGTGATTCTCACCCTCCTCCCACCCTTCACCCTCAAGTAGGAACTCTTTCTTGAATGAATCCAATCCTCACCCATGTTTCTGTTGTTTTCTTGCTTTCTGAAGGTCATCAACTCTGTGCGACGTCAATGCCTTTCTCTCATGTACACTCAACTGTCTGCAGTGCCATGGTGAAAATTTTCAGTATGTAGGGCATATTCTCTGAGATCTTGATTCCAGGGATATATACTTAATCATAAGAAGTTGACAAAGCTGGTCTTCACACACTGTCATACCATTACAGTAAAGTGCTCTATAGGGAAAGCTAAAACCACCCACCACATAGCAATACACAGGAATATTCCTTTCCCTTGACAATCTTGGTAGCAAAGCAATAACTGGTAAAATAGAAATAAATGTTGCAATGAGACTTGGAGTGCATTTCAACTACCTAATGGTGGCAAATTGCATAGGCAAATTAAGGTCCCCCAAACTGCTCTCATTTTGGGAACAAGCATACTGTCTTTGTGTTACAGCCAGGCAAGCAGGCCGGGGTAAATCCTAGCTTGGGCAGGGATGCTGTGGCATGGTAAGACATCCAACGAAGGCACACGGAACAGCACAGAGCGTTTCAGGATGTTCTCTCTTAATAAACAAATTTCTAGGAATGAAGCAAAACAGTCCCTTGCTTGGCACACCTCTCCATCCAAAAGACAGTGACTTAATAAGGTAACAATTTAATTATCAGGATACAGATGCTTTGAATGGCTAAGTAGGTCATTGTGTTCACAGGGCAGATGTCAGAACTGCTTGCCAGATGACAAAAGAGATAACCTTAGGCTGTTTTTATTCCATTTATACAAGACCTAACTCACACATTAGAGCCTCTGCTGTTTACAGCTTTACTCTAAGGATCTATGAGGAGGCTCCAAGAAATTCCCTTGTGCCATTTACACCTTTAGAACTTAAAATAACCTGCACATATGGTAATATGAGCCTGACAGACACAGTCCTGCACCCAGCCAGGCAGAGTGGCTGTAAAACAGCGTCTGTGTTTTAGTGGCATTCTGTGCCTGCTGCATTTCAGCACTTGTGACTTAGTAATGTGAACATATGTGTATCAAGACTCTGCAGCCCTTCTGCTTATCGCACTCGAGAAGGAGCTGTCAATGTACAGGGGTTATGGGATTATGCGCCTGTGCTATCTGAACAAATCTCCCCACACTCCATCCGATCATCCTCAAATCCCACTGACCAAATACTCTCCTTCCCCTAATATTGGCTGTGCGCTCCCCCACGTCTCCCGTTTTCCGCCCCACCTTACCTCTCACTGTGGTCTCTAAGACCTCTCATCACCTCTGTAGACGTCCCTATGATGTCCCCCAAACTCTGTAGCCCCGCCACCTCTCCAGGTCCTCCATCAATCCTGTAGACCCTCTCGGCAGGCTCATCACCTCTGTGACCCTTCCATGGGCCCCGATTACCGCTGAAGACCTTTCCCACGGCTTCTTATGACCACTACAGCCTTACCACTCTCCCTCTGTTGCTCCTACAGCCCCTTTTCTTACTCAGGGTGACCCTCCCCACGCCCTCATTACCCACATTACTCAAGCAGATCCACCCCATAGTCACTGATGATCCCCGCAAATTTTCACCAAGGCGCTCCCGCAATACGTGCAGACCCGCGCCCGGCCACCGCCGCCCCGCAGACGCCCCCTCGGCAGCCAGCTTCCGGACGGCGGCTGCCCCGCTTCCCGCCCGGCCCGCGGACTCACAGGGCATTCGCGTGAGCACGTTGCGTGGCGCCTTCCTGCTCCGACCCGGACCCCTCCGGCCCGCTCCTGCGGCCCCGTCCCCTTCCTCTTTGGCCACCATGAGACGGCGGAGGCGCTGGATGCGCTCGGGGTCCGGGGCGGGCGCGTCCGGGCGGCGACGAGTCCTGCCCGAGGGCCCGGGTGCGGCGGGAACCCCAGAGCCCGCGGCCGCGCCCCGAGCCCGCCCGCGCCCGCGCCCGCCGCCCCGGACTCCGGTCCTGAGGAAGCTCTCGTACTCCGCCACGTTGTTGAAGCAGGGGGCATTGGGGTAGGGAATGGGAGGCAGGCGGGGCGCGTACAGGGCCAGCAGCGGGTCGAAGCTGTCAGAGCTGACATCCAGCCGCGGGCTGGGCGGGCGCGCGGGGCTCCCGGCGCCAGCCGACCTCGCCCCCCGCTCCCGCTCCTCCATGTTTGAAAGGCCCGCAAGCCGAGGCCGATGGGAAGAAGGAACGAAGCCGCCAGAGGGCGGCACTGCGCAGCCGCGGCGCGGGGTTGCACTGCGCCGAAGCGGCCGCGGGAGGGCAGCACCTGTCCTCGTTCCACCCGGGCCGGGGGGCGTGGTACGCGGCTCCGACCAGCCCGCGCCTCGCACCGCCTCCTCCCATAGCTGACAGGTTAACGCTGTCGACTGCTGCTTGACCTGCTCCAGCGCAGTTTCCCCGTCTGTATCATTATCACTTAGGGTGTTTGTTAATACTCTGGGTTCCCCGGGAATGAGCTCGGGATCGCATCCTAGCTTGAGCTGGCAGGAAGCGTCTGGAGGAAGGCAATGAATGTCTCAGTTTGCTTCCATGCTGAGTACTACTGATAGGGTGGGAAGAATAGCCTATCTGGGCTCAAAGTATTTAGCGTGTTTCTCGTCTGAAATATGATATAAATAGCACCTACCTTATAGAACTGACCTCAGGATGGAGAGATACTGCCTACAGAGCTCATAATAGATGCATGTCAGCCAATACTGGGTGTCTGTCCTCCATTTCCTATACCCTGTGCATAAACAAATTTGTGCTTAGTATCAAAGAAAATTCATTATATCACTGTCTTTCTAAGCATTGCTAACCAATTGGAAGAAACGAAGATCCAGCTCTTGGAGGAAACTATGGAAAATTCCCAAGACCTGATCATACCACTTGCTACTTTATAGTCTCAGTTCGGCAAAATATTTTTTGGTTGATTTTAAAATGACAGTCTACTCTTCGCGGAAGGCCCAGATATAACCTTCTCATCCAGCAGAGCCAAAATGTTTCCACTCACCTACAGGCCACACATCACTTGCCCGTCACCACATTCTCAAACTGCCATCAACTAGTATTCTCTGTACTAGTTGCTTTGTGTACATTTCAGTTTCCTTAAGACTTAGGAAGTCCAAGAGAATACTGGAGAGTACCTTAGAGAGCAAGATGAAAATTAATATACAACTCTGAAATATACCTTGGGATGAATGCATACTACAGCGAAGACAAAACCATCAAGCAGGCCGGGCGCGGTGGCTCACGCCTGTAATCCCAGCACTTTGGGAGGCCGAGGCGGGTGGATCACGAGGTCAGGAGTTCAAGACCAGCCTGGCCAAGATGGTGAAACCCCGTCTCTACTAAAAATACAAAAAATTAGCCGGGCGTGGTGGCACGCGCCTGTAATCCCAGCTACGCTGGAGGCTGAGGCAGAGAATTGCTTAAACCTGGAGGGGCGGAGGTTGCAGTGAGCTGAGATCGCGCCACTGCACTCCAGCTGGGGTGACAGAGGGAGACTCCATCTCAAAAAAAAAAAAAAAACAAAAACCATCAAACAGTGGCTTCTAATTGGTAGCAGTACAGGTTTCTTTATGGCACAGGTTTTGAACCCAGCTTATCACTTTGTTCAAAACCCCCTGCCTGAATAAAAAACTCAAAGCTGCAGAATTGCTGGCAATTCAACAAATGAGCGCTCATCCCCACATCATATGGCAAAACTGAGTGATAGCCTTTATAGTGTCATTTAAGACCCACAGAAAGCACGTTTCTCTGGGTGGTTTTCTTGAAAATTTGTACTCTAATGCCTACTTGTATTTTGATATAAAATGCTGTCAACTTACCATTAAGTTAAAATTGCCAATCAACAGCTACATTATCTTACTTCCTTCCCACCCAGCCTATCACAGTATACCGAGGGCCTTGCTGCCGAAGCTGCTGTATATTGACAACCACACATATCAGAAGCCTTTGGGGCTAAAAATCAGATTGCTGGCTGGGCGTGATGGCTCACACCTGTAATCCCAGCACTTTGGGAGGCTGAAGCGGGCGGATCACGAGGTCAGCAGTTCGAGACCAGCCTGGCCAATGTAGTGAAAACCCCCGTCTCTACTAAAAATACAAAAATTAAGCCAGGCATGGTGGTGCGTGTCTGTAGTCCCAGCTACTCAGGAGGCTAAGGCAGGAGAATCACTTGAACCTGAGAGGCAGAGGTTGCAGTGAGCTGACAGAGCGAGACTCCATCTCAAAAAAAAAAAAAAAAAAAAAAAAGATTGTTGAGCTTCAAACCTTTCTGGGGGCTGGGAGGAGCCAAAAATGTGCATTTTAAACAAGCATTCCAAGTAATTTTTTTTTTTGCATCCAGAAGTTTGTGAACCACTGCTATGATGAGGGCATGTGTATCCTAGGCTACCCAGAGATATACACAAAAGTTAGATTTCATATAGTCTATTTGTCTAAGAAAAATAAATGAAAAAGCAGGCCAAAGGAGTTGACATCTTTATTTCTTTCCTCAAAGAGATTTTAGCAATTACCAAACAAGAACCGTATCTCCTCTTTCTGTGGAGTGAGAACAGGAAGGGAAAAAATGGCATCGACAGATGGGTTGTCAATTAGTGAGGGATGAGGCCAGCCATCACCCTTTCAAAAATACATTTTCTTCTTAGATGTAAATTCTGCAGTGCAAGACGAGGGACTGGGACACGGGCTGTCTCTTAATTTTTTTTTTTAAGGCAGTTTTGCTCTGTCACCCAGGCTGGAGTGCAGTGGCATGATTTCAGCTCACTGCAACCTCCACCTACCAGGTTCAAGCAATTATCCTGCTTCAGCCTTCTGAGTAGCTGGTATTGCAGGCACACGCCACCACGCCCAGCTAATTTTTCTATTTTTAGTACAGACTGGGTTTTGCCATGTTGGACGTGCTGGTCTTGGACTCCTGGCCTGAAGTGATCTACCTGCCTCAGCCCCCCAAAGTGCTGGGATTACAGGTGTGAGCCACCATGCCCAGCCATGTCTTTTTTTTTTTTTTTTGAGATGTAGTTTCGCTCGTTGCCCAGGCTGGAGTGCAATGGCACAATCTTGGCTCACCGCAACTTCCGCCTCCTGAGTTCAAATGATTCTCCTGCCTCAACCTCCCAAGTAGCTGGAATCACAGGCATGCACCACCATGCCCAGCTAATTTTTTGTATTTTTAGTAGAGACGGGGGTTTCTCCACGTTGGTCACGCTGGTCTCGAACTCCCGACCTCAGGTGATCTGCCTGCCTGGGCCTCCCAAGGTGCTGGGATTACAGACGTGAGCCACCGCACCCAGCCTCTTAATTCTTAATGGGGCCAAATAATCCTTTCCCTCCGAAATATAAAACCAGGACAAGAGAAAAATGTGAGTTCTCTCACCACCTATTCCCACTACCTTCCCCCTTCAGAGGCCAAGTTTGGCTGCATGTGATGATCCCTGCTGCTCTGTGCTGTTCCTCACCCATCTCCACTGACCCAACAGAAGGTGGCGCTATTAATATTATGCCTCCTCTGACACCTGCTACCTGTCGATTAGCAGAGGATGTTTACCCCTCTGCTCTTGAAATCAAATGTCATTTGTCTGATTACATAGAGGCTATGTGAGAATGTTTTTCAAGAAGTCTAATAGGAAAGTGACTTTTAAAACTGAAATGTCTTGAGTACATGGGGTAAATGTTTCTTCATCCTCATTCACGCATTCTTGTTTCTTTCTCTCATATATACACATAATTCTGTTTCTTCTTAGAAAGAGGTAAATGGCCTTGGCAACTATGCCCCTGGCTAGAAGATGATGATCATGCTGACAACTCCATTAAATCAATCCACAGAATGTGTACGCAAGGACACTGAAGCCACTACTCATTTGTTCAGCCAAAGTTGCCAACTTAGAGACTGGCACAAAGCCCCGAGTTTTCCCTGCAATTCCTGAATTCAGAGGCATCATGCAGGCATTAACCCATATTTATCTTGAGGTCTGCCAAAGACGAATGCAAGTAGATGGGTGGCAGAGGTGAGATTTTCAAAGTCAGTGGGTTTTCTGGTTAAGAACAGGTGGGCGAGAGTTTGGGCTCCTCTTCTCTCATAGATGAAAATAACTGACAGGTTTTTACAAGATTTATGTCACAATCTAAAAATGATTCATTCTCCAAGGCATGGAATAGTTCTTGCTTTATAAAAATAGTACTGCGATTAAAAAAAAAGCACTTCTGCCAAAGGAACCATGTTCCAACACCGCAAACAAGGTGTTCTGCTTAAACAGAGTAAGATACACCACCCCCATCCATCCCTTCCTTCCCTGTTCCCCTCCCAACTTGAGTTGTGTCATTCGCACCAGTGTCCTGGGTGGTAGGGATGCTACAGCCACCTAAGGCAAGGAGCCCTGGGAGGTGGGAGGGCTTGCATGGTTAAGCACACCAGAACTGAAGCGCAAAAGGGTCAGCTGTCTTCATCTAGAATCTCTGGATGTTCCTTCCAGAAAGCATCCCCGATGATATCGCAGTGCAAGGGCACTGGCTTTGTCCTGGTCCGGGTCACTGCCATCTTTTTTCCTTCCATTTCTGTTGGCAGCTTAATTTCTTTTGTCATCACTTCATCCACCTACAGGTAAAAATAAAGTAGTGACATTGTTAAGTCAGGAGTGGGTTTGGGAGAGAAAGGAAAGATGTGGGGATAGCTCACTTTTTATCTTCATATACTTCCGACTGCCAGATTTGAGATATATATAGATATAAATATGTGTATATATATGCGCATATATGTATGTGTGTATATATACATATATATATAAAATCTCAGTATGCATGAAGTTCTTTATAATTAAAAATAGTTTTAAAAAGGTTATGTTATCCGAGCGCGGTGGCTCACGCCTGTAATCTCAGCACTTTGGGAGGCTGAGACATGCAGATCACTTGAGGTCAGGAGTTCGAGACCAGCCTGGCCAACATGGTGAAACTTTGCTTCTACCAAAAATACAAAAATTAGCTGGAAATCCCTTGAACCCAGGACGGGGAGGTTGCAGTGAGCCGAGATGGCACCACTGTACTCCGGCCTGAGCAACAGAGCAAGACTCTGTCTTAAAAAAAAAAAAAAAAAAGGTTATACTATTCTGAAGCAATCTTAGGAACAAAGAAAGGATTCCATGTTCCTCATTAGCAATAACTATAGAATTAAAGGTATTTCTTACCTTCCACCTGCATTAAGAAGTATCCAAGTCTGTACCAAAGAATAAATGTTTTGAACAACTCAAAGAGCTGGAGTTGCCAGTGGAATGACTAGCTCTCAAGGTACTCCTTGGTACTTGAAAACATTCATTTCAGAAAAAAAAAAAACAAAAAAACTTTACATGGAAGGAAATAAATTTAGAGAAATCATTATGCCTAACAGCTGGTACAGAGAGAAAATATTGGTAAAATTAAGGATATAGGTAAATGTACAGACTTATTACAGAATATTAAGCTAAGTATGAATGTCAAGGGAATCTCATGACATTTACGAAAATAACAAACCCTCATATACATTGTCTCTTAGTGCCTCATATTACAGTTGTCATGGGATGGAGAGACCATTTAATGGTATTATCCAGTGTGAAAGTATTTTTTAAGTATTTTATTAATGCACAAATCCTCATATCTGTACTGTATCCTTTTTAAAGGATTTTATCGGATACAGGGACAGCTTACAACACAGAAAAATAAAGGCACTAATTCTAAAATTCTGTAATTCTGCTTATGTATGGGAGATTTCGGACCACTACTGACAAAATGCACATTAAAAATAAGAATCTATGGCCTCTCCTCTTGGAAAGGTTTGCATTAGCAACTGGAGTAACATCAGCATACAGGCAGCAGGGAGGGCACAGCTTGGAATGGGCACAGGCTATCTTTTTTCCTGACTTCCATTTTTCTTTGAACATAACAGCATTACCTTCTGCCATATCAACACAGTCCCTTTCCTATACATCGGCAGCTCATTATTATAGTTGATGTTGAATTCAGAAAACAAAATCTCATTCTTGTCTGCTGCAAGAGTTCCCTGAGAAAATAAAAATAGATATTAAAAGCTCTGCATGTCTTCTTTCTCCCCTAGTGCTACTATCCATTCGACCCACAACCTAAATTTCCACAATCAAGAAGTGGAAGGATTTTATCAAACATCTTATAGTTATTAGTAAATTTTCATCTTAAGGGCAATTATGATCTTACTTAGATAAAATTCTCTCCTATACCAAACACTGGCTTCACAAGTCAAGACTGAAAGGGAGTGGGGAGAATTAATACTAACTGAATACATATTATGTATTTGGTCCAGTAAAACTTAGAAAGGTTATATAAATTCCCCAAGGTTAAAAGGTTGTCCTTATTCTTCTACGAAGAATTGAAATCTGAACTTGACTCTTCCAAACCTGGATATACCTACCAGTATGCCTTTTTTTTTTTTAGACAAAGTCTCACTCTGTTGCCCAGGTTGGAGTGCAGTGGTGCAATCTCAGCTCACTGCAACTGCCACCTCCCAGGTTCAAGCGATTCTCATGCCTCAGCCTCCTGAGTCGCTGGGATTACAGGTGTGTGCCAGCACACCCAGCTAATTTTTGTAGAGAAGCGGTCTCACCATGTTGGCCAGGCTGGTCTTGAACTCCTGACGTCAGGTGATCCACCTACCTTGGCCTCCTCAGAGTGCTGGGATTACATGCGTGAACCACCACACCAGGCCCCAGTTTTCCTATTATTGCTATATAAAAATCTCTATCATTACTATTATTAAAAATGACAACCATTTATTGAGCAAACATAATGTACCAGGCATTGTATTAGTAACTGTTACAGCTGGGCACAGTGGCATGCACCTGTAATCCCAGCTACTTGGGAGGCTGAGGTGGGCGGACTGCTGGAGCCCAGGAGTTCAAGACCAGCCTGGGGAAAATAGCAAGAACCCATCTCAAAAAATAAATAAATAGATAAAATAAAATACAAATAAAAGATCTGTTACAACACATTACCTCACTTCACAGTTAGTCATCCTACAAGTAGCACTGTTATAACAAAAACCAGTATTTATTAAGCACTTACAATGTGCTTCATACGATTCTGTGTTTTACGTGCATCATGCCATTTAATTCTCACCATAAACCTATGAGGTAGAAACTACTATTTTCTACATTTTACCTATAAAGAACTGAGGCAGAAAGGATAAAATTACACAGAAGCATGATGTGAGTAGTTATTATGACATTTATGAAAGTAACAAACTCAGCACGAACTCTTCCTATACACAGAGGTCATAAACCCAAGAAACTACAGGTGCCCAGCAGGGAAAATGGCAATGAGGGAAGAGGCGTGGTGGGACTGACAAAAATTCAGTGCTGGCCAGGTGTGGTGGCTCACTGGCTCACGCCTGTAATCCCAGCACTCTGGGAGGCCCAGGCAGGCAGATCACTTCAGGTCAGGAGTTCAAGACCAGCCTGGCCAACGGGGTGAAACCCTGTCTCTACTAAAAATACAAAAATTAGCTGGGTGTGGTGGCATGCACCTGTAATCCCAGCTACTTGGGAGGCTGAGGCACGAGAATCGCTTGAGCACAGGAGGTGGAGGTTGCAATCAGCTGAGATCACACCACTGTACTGCAGCCTGGGCAACAGAGTGAAACTGTGTCTCAAAAAAAAAAAAAAAAGTCAGTGCTGAAGACGGCAGTCATACACAGTCATACACGGCTTCAGGCAAGTGTTAGCACGTGGGAATGCAGAGCCAGTGCCGTCAATTCCATTTTCCACTAAGAACACAAAGGCTCAGGGAGAAGCAGTAATTCATCCAGGATTACAGACCAAGCAGGCAGCAGAGCTGCTCCTATTATGATTTTTATATCCTTTCAAAACAAAGCTGTACAGGGATCTTAAAAGAAAGAAATGTAAATTTAACAAAAAAAAAGTTATGGGAGAGCCTACAGCGAACTGTCCCCAGTTAAGTATTAATGTAGTAAGATCTTTATACCTGTAATCTCCCTTGGGCTTGTACTGGTGTTAGTCCAGATTGTTGTATAAGTGCCCAGAAAACTGTATTATAAAGATTATTGATGTGACCTGTGAGGAGAACAAAATAGTAATGTTTATATACATAAAATCTTTATTGAATATTCATTCTTCAAGGAATACTAGAGCCCTGACCCTCTCCTCTTTCATAGTAAAGAGATCTCAGAGACATTCAGTGACTTGACCGAAGTCCTACACACGGAACATGGAGGGAAGGAGCAGTAGGGAAAAAACTTCATCCCTAACAACAGTTTTATTTGGTCATTTCAGTTACACATTATACAAATCTGTTAACTTGTGTGTTAATCCTAGGAATACTTTAGAAGTTATTTGATTTATATTATTTCAATCTCTTTTCCAGTTCTTCTGGAAAATTCAAACTAGAACAAGCAAGTAAAAGCCTCACAAACATCATCACAGTCACATAAGGCAAGGGTCACAATTCAAATACCCACTGAGGCCAGCATGAACATAAATGTGTAAAGCAGTGGGTGACCCCAGAGGAACAACAGGGAATGGCAGAGACTATGGCACACTGGCATTTGTGTGTGTGTGTGTGTGTAAAGGTAGCTGCCACTGAACAGGCTTTGTCTAGTACTAAGTAAGAATGCAGATCCAGTATTGCCACATCTGATTTTTTTAAAAAATAGAGATAAGGCGGCTGGGCGTGGTGGCTCACGCCTATAATCCCAGCACTTTGGGAGGCCAAGGCGGGTGGATCACCTGAGGTCAGGAGTTCAAGACCAGCCTGACCAACATGGAGAAACCCCATTTCTACTAAAAAATACAGAATCAGCCGGGCGTGGTGGCACATGCCTGTAATCCCAGCTACTCGGGAGGCTGAGGCAGAAGAATCCCATGAACCCAGGAGGTGGAGGTTGCAGTGAGCCAAGATGACACCACTGCATTCCAGCCTGGGCAACAAGAGCGAAACTCTGTCTTAAAAAAAAAAAAAAATAGAGATAAGGAGTTTTTACGTAAAATTTAATTTTTCAAATACTTTTAACTAATTGAAAAAATATTTAAATACTGCATTCTGTACAACGTATATGTTGAAACAAAGTATATGTGAGCCAATCCTGTATCAGATCAACACCTGTAAGACATGGAATTGGTGGTTTAACTACATGTGTTTATTTGGTGCCACTCACAATCTGCTTGTCGCCAGCTGAGGTAGTCCTTTAAAGTCTGGTTGCTGGGATACACCACGACTCTTCCGTCAAAGCCTGGGGGATACAGAAGGGGCTGGTCCTCAAAGTAATCCCGCCAATAAAACACATAGCTGGAGGCAAACTGGGAGGCCACGTGAGTCATGAACTTACTTGAAAATGTAACGCACATTGGGTGGAGTAAGAAAAAGAAAAATACACGGAATTAGTTCAACACCATGATAAGACCTGTGGGTACCACAGAGAGTACACAAACTGCCCAGAAAGCCAGGAGATAAAATGCATTTGGCTAAGAAACACTATTTTAATACCTTGGTTCTGTATTTTTTTTTCTTTTTTTAGGACAGAGTCTTGCTCTGTTGCCTGGGCTGGAGTGCAATGGCACCATCTTGGCTCACTGCAACTTCTGCCTCCTGGGTTCAAGTGATTCTCCTGCCTCAGACTCCCGAGTAGCTGGGATTACAGGTGCAGGCCACTACGCCCAGCTAATTTTTGTATTTTCAGTAGAGATGGGGTTTCACCATGTTGGCCAGGCTAGTCTCAAACTTCTGACCTCAAGTCATCTGCCTGCCTCAGCCTCCCAAAGTGCTGGGATTACAGGCGTGAGTCATCACACCTGGCCAGTTATGTATTTTAAATGCAGCCTGCCTCTCCTTCCAGTTCTATTAAGTAACCTACTGATACTAAACCTTTCCCTACAGGATGTGATACGAATTTATGATTCAAGGGGTATTTTTAAATTTTATTTTATTTTTTAAAAGATGGAATCTCTCTGTCCCTCAGGCTGGGGTGGATTGGCACAATCATAGCTCACTGCTGCCTCAAATTCCTTGGCTCAATGGATCCTCCTGCCTCAACCTCCTTAGTAGCTGTGACTATAGGCACATGCCACTGAGCCCGGCTAATTTTTAAATTTTTTGTAGAGATGAGGTCTCACCATCTTGCCCAGGCTGGTCTCAAACCTCTGGGCTCAAGTAATCCTCTCCCTTACCCTCTCAAAGTGTTGGGATTACAGGCGTGAGCCACCACGCCTGATCTGTTTGTGTTTACAGTCATGAAAGGAGAGAAACCATTGTTGTAAAAAAAATGCCAATTCAGGCTGGGCGTGGTGGCTCATGTCTGTAATCCTAGCACTTCGAGAGGCCAAGACAGGAGAACTGCTTGAGGCCAGGAGTTTGAGACCAGCCTGGGCAACACAGAGAGACCCCACCTCTATTAAAAAAAGAAAGAAAGAAAAAACCAATTCATTATATGATTTGTTTCCCATACAGCGTTTCAAAATACTGCCAAATCAAATATCAGATTTGTGTATTTTATAATGAGATCTGTCTTGAGGAACAGTGTAATGCAATGCACGTAGAGACTATCACTGGCTAAAGCCAACCTATGAATTGTTAATATTACATTCTTATAGTCTCTGTTTCTAATCTTAATGTTCAATGCCAGGTCAGTCTAGAAACCAATCTTATGGGGCATGTGGGGAAAGAATCAGATAAAAGAGGCACACAGAATGCTCGGCTATCAGATGGAAGTACAACAATCTAAACAGGAAATATACATGTACTCTGCAGTTACAAATACTGCAGACATCATCTGTAGCCTGTAAGTCTGCGATTAAGATAAACAGAAAACCAGATGCTGGGAGGAAATATTCTGAAGAAAGGAGTTAGGTCATGGAATTACCTGGCTCTTCTTTTAAACCAATTGGTTTTCCGCTTGAACACAAAGCTGTACTCATCACTCTGTCCATACGCGATCACAATATCCTCTAGTTCTTCCATCACAGTCTGCGCACATTTGGTCATCAGCTGGAGAGCACGGCTGTCATTGGGTTTTGCAAAGTTGTGCTTCTCAGCAAACCTTCACAGGGGAAAAAGGGAAGAAAGCATGGATGGAAGCCTGTCATTAACAACACGCTCTGTTGCTAGATAACAGAGGCTGTTTGGAGGAAGATAATGTAATAGCACTGTGAACTCAAATGCTCAACTAGCCACAACCTGATCCATTTTCTTAAGAACTTAGTTTTTTTCCTGCCCTGAAATTGAGAAAGCCAGACAGAAATGCTAAGCCTCAACTCTCCTTTCTGTGAAATGGGAATAAAAGAATATTTACCTCATTGGGTTGTCCTGAAGATTAGGGAGAAGATAAAAGTAATCATACCTAGCTCCTAGTAAGTGCTCAATAAATGTTAGTTATAATAATCATTAACAATGCAGCCCTCTTCAAAGATTAAATTCCCATCTTTCTGTTATATTTCTTTCTCCCCCTCCCTCTTTTTCTGAGACAGGGTCTTGCTCTGTCACCCAAGCTGGAGTGCAGTGTCCAATCACCGCTCACTGCAGCCTTGACCTCCCAGGCTCAAGCGATCCTTCCACCTCAGCCTTCCCAGTAGCTGGAACTACATGTGTGCACCACTGCGCCGGGCAAATTAAATTTTTTCTTTTTCTTTCTTTCTCTCTTCCTTCTTTCTCTCTCTCTCTCTCTTTTTTTTTTTTTTTTTTTTTTTTTTTTTGTAGTGGCGGAGTTTCACAAACAACAACCACAGAAAAAACAAAACAAAAACAAAAACTTGGTCTCCAACTCCTGGCCTTAAGTGATCCTCCTGCCTCCCGCGCCCAGCCTTCTCTTTTTTTCTGACTCTCTGTTGAATCTAGTCCATGTGGCCTGTTACTGATAATGAAGCACAGACGTTAAGTATTGCCCACAAGCAAGGCTTACACAGACTTCTGAACAGTCAGCATTCAAAGATATCTAACAGAATAGCTAGGCAATTGGCTTAAGAGCTTAAATATTGTGCATGAGAGTGACTTTTAACAACAGGTCCTTGCTAACAAGTCTCTGTTCACTTAACACGGGCACTCCAAGCCAGATCCTCATCACGGGAGCACATCGCCCATTCAATTACGCTAACAGCCAGCGTTCAGGCACTGTCCTAGCCAACACGCAGGGCGGGGCAATGCTCCATGCTGCGCACTCATTGGCTACCGCGTTACCCTGGTAACCGTGACTGGAGCGGGCGGGAGGACTTGCAAGGGAAGAAGCTGGATTCCCCGGAAGCGCTGGCGCATCGCGACGCCCCGAGTCGAGCTCGCTCACCGATGGAAATTCCGGCCGTCCAGCCGCACTACCACCCAGCAGTGTGCCAGGCAGGTGTCGTCAGCCTCGAAGTCCCTCACGTACTCGAACTTGCTTTTTGCCATGGTCGCCCCCAATCTCAGGTACCGTCTCAGAGTGATGGAAATGGTGGCCAAGGAATCGTGAACCTTAACTTTACAGGCGCCCCACATTCTACACGCGGAAAGGAAAGGGCCAGATAGCCCCGCCCCGGAAGTGTTCTCTTCGCGGCTACTCTAGCCGTAGGGCAGTCATAGTCTCTCTCGCCTCTCCCTGTAGTTCTTAACCTCCCAGGCAAAGAGGATGGAGGTTTAGGTTCCTCCGTTAGCACCTTCCACGCTTGCTTCTTCCTCCTCCCGTCCTGCGGCAAATCAGTCTCACGAGGTTTTTAAAAATTATTTTTTATCTGCTGGTCTTGACTTACTGGCAAAAGCAATCAGTGTCCCCGTTAGTGCCCAGATCAAAATCATACCCCAACCTAAAAAAAAAAAAAAAAAAAAAAATTCTTTTTCTGGTGTTTGAAGGTGTAGCTGTGATGTTTCCCCTTTTCTTAGTGGCATTTATTAACTTGTAGAAAATCTGGAATACACCAAAACTATAGTTAAGAAAATTAACACTTTGTTTCTCCGTCTTTCCCATCAAAGCATTGTGGATGGTTCCTTTCAGTCTTTTTTCTTTTTGTGTATGTAGGTTTACACAGGGAATGCACAAGATTGGAATTATTCGCCTATACAATGTTTATATATTTTTCCACTCAGCTTGAGCATTTGCCAGTATCATCAATTATTCCAAAGTGTGATTTTTAAAAGAAAAATGGACTCAATATTCCAACATATGGGTATACTAAATTGATTTATTCAACTTTTTCACCATTAAATAATCACAGAACCAGTGTTTGATATCTTGTTGCTGGTGGATAATAGTAAAAATAAAATCCTAATATTTGTGTCATACTTTGTGATTTACAAAGCTCTTTCAAATTCATTACCTACTTACTTACTTTTTTTTTTTTTCCATCCTCAAGAAAGATATTCAGGCCAGGCACGGTGGCTGACGCCTGTAATCCCAGCACTTTGGGAGGCAGAGGCAGGAGGATTGCTTGAGTTCAGGAGATTCATACCAGCCTTGGCAACGTAGCAAGACCCCTGTTCCTACAAAAAAGAAAAAAAATTATCCAGGCTTAGTAGCCCATGCCCGTAGTCCTAGCTATGGGAGGATGAGGTGGGAAGATACTTGAGGCCAGGAGTTCGAGACTGCAGTGACCCATCATTAGCCACTGCACTCCAGCCTTGGTGACAGAGCAAGAATCTGTCTCTAAAGAAAAAGAAAAATATTCAAACAATATAAATCCTTTTATATGTAGCAAAAAGTCTCTCACTGACTCCTAACAACATACTTTAGGCAGTTACTGTTACCAGTTTTTTGTGTATCCATACAGGGATCTATATCAGTATGTGTGTATATCCTCATAATAGTACCACAAATGGTAGTCATCACTCCTTTGATGCTCAGAGTAACATCAGAGGGATGCAAAAGAGGAACTGGGATTTCACCTTTACAAAGGGGAAATCTGAGACTCAAAGAGAAAAAAATAATTTACATAAGGTCACATATGTGGCAGGACCAAGACATAAATTATGACATCCTGCATCTTTTCTTTGTTTCTGTTGCTGTGAAGTCAGTTTTCTGTAGGTTATCATTCCTCACCTTTTACTTCCACAAACTCCTCTCTCCAAGCTGACCAGGAGACAACCAAATCTTGCCTCCTCTAGGAGCCCTACTTTCATTAGGTGAATTTTTCAAAATTACTTATCAATATGAATTCATGATTTTTATTTTTTTTATGTGTATGTTTTCGAGACAGAGTCTCACTGTCACCTAGGCTGGAGTACAATGGCATGATCTCAGCTCACTGCAGCCTAGACCTCTTGGGTTCAGGTGAACCTCCCACCTCCCTTCCTAGTAGCTGGGACTACAGGTGCGTGCCACCATGCCCACCTAATATTTGTATTTTTTTTTGTAGAAACAGGGTTTCCCCATCCACATCCCACACTGGGAGATGAGACTCCTATCAGGGATGGGCTGAATATAAAATAAGCCAATTGGCTTTGGGTTGCTTTGCAGTGAAATGCATAGTAGAAGTACTACACTGTCTTCTCCCATAGCATCTATATGGTCTTTACATAAATTAAGCATTAAAATAACAGCATAGCAAGGAGGTCTTAAGATGCTAATCTGCCCTTTAGTAAAAGGGTTATAAAAGGTTTGTAAAGTTTTCACCTCATGGTCAAATTGGTTAGGATTAAATGGAATAATCTATAAGGTTTCATGTAAATGAATTGGGGTTAACATTAATAAATTAATGCAAGGGTAAAATTTTGCTTTGAACAAAATTTTCATGTCATAGTAAAGGCTAATGAAAGGTTTTTGCCTTTTGAGTCATCATTTTGGCAAAATAATTTATGGCAATCTGGAAATTGTCCCTCCGGATACCTGACTTTTTGGTTGGTTCAGAGGGCCCCAAAACATTCAGAAAAGAGATAAATAGGATCATTTGACATGTTTAGTCATAAGAGATTGCCAAAATGATGTCCAATCTTCTTTAAGTTATATTTTGATGAATAATACTAATATATGTTCCAAAATTGTATGGGATTTCTAAAATTCTAATGTCTAAGTATAGCTATCAATCATATTACCCTCAATCAATTAAGGGTAAAGTTATTGTAAACCATGAAGATAAGTAAACTTCGTCAGTCATATTTTTAACTATCCTGGAAATTTTTCATTCACAGACAATTGTTGTCTTGCTTTGTTCCTTCTCAAAAGATGGTTTATAATCAAGCTATGTGAAGGAATTTAACAGGTGTTCTCAAATGCAGGTTTTTAATAGCTTTAAAGATTGTAACATTGAAATAAAGAATGTAGGGACTCAGAAAGAACTGACATATTGACAAATGTCAAGCAAAATAAAAGTTTACTAAGTGGACTACACTCAGAAAGTTAAAGCAACCTTTTTAACCTTTGCTTGGAATATTGTCGATCTTTGTTTTGATTTTCAGAGTCAAGGAAAGTTATTTTAAACTATTTATGGACTTTAATAATTGAGTAAGTTATACTGTGAAGAAAACTTGGAGCATGTTTATTTTTCTCTGCCTGGTTCCTCTAGAATTTGGAAATTATCTGTGAGTACTCTTAACTTATGGGAATATAGTTGTTCATCTCAGTGCAATCAGAATCCATTTTTCTTTGTAAACAGGACACAGTTGGAAAAACTGGTTATTTTACCAGGGATTTGACTGAAAGGGTGTGTTTCCCTTTAAGGAATCAAGCTTGACATGCAAAGCCAATAAAAGCCCCTTGGGGAGAAATGGCCTCATACCTTGTCTGCACAGTCCCCACACAGGGTTCCTAACCTGTGGTCAGTAAAGAATGTCACTTTCTAACAGGTCTGGAAGCTCTGAGTTTATCTTGGGACCTCAAGAGGGGAGGATCACCCAACTCACAGGTATTAGAGGATAAAAACCCATGGCTGGGCTCAGCTTTAAAAGTCTTATCTGAAGGCCAGGCACAGTGGCTCATGCCTGTAATTCCAGCACTTTGGGAGGCTGAGGTGGGTGGATCACTTGAGGTCAGGAGTTCAAGACCAGCCTGGCCAATATGGTGAAACCCCATCTCTACTAAAAATACAAAAAGTAGCTGGGCATGGTGGCAGGCGACTGTAGCCCCAGCTACCAGGGAGGCTGAGGCAGAAGAATCACTTGAACCCGGGAGGCGGAGGTTATAGTGAGCCGAGATTGCACCATGGCATTCCAGCCTGGGTGACAGAGCAAGACTCCATCTCAAAAAACAAACAAACAAAAGTCTTACCTAAAATTCCTTGAGGAACAGAGTTTTATCAAAGCCAATCCAAAAGGCCTATGTCAAAATAACCATTCTTGCTGCACTTTAGGCAAATAATCAGGCCAAGTATAAGACTAAAGTTTATTCATAATTAGTTTTTACCAAAATGAGGACTGGAGAGAAAAACTTTGCTCCAAAGCTTATCATACATTTGTCATTAAATCCTAGTCTCATTATTGTTTTTAAGCTTTTTGCCTACAATTTAGCCCTGCTTACTCCTGTGAATCAAGTGGTGATCTTCTGCAGCTTGGGGAAAAAAAAAAGGGATGGGTAACATAAAAATGTGAATCAATATGCTAGTTCTGGGCAATTATCTTGCAAATTCTGCCAGGTAATGAAAGTGAGTAAGGTGCCCATAACCTGGAGGTTTCTTTGTTTGCGAAAATAAAACCAAGGAACTTCATAGACCCCCAAAGGGGAATTCTATATCTTGGCAAGTAAAATTTTAGATGGAAATTACCTGCCACACCACACTTGTGGGAACTGCTGTCCTCACTCTACTATTTGCATTAGGGTTATACATGGTAGCACCTTCTTTTTTTTGTTTTATTTTTTTAAATTTTAACTGATCCTTCTGATAGATTTTTTTAAAAATTATTATACTTAAAGTTCTAGGGTACATGTGCATAAGGTGCAGGTTTCTTACATAGGTATACATGTGCCATGTTGGTTTGCTGCACCCATCAACTCATCATTTACATTAGGTATTTCTCCTAATGCTATCCCTCCCCCAGGCCACTATCCCCCAACAGGCTCCAGTGTGTGATGTTCCCCACCCTGTGTCCAAGTGTTCTCATTGTTCAGTTCCCACCTATGAGTGAGAACATGCGGTGTTTGCTTTTCTGTCCTTGTGATAGTTTGCTGAGAATGATGGTTTCCAGCTTCATCCATGTCCCTGCAAAGGACGTGAACTCATCTTTTTTTATGGCTGCATAGTATTCCATGGTGTGTATGTGCCACATTTTCTTAATCCAGTCTATCATTGATGGACATTTGGGTTGGTTCCAAGTCTTTGCTATTGTGAATAGTGCCACAATAAACATATGTGTGCATGTGTCTTTATAGTAGCATGATTTATAATCCTTTGGGTATATATGCAGTAATGGGATGTCTGGGTCAAATGGTATTTCTAGTTCTAGACCCTTGAGGAATTGTCACACTGTCTTCCACAATGGTTGAACTAATTTACACTCCCACCAACAGTGTAAAAGCATTCCTATTTCTCCACATTCTCTCCAGCATCTGTTGTTTCCTCACATTTTAATGATCACCATTCTAACTGGCGTGAGATGGTATCTCATTGTGGTTTTGATTTGCATTTCTTTGATGACCAGTGATGATGAGCATTTTTGCATGTGTCTTTTGGCTGCATAACTGTCTTCTTTTGAAAGTGTCTTGTTCGTATCCTTTGCCCACTTTTTGATGAGGTTGTTTTTTCTTGTAAATTTGTTTAAGTTCTTTGTAGATTCTGGATATTAGCCCTTTGTCAGATGGGGAGATTGCAAAATTTTTCTCCTATTCTGTAGATTGTCTGTTCATTCTGATGGTAGTTTCTTTTGCCGTGCAGAAGCTCTTTAGTTTAATTAGATCCCATTTGTCTATTTTGACTTTTGTTGCCATTGCTTTTGGTGTTTTAGTCATGAAGTCCTTGCCCATGCCTATGTCCTGAATGTTATTGCCTAGGTTTTCTTCTAGGGTTTTTATGGTTTTAGGTCTAACATTTAAGTCTTTAATCCATCTTGAATTAATTTTTGTATAAGGCGTAAGGAAGGGATCCAGTTTAGGCTTTCTACATATGGCTAACCAGTTTTCCCAGCACCATTCATTAAATAGGGAATCCTTTGCCCATTTCTTGTTTTTGTCAGGATTGTGAAAGATCACATGGTTGTAGATGTGTGGTGTTATTTCTGAGGGCTCTGTTCTGTTCCATTGGTCTATACATCTGTTTTGGTACCAGTACCATGCTGTTCTGGTTACTGTAGCCTTGTAGTGTAGTTTGAAGTCAGGTAGCGTGATGCCTCCAGCTTTATTCTTTTTGCTTAGGATTGTCTTGGCTATGCAGGCTCTTTTTTGGTTCCATATGAACTTTAAAGTACTTTTTTCCAATTCTGTGAAGAAAGTCATTGGTAGCTTGATGGGGATGGCATTGAATCTATAAATTACCTTGGGCAGTATGGCCATTTTCACAATATTCTTCCTATCCATGGGCATGGAATGTTCTTTCATTTGTTTGTGTCCTCTTTTATTTCGTTTGGCAGTGGTTTGTAGTTCTCCTTGAAGAAGTCCTTCACATCCCTTGTAAATTGGATTCCTGGGTATTTTATTGTCTTTGCAGCAATTGTGAATGGGAGTTCACTCATGATTTGGCTCTTTGTCTGTTATTGTTGTATAAGAATGCCTGTGATTTTTACACATTGATTTTGTATCCTGAGACTTTGCTGAATTTGCTTATCAGCTTCAGGAGATTTAGGGCTGAGACGATGGGGTTTTCTAAATATACAATCATGTCATCTGCAAACGGACAATTTGACTTCCTCTTTTCCTAATTGAATACCCTTTATTTCTTTCTTGTGCCTGATTGCCCTGGCCAGAACTTCCAACACTATGTTGAATAGGAGTGGTGAGAGAGGGTATCCTTGTCTTGTACTGGTTTCAAAGGGAATGATTCCAGTTTCTGCCCACTCAGTATGATATTGACTGTAGGTTTGTCATAAATAACTCTTATTATTTTGAGATACGTTCCATCAATACCTTGTTTATTTAAAGTTTTTATTGAGAGTTGTTTATTGAAAGTTTTTAGCATGAAGGGCTGTTGAGTTTGTTGAAGGCCTTTTCTGCACCTATTGAGATAATCATGTGGTTTTTGTCTTCGGTTCTGTTTATATGCTGGATTACGTTTATTGATTTGCATATGTTGAACCAGCCTTGCATCCCAGGGATGAAGCCGACTTGATTGTGGTGGATAAGCTTTTTGATGTGCTGCTGGATTCAGTTTGCCAGTATTTTATTGAGGATTTTTGCATCGATGTTCATCAGGGATATTGGTCTAAAATTCTCTTTTTTGTTGTGTCTCTGCCAGGCTTTGGTATCAGGATGATGCTGGCCTCACAAAATGAGTTAGGGAGGATTCCCTCTTTTTCTATTGATTGGACTAGTTTCAGAAGGACTGGTACCAGCTCCTCTTTGTATCTCTGGTAGAATTCGGCTGTGAATCCATCTTGTCCTGGACTTTTTTTGGTTGGTGGCTATTAATTGTTGCCTCAATTTCAGAGCCTGTTATTGGTCTATTCAGGAATTCAACTTCTTCCTGGTTTAGTCTTGGGAGGGTGTGTGTGTCCAGGAATTTATCCATTTCTTCTAGATTTTCTAGTTTATTTGCATAGAGGTGTTTATAGTATTCTCTGATGACAGTTTGTATTTCTGTGGGATCAGTGGTGATATCCCCTTTATCATTTTTTATTGCGTCTATTTGATTCTTCTCTCTTTTCTTCTTTATTAGTCTTGCTAGTGGTCTATCAATTCCGTTGATCTTTTCAACAAACCAGCTCCTGGATTCATGGATTTTTTGAAGGTTTTTTTGTGTCTCTATCTCCTTCAGTACTGCTCTGCTCTTAGTTATTTCTTGCCTTCTGCTAGCTTTTGAATGTGTTTGCTGTTGCTTCTCTAGTTCTTTTAATTGTTATATTAGGGTGTCAGGTTTAGATGTTTCCTGCTTTCTCTTGTGGGCATTTAGTGCTATAAATTTCCCTCTACAAACTGTTTTAAATGTGTCCCAGAGATTCTGGTATGTTGTGTCTTTGTTCTCATTGGTTTCAAAGAACATCTTTATTTCTGCCTTCATTTCATTATGTCCCCAGTAGTCATTCAGGAGCAGGTTGTTCAGTTTCCATGTAGCTGTGTGGTTTTGAGTGGGTTTCTTAATCCTGAGTTCTCATTTGATTGCAGTGTGATCCGAGAGACAGTTTGTTGTGATTTCTGTTCTTTTACAGTTGCTGAGGAGTGCTTTACTTCCAATTACGTGGTCAATTTTAGAATAAGTGCAATGTGGTGCTGAGAAGAATGTATATTCTGTTGATTTGGGGTGGAGAGTTCTGTAGATATCTATTAGATCTGCTTGGTGCAGAGCTGAGTTCAATTCCTGGATATCCTTGTGAACTTTCTATCTCGTTGATCTGTCTAATGTTGACAGTGGGGTGTTAAAGTCTCCCATTATTATTGTGTGGGAGTCTAAGTCTCTTTGTAGGTCTCTAAGGACTTGCTTTATGAATCTGGGTGCTCCTGTATTGGGTGCATATATATTTAGGATAGTTAGCTCTTCTTGTTGAATTGATCCCTTTACCATTATGTAATGGCCTTCTTTGTGTCTTTTGATCTTTGTTGGTTTAAAGTCTGTTTTATCAAAGACTAGGATTGCAACCCCCCCTTTTTTTCTTTTTTTTGCTTTCCATTTGCTTGGCAGATCTTTCTCCATCCCGTTATTTCAAGCCTATGTGTGTCTCTGCATGTGAGATGGGTCTCCTGAATACAGCACACTGATGGGTCTTGACTCTTTATCCAATTTGCCAGTCTGTGTCTTTTAATTGGGGCATTTAACCCATTTACATTTAAAGTTAATATTGTTATGTGTGAATTTGATCCTGTCATTATTATGTTAGCTGGTTATTTTGCCTGTTAATTGATGCAGTTTCTTCATAGCATCGATGGTCTTTACAATTTGGCATGTTTTTGCAGTGGCTGGTACCAGTTGTTCCTTTCCATGTTTAATGTTTCCTTCAGGAGCTCTTGTAAAGCAGGCCTAGTGGTGACAAAATCTCTCAGCATTTGCTTGTCTGTAAAGGATTTTATTTCTCCTTCACTTATGAAGCTTAGTTTGGCTGGATATGAAATTCTGGGTTGAAAATTCTTTTCTTTAAGAATGTTGAATATTGGCCCCCACTCTTTTCTGGCTTGTAGGGTTTCTGCTGAGAGATGTGCTGTTAATCTGATGGGCTTCCCTTTGTGGGTAACCTGACCTTTCTCTCTGGCTGCCCTTAACATTTTTTCCTTCATTTCAACCTTGGTGAATCTGACAATTACGTGTCTTGGGGTTGTTCTTCTCGAGGAGTATCTTTGTGCTGTTCTCCGTATTTCCTGAATTTGAATGTTGGCCTGCTTTGCTAGGTTGGGGAAGTTCTCCTGGATAATATCCTGAAGAGCGTTTTCCAACTTGGTTCCATTCTCCCCATCACTTTCAGGTACACCAATCAAACGTGGATTTGGTCTTTTCACATAGTCCCATATTTCTCAGAGGCTTTGTACATTTCTTTTTACTTTTTTCCTCTAATCTTGTATGCTCACTTTATTTCATTAATTTGATCTTCAGTCGCTGATATCTTTTCTTCCACTTGATCGAATCAGCTATTGAAGCTTGTGCATGCATCACGAAGTTCTCGTGCCATGGTTTCCAGCTCCATCAGGTCATTTAATATCTTCTTTACACTGTTTATTCTAGTTAGCCATTTGTCTAACCTTTTTTCAAGGTTTTTAGCTTCCTTGCAATGGATTAGAACATGCTCCTTTAGCTCAGAGATGTTTGTTATTACCGACCTTCTGAAGCCTACTTCTGTCAACTCATCAAAGTCATTCTCCATCCAGCTTTGTTCTATTGCTAGCAAGGAGCTGCGATCCTGTGGAGGAGAAGAGGCACTCTGGTTTTAGAATTTTCAGCTTTTCTGCTCTGGTTTCTCCCCATCTTTGTGGTTTTATCTACCTTTGGTCTTTGATGTTGGTGATCTACAGATGGGGTTTTTGGTGTGGATGTCCTTTTTGTTGATGTTGATGTTATTCCTTTCTGTTTGTTAGTTTTCCTTCTAACAGTTAGGTCCCTCAGCTGTAGGTCTGTTGGAGTTTGCTGGAGGGCCACTCCAGACCCTGTTTGCCTGGATATCACCAGTGGAGGCTGCAGAACAGCAAATATTACAGAACAGCAAATATTGCTGCCTGATCCTTCCTCTGGAAGCTTCGTCCCAGAGGGTCACCCACCTGTATGAGTAGTCTGTCGACCCCTACTGGGAGGTGTCTCCCAGTTAGGCTACATGGGCGTCATGGACCCATTCAAGGAGGCAGTCTGTCTGTTCTCAGAACTCAAACACTGTGCTGGGAGAACCACTGCTCTCTTCAGAGCTGTCAGACAGGGATGTTTAAGTCTGAAGAATTTTCTGCTGCCTTTTTTTCAGCTATGCCCAGCCCACAGAGGTGGAGTTCTATAGAGGCAGTAGGCCTTGCTGAGCTGTGGTGGGCTCCACCCAGTTCGAGCATCCAGGCCACTTTGTTTACCTACTCAAGCCTCAGCAATAGCGGACGCCCCTCCCTGCACCAGGCTCCAGCCTGGCAGGTGGATCTCAGACTGCTGCGCTAGCAGTGAGCAAGGCTCCATGGGGGTGGGACCCACTGAGCCAGGCACGGGAGAGAATCTCCTGGTCTGCCAGCTGCTAAGACCATGGGAAGAGCCCAGTATTTGGGCGGGAGTGTCCTGTTTTTCCAGGTACAGTCTATCATGACTTCCCTTGGCTAGGAAAGGGAAATCCCCTGACCCCTTCTGCTTCCCATGTGAGGTGACGCCCCACCCTGCTTCGGCTCTCCCTCTGTAGGCTGCACCCACTGTCCAACCAGTCCCAAAGAGATGAACCAGGTACCTTAGTGGGAAATCACTCGTCTTCTGCGTCAATCACACTGGGAGCTGCAGACCAGAGCTGTTCCTATTCAGCCATCTTGGAACAGACCTCCCATGGTAGCATCTTTAAACTGAAATATTGGACAGAGAGTTTCCATTGCTGTAGTATTTTGCTTAATTATTATCTTTATAGCAGGGATAATAGTTGACAAAAAGGAAGCATGAAAGTTTTACCATCACTGAGTCTGCTAGGCCTTTTTTGGGGTTTAGTAATGCAGTTTTAAATGAAACATGCTGCTTTTGGATTAACACCGCTAGTAAAGTAGAGGAAAATCTACAGGTACTTAAAAATCAAATCAGCTGGGCATGGCAGCTCATGCCTGTAATCCCAGCACTTTGGGAGGCTGAGGCAGGCAGATGACCTGAGGTCAGGAGTTCGAGACCAGCCTGGCCAACATGGTGAATTCCTGTTTCTACTAAAAGTACAAAAAATTAGCCGGGCATGGTGGCACGCACCTGTAATCCCAGCTACTCAGGAGGCTGAGGCAGGAGAATTGTTTGAACTCGGGAGGCGTAGATTGCAGTGAGCCGAGATCACACCATTGCACTCCAGCCTGGGCAACAACAGCAAAACTCCATCTCAGAAAAAAAAAAAATCAAATCATAATTATTGACAGGCTCAGGAAAAATGACAGCTTCAGCTCTGAGTGGCTACAATCCCTTTTTAATAAATTCCAGTCTTCTTTATGGAATTGGTTAACCCCTTTTTTAAGCACTCTCTTGCTTATATGTCTTGTATTGATATTTGGAGCCTATATACTCAATACTATAACTCAAATTGTTTCTTCTCACCTAGAAGCAATCAAACTCCAAACGGTGCTGTAAACTGAAACACACATGGAGATGCCATTCTTCTGAGGACCCTTAGATCCACCCCAGGAGGAGCCCTAGCTGCTGTTCCCCCATGTGACTCCCCTTTTCAGCAGAAAGTAGCCAGAAAGAACCATAACCCAAAACCCTCTAACAGCAGTTAGTGTGGCATCTCCATAGCGGGGAATGTTGTAGGAAGAGAGGTCCTTGGGAAGTTTTCTTTTTTTCTTTTTTTTTTGAGACAGAGTCTCACTCTGTTGCCCAGGCTGGAGTGCAGTGGCGCAATCTCGGCTCACTGCAAGCTCCGCCTCTCAGGTTCACCCCATTCTCCTGGCCCAGCCTCCTGAGTAGCTGGGACTACGGGTGCCCACCACCACACCCGGCTAATTTTTTTTTTTTTTTTTTGTATTTTTAGTAAAGACGGGGTTTCACTGTGTTAGCCAGGATGGTCTCTATCTCCTGACCTCGTGATCCTCCCGCCTCGGCTTCCCAAAGTGCTGGGATTACAGGCGTGAGCCACCGTGCCTGGCCAAGGGAAGCTTTTGTTTTTTAAAGCATCTCTGGAAAAGTTTCTCTTAAATCCCTGGCTCTTAGCAGCAGCCCACCAACCTTTGATATGCAAATACTGACCATTAGAAAGTGGGCCCACCCAAACATGGAGATTCCTGTGGCCTTCCTGCCCTTTCCCCACATGTTCCTGGCAACATGGCCACCTCCAAATATCCCCAGGAGTGTAGAACATCATGGCGCCCTACATTTGCATATTAAAAGGCTAGGGTGGGAGGGTCAGCTTTTTTACAGGCTACGTGAATGTCATGCCTAGTCAAACCAATCCCTTGAGCCCTGTGCAAATCAAACACCACCTCCAGCCTCTGCATATATACCTGGCTGGTGTCCCTGCCAGGTGGGGACCTCCTCTTTCAGCTTTGGAGCCCCCATCCCTGTGTCTCTGTATGGGGGAGCTTCTTTCTTCTGTCTTCTCCCTTCCTTCTTACCTATTAAACTCTCCGCTCCTTAAAAGCAAAAAAAAAAAAAAGAAAGAAAGAAAAAACAGGGTTTCCCCATGTTAACCAGGCCGGTCTCCAACTTGTGGGCTCAAGCTATCCGCATGCCAAAGCGCTGGGATTACAGGTGTGAGCCACTATGCCCGGCCCTGAATTCATGATTTTTAAAAATGTATTTTCCAGGCCCAGTGCGGCGGCTCATGCCTGTAACCTCAGCACTTTGGGAGGCCAAGGCGGGCAGATTGCTTGAGGCCAGGAAATTGAGACCATCCTGGCCAATGTGGTGAAACTCTGAGCTAAAAATACAAAAATTAGCCTGGCATAGTGGGGCATGCTTGTAAATCCCAGCTGCTCGGGAGACTGAGGCATGAGAATCGGTTGAACCAGGGAGGAGGAGCTTGCAGTGAGTTGAGATCTCACCACTGCACTCCAGCCTGGGCGACAGATCCAGATAATGTCTCAAAAAAATAAAGTGTATTTCCCAGCTCTGTCCATTGGGTGGAGATAAAATGACACTCCAGAAGCAGTAAGCATCCAGATCTTAACTTCAAATTACCATTCCCCATGAAAATGAAAATAAACTCCTTGAAGAAATGGCTGGCTCCACATTGTGGCAGAGGAAATTCTAGGCGAGCCTGGGACACTGTGTTGTCCCAGAAAGGAAGGAAATGCTCAGACTAATGAGTGTATCTCAAAAAAGATGAGCCAGCTTAAAGGGGTTCCCACTGGCCAAATATGCGATAATTTGGGCATTGATAAAAATAATAACTATAATTGATTGCAATTGTATTGCAATTGTATTGATAGTGCCTGTAATCTTAGCTACTTGGGAGGCTGAGGCAGGATAATCGTTTGAACCCAGGAGGCAGAGGTTGCAGTGAGCCAAGATAGCACCATTGCACTCCAGCCTGGGTGACAAGAGCAAAACTCCATCTTAAAAAAACAAAACAAAACAAAAACACACACGCCAAAAGAACATAATCAGACATATTCAGGATGCAGGGTATTATGTAAGATCACTGACTTGGCTTCTTCAAAAGTAAATTTTATCAAGAAGAACAATATCTTTGAACATGTGTCCTAGGAGAAAAAAGGAAAATGAAAAAGGAGGAGAAACAGGGAAGAAAGAAAAGGTAAGTGGAGGGCTGGGCATGGTGGCTCACGCCTGTAATCCTAGCACTTCGGGAGGCCAAGGCGGGTGGATCACTTGAGGCCAGGAGTTGGAAACAAGCCTGGCCTTGATGGGGAAACCCTGTCTCCACTGAAAATATAAAAATTAGCCAGCTTGGTGGCTCATATCTGTAATCCCAGCTATTCAGGAGGCTGAGGGAGGAGAATTGCTTGAACCTGGGAGGCAGAGTTTGCAGCAAGCCAAGATTGTGCCACTGCACTCCAGCCTGGCCAACAGAGCAACACTGTCTCAAAAAAAAAAAAAAAAAAAAAAAAATAGAAAAGGTAAGTGGGGACTGTTCCAGAATAAGAGATTTAAGAGACATAACAACCAAATACAATGCAAAACTCTTGACTGGATACTGGCCTAAAAACCATTAAAAACAGCTCTAAATTCACTGGGGAAATCTGCAATTACAAACAACCCTAGGTTTTAGTGGTTTGTAAAACAAAAGTTTATTTCCTGTTCAAGTCACTTGTACTGCCAGTTGACTATGGTTATATTCCTGATAGCTGTTTTGATCCCTGTGTCTTACCCCAAAACCCAGGAAATGATTAGAAAAGCTTCTACACCGCACAATGTGCATCTTGCTGCTCACAATATGTTTGCTGAAGCAATATGGCCAAGCGCTAAGATTATAGGGGAAGAGTGTGTCATCTTCCCATAGAGAAGAGGAAAGTGAATACTTTTGAGTAATAATATAATCTATTGCCACTCTTTATTAGTGGATACTAGGGAATTTTAAATTTTACAGGTATGATAATGTAGTGTGTAAAAGACTAATCTTAGGAGACACACTAAGAAGTATTTAGGGATGAGATAGTAACAGTAAAAAAGTAGATTGGTAGTAAAAGCAAAAGTGGCAAACTGTTAACAACTATTGAATCTAGTGGTGGTTTTATGGGTATCCATTATATATTTTTTTAACTTTTCTACATGTTCTGGGTGGAATTGTGACTCTCCTAAAATATGTTGAAGTCCTAACCCATATATCTGTGGATGTAACTTTATGTGGAAGTAGGGTCTTTGCCCTATTGGCTACTGTAAGCAATTAAAATGGGGTCATTAGGATGTGCCTTTAGCCCACTATGACTGGTTTTCTTATAAGAAAACAGAGACACACACAGAGAGGAAGAATGGCACCTGAGGAAGGAAGCAGAGACTGGAGTGATGCATCTACAAGCCAAGAAAGGTCAAGGATTGTCCTTGACAAGGCTGAGGCAGGAGAATCCCTTGAGCTTGGTAGGTGGAGGTTGCAGTGAGCTGAGATGGTGCCACCGCACAGAGACAGGGTAAGTCTCTGTCTGAAAAATAATAATAATAATAATTGAGATCACAGATTTGGACTGCAGAAACTGAGCTTTAAATTATCAAAGTGACAGGAAGATTAGGAAATCTGCCAAATGTCCGTTAAGGATGAACCAGAATGATTTGACAGGGCATATTTGAATGAACTGATAGAATAAACATAATAGATCAATATTGAACTAAGATGAATCAGGAAACTGGTTATGGTAAAGATAACTGCCATTTTTTTGAGCACTCGCAAATTGCTATGTGATGCTGCATAAACCTTGTACAGGTCATCCTTTTTCATCCTCAGAATAATCCATTTTACAAATGAGAAAACAAACAGAGGCTTATAGGGATTAAAAGTCTGCACTTTTAGCCACAACACTCTCCTGCTCCAATAAAATAGTTAGCACATGCTATGTCCCTGGTGCTGTGTTAAGCACTCAGGATACATTTTCTAGACCCATCCTCTCAGCCGCCTTGTTGAGAAGCATTATTCTCCTTACTTATCAGATACCTACAAGAGATACAATAACTTCCTGCAGTACTATATATGGGAACCAGGGAAGCTGGGAGACTCATCCAGATCACTGTCTTTACAGGTGAATTCTACCTAGATCCTACCTACTCTCAGGGTTCTGACAGGTGGAGAAGATAAGACGATTATACTGCAAGGGAAAACATGGTGGGTGTCATAGAGTTCCCACAGACAAAGTACCATGAGAATCCCCAGGAAGAATGTTATTGAAGGGGAAAAGTAAACCCTAAATTTCTTTGAAACTCACAAACCCTTTTGTAAAATTCTGCACACAGGGAATATAAAATGGTGTAGCTGCTATGGAAAACAGTATAGCAGCTCCTCAAAAAATTAAATATAGGGCTGAGCATGGTGGCTCACACCTGTAAGTCCAGTGCTTTGGGAGGTCGTGTGTGGAAGACTACTTCAGCCCAGGAATTCAAGACCAGCCTGGGCAATATAGCAAGATCCCATCTCTAAAAAAAAAAAATTAAAAACAACCGCTGGGTGCGGTGGCTCATGTCTGTAATCCCAGCGCTTTGGGAGGCCGAGGCCAGCAGATCACGAGGTCAAGAGTTGGAGACCAGCCTGACAAACATAGTGAAACTCCGTCTCCACTAAAAATACAAAAATTAGCTGGGTGCAGTGGCGCATGCCTGTAATCCCAGCTACTCAGGAGGCTGGGGCAGGAGAATTGCTTGAACCCGGGAGGCGAAGGTGGCAGTGAGCCAATATCGCACCACTGCATTCCAGCCTGGGCGCCAGGGCAAGACTCCATCTCAAACAAACAAACAAACAAAAAATTGAATTACCATTGGTCCTGCAATTTCACTTCTGGGTACATAGCCAAAAGAATTGAAAACACAGTCTCAAAGAGATATTTGTACAGCCATGTTCATAGCAGCTTTATTCACAATAGCTAAAATGAAGAAGGAGCCTAAGTGTCTATTAATGGATGAGTGAATAAGCAAGATGTGGTATGCATACACAATGAAATATTATTCAGCCTTAACAAGGGATGAAATTCTGACACATGCTACCACATGAATGAATCTTGAGGACATTATGCTCCATGAAATAACCAAGTCACAAAAAGACAAATGCTGTGTGATTGCACTCATATGAGGTGCCTACAGTAGTCAAATTCATAGAGGCAGAAAGTACAATGGTGGTTGCCAAGGGGTTGGGGAGAAGGGAATAGGGAGGTGTTACTTGGTGGGTACAGAGTTTCTATTTTATAAGGTGAAAAGGGTTCTGCAGATTGGTTCATAACAATGTGAATGTAGTTAACACTACTGGATTGTATACTTAAAATGGTTAAGATGGTAAATTTTATATCCTGTGTATCTTAGCATAATTAAAAATAAATTAAAAATCTTCACACAACAGGTATTTATGACCTAACTGGACCTCTATTTTTATTTTATAAATTTTCTGTTACTTAGAAGATCACTTGCTCACTGCAGGCTGACACAAAGAAAAATAATTTCCTTTGGCATAGAAGTCATTTTTCATTTGACTTGATGCTGACTCATTTGGTTTGTGCTAAAAGCTGCATTATGTAAATGAAATTTACATAATGGATGGTGAAGAGGGGAAAGAAGAAGGAATAATTTGTGTCTAAAATCTCCTTTCTCCTCTGAACCACTCTAATCTAATTTCTGGCTTGGAGTAATGTATGTGATTCCAGGAATGACTGCCTAGGTCTGTCTTGGTTTTGAGGCAGATATAAGCATTAGGACATACCAGGATATACAAGGGTATAAAATTTAGAACTATTATTCCAGAATAAGTTTATGATTACAGGGAGTTATAATTATTATATTTGTCCTGCATTTTTTAGGCATTGCTTACATAGGTCAGGGTGAATGGATTTTATTTCTAAAGAGTCATTGATTGTGTGTCCTTAAAAGGACACGTTCAAGTTAACTACTCATTCTTTCTCTACTTAACAGGGGTTCCAGAAGTCAGAGGATGTGGTTGATGGAGGGCTTGGAAAAAGATGTTAGGAAAAGAGAAAGAGGAAATTAAATGTATGTTGCCTAGTCCCACTTGACCTTGTTCCATTTAATTCCACAAATGTTCTCATTCATTTAACAAGTATTTCTTGATTTATTTCTATGTACCATGCACCAAGGCTATCACGCAACAGCAAACAAGACAGCCATGCTGCCTGCCTGGTGGGGTACACGGTCAGTTGGGAAAGACAGACCTGATGACAATTGTGTGAAGTGTTGTGAATCAGGCTGGAGGCCTGGCGCTGGGGGCAGGTGTGGCTGGGGATAGTCCATGAAGTTTCCCCTGAGGAAGCAGTACTTAAATTGAGACCCAATAATGAGATCATAAGACAGCATGCTTACAGGTTTCTGGAATATTTGAATTGTAATGTTGGGTGAATGTTTTGCCACAACATTTTGCTTGTATAAGACTTTGGAAAGGAACCCTGAGTAGTGTGAATTTCTATATCATGGGTCAGCCAATGAATAAACACTGATTGAGCACCTTCAAAGTGTGAGGGCACTGGATGATGTGTGAGGTGTCTGGGCCAACTGAGAATCATTTTGATATTTCAGATATCCAGGACTGATTAAATGGAAGAGATAGACAAAAGACAAAAAAAAAAAAAAAGAACTTTTGTGTCCATAGGTACTGACTAGGAGGATATCATTGATAATAATTATACCTTCTGGACATAAGAAACTTATTCCAAACCATATTCTCATACGTTATTCATTTTTTTCCTCTCTCAATGAGTCTGTAGGGCAGGTAAGACAACAGTTTTCTCCATTTTATAAGAAAGGAAACAAATGTTGTGGGGATTAGTTAAGTGATTTGCCCAATGTCCCACAACCTTCCAAACTAGGATTAGAACCTAGGCCTTTTGACACCAAATCCAAGGTCCCCTCCACTCTGCCACCTTGCCTTTCCATGCCTGTCAGGAATGAAGTAGATAGCTGTTGTCTTTGCATGCCCAGCATTTCATTTTTCTGACTTTGGACCAGGGAAGCCCAACTGTCCTTTCCCCACCTTCAGGCCATGTAGTCCAGGTGGAGATAATCCCTCCTCACCTGTTGCTCCAGGGTGAGCACACGGCCAAGACACTGTCATGTCCTAGTGTGAACTGGACAAAGATCCCTCTCTCCTGTCACACACAGTCCTGCACCAGGATAAAGGCTTGGTGAATGCAGCCTTCGCTGGATTTCAGCCCCTGCTTGTCCTTTTTTACAATGAACAACCTGCACAAATATTTGTGGCCTTCCTAATGACTGAGACCTAGCCAGTAAGGTTCTGAGATGTGGATCTGACCCAAGCCAGGTCAATGAGACAGTCTGGCCCTTTGCTAGGATGACGAGGAAAGACAGGCTCTCTTCCCATTAGAATTGTTAACACTGGTGGCCATGTTGCCTTCAAAAGGGAAGAGACCACCCAAGATTTCAGTTTACAGAAAGGAAAGAAAATATGACAGAGGGAGAAAAAAACTGTGATAACATTGAGCACCACACTTGGAGCCAGTGCTACCCCTGGACTCATAAGTTCCTGGAGAGGGGGACTTTGCTTAATATTTTTCAAATCTGAATCCCTTATGCCTAGAACAGTGCCTGACACGAAGGAAGCAATCAATAAATATCTGTTGAATAATTGAGCTGATAAATTCCTTTTTTGTTTTTCTTTTTTGTATATGTAACTGGTTTGTTGGAAGTCTCAATTCATTGGGGAGTATAAATAAAAAGTAACTTTATTTTTCCCAGTAACTGTTCTCTCATGTTCTCCTTTCTTACTGGTTAGCAATTTCCTTGGAGCATGGCTAGGCACGGTGGCTCATGCCTGTAATCCCAACACTTTGGGAGGTTGAGGTGGACAAATTGCTTGAACCCAGGAGTTTGAGACTAGCCTGCACAATGTGGCGAGATCCTCTCTCTCTCCCCACCTCCAAAAAAAAAGAAAACAAACAAACAAAAAAACCCAAAAACAAAAACCCAGAATCTTGAACAGATCCCACAGCTTCCCAGGTAGAAAAATGTTCTAGTATTTGTGTTCAAGATTGGTTAGCAGGTGCGGTGGCTCATGCCTGTAATCTCAGCACTTTGGGAGGCAGAGGCAGGTGGATCACTTGAGGGAGGCCAAGAGTTCAAGACCAGCCTGGCCAACATGATGAAACACTGTCTCCACTGAAAATACAAAAGTTAGCTGGGTGTGGTGGCACATGCCTCTAATCCCAACTACTCGGGAGGCTGAGGCAGAGAATCGCTTGAACCTGGGAGGCGGAGGCTGCAGTGAGCCGAGATTGCACCACTGCACTGCAGCCTGGGCGACAGAGGGAAACTCTGTCCCCCCCAGCAAAAAAAAGAGAGAAAAGAAAAGAATCCGGCTGTGGTTTGAAACATAAACAAAGGTGAAGAAAACCTGGAGGTGGCTAGGCTACTGAGAATTTATTTTGTTATTTCAGATGCAATACCGATTAAAAGGAAGAGGTGGATAAAGAAGAAAAAAAGACAGAAGAAAAGAAAGGAAAAAGAAAGAGAAAGAAAGAAAGAGAAAGAAAAGAATAGAATAGAATTTGGTGTCCATAAAATGTTTTGAGGCCCTATATCACAAAGAACTCTAATACTTTTTAGAAAAGGCAAGGTATTAAGACATCTTGATATAATATAAAGATATTATTATTGATACAGAGACAGAATCATATTCACTGAAGTGTAAATTTCACTACATAGCTATGAGTTATAGGGCTGCATATAGAGTGGCCCATAATCATTTGGTCCTGAAAGGGTCATACGTTGGTAGAGAGATTGATGCAGGCAGATATTTCAGTTTAATTTTTTCCAGTGACTGGGCTGGCTTATCGAATAAAAGAATTTGAATTCTTCATGCCCATCTAAAAATGGAATCTGGAATGTGAATTGACTTTCTGATTTGGCTTATACTATTAGTCATTCCCATGCATTAAAAATTAACGGTAGAAGAAAATCTAATAAATAATTCATGATTTTTTTTTTGCTTGGGAAGAATTATTTCCTAATCTGAGTTCAATGATAGCTTTCATTTTAGCAATAGAAAAAAAAGTGCATGACAAATACTACTACTCATGCTTGATTTTTATTACTCATTCTGGTTACTTGAGTAACAAAAGAGGTTCCTTAAACACTCATACACAGAATTTCTCCTGTAGATATTTCAGGCATAGTTTTCTTCTGTTGCATAGTAGTCTGTGAAGAAACGTTAAATTAGGAAGAGAATTCAAAGAATTTCAAAGACTGAGCAACATCACATCACTGACATATTTACACTATTTAAGGAAACCTTTTTCTCCTTCCTTTTTTCAACCTGCTTTCTTAGGTTGAAAAAGAAATCTTTTTTATCCATGATATTTTGTTTTTGAAGATTACTGCCTGTGTACACATTTTTAGGCAAAATTTCAGCAACTCCTGGCCTATTGGATTTGACTCATTATGGATATAATCCAAAAGTTACCTTCGTTTTTAAGTTACTATATTTGTAAAGAACAATTCTGTAAATATAGAATCTCAGGATGAGTAAATGTAGTATAAATCAGAACCTAGATAGAGTAACGTTATGTATATATCTATATAAGCATAACCCACATGTCTTCACTCTCTAACTATATTTAGGCTGTATTTTACATGTCTGAAGTTGAACATCATCTTTTCCATCTACACATTCAGTTTTGGTCAGATTTATTTTAATTTTCCCGGTCAACCAGGTTTGACAATTTAGAATAATTACTGGCTGTTCTTCATTCTCCAAAAATAATGGTCAACATATTGAGTGTTTATTCAGTTCCAAATTATATGTTAAGCCTTTACATAAAATATAACCTCACAAAAATTATTTTAAGTATGCACTGTTATTCACATTTTATAACTGGGGAAACAGTCTTATAGGGATTAAGTGACTTACCCAAGGTCACATAGTGGGGGAGCCAGGATAGGAAGCCAGGAATGCAATGCAAGAGCTTATGTGCTTAACTCATTTTTCTGTTCTACCTCTCAATAACACCATCATATTGATCTATAGATTCATTTATTCATTCATCTGTTAATTGATTCATTCATTCCACAAACGCTTTTTAAAAAAATTTTACTTTCCATTGCAACAAAATTCACATTCCACACAAACGCTTCTTAAGCAATCATTTTCAAATCAGAGACTGTAGACAGTGCTAGGAATTGATTAAGACAAGGTCCTTGCTCTAACAATTGAGGTAGCAAATTACATTAACGAAAAATTAAAGCATGATATAAGTGTTTTAGGAATGTTATTTCTGTTCCTTTTTCCGTAAATTTGGATGTTTTTACCTGCAAATAACTGAAAACCTCACTAATGAAATCTTAAACACTATGGAAATTTAATATCATATAGATAAATTTAGTTTGTTAATTTCAGGACCTCTTCAGGGGCTCAGTGATGTCATTAAAAATTGGAACACTTTTAGTTCTTCTGTTTCACTATCCATAGCATATCAGAGAGATCTGTCCTCATGATCACAAAATGGCTGCTGTGGTAGCAACCAGCAAGTTCTCACATTACAGCATTTAAAACAGAAAGGAAAGAGATAAACAGAAAAGAGTGCTCTTTTTATATCTGCTCTCTCTTTTATTAGGGAAATTTTTTTTTTCACCAGAAGCATCTAACAGACTGCTCCTTATGTCTCAGTGGACAAAACTTGAGTCACATGCCCACCTCCATAGCAATTTCTGACAAAAGGGAACAGTACTTGGCACAATGCCTTCTAAACAAAATCAGAGTTCTGTTAGCAATGAAAAGTGTGGAAGGATGGCTAGCAGGTAGGCAACAATGGCCCTACCCCTCTTCCAATATGAGTGCCAAAACAGAGGTATATAGAAAGTGCTGTGAAAGCATAAAGAAATGTTATACTCTGCCTAGGATAACCAGAGATAGCATTTTAGAGAATGTGACATTTAAGCTGGGGCCTTAAAGGATAGGTAAGAGTTTATCAGGTAAAGGACAAATATCTCAGAAATCAGGGCTGAGTGGACCTTAAAAAGTGTTTAGTACAAATTCCGTTCAACACTTGCATTTCCTTCATAGTCATTTCCAAATCTGACATATTCCTTTCTATGGCCTCCAGCCAACTCAGAGCCATTTAATGCCTAGTCTCCTTGCTTTGGCCAACAGTGATTAGACATGCTTAGGAGATCCAAGATAATATAAATACAAGAACCACATTTTTGCTAGCTGATTAAATGTTCTTTTGATCAAAAGAGATAGCAAAAGACATAATAGAAACACTGTATAGGGCCTCAAATATCTTTTCCTTTTCCAGATACCTTTCTCCCTCTTCTCATCCTTCTCTTTTATTAACTATGTTATTCTCTTATTTTAAGGAATGCCAACACTGAAAAACTATAACTTACTTTGATTTTTCTGGTAGCACTGTAATAAAACTGTAGGACACCATGTGATAGAGACAAGAGCTCCACTTGCTCTTTATTCAGTATTAAAACTGTATTCATTATTGTTTTTTGTGTAACAAATTATCCCAAAAGTTGGTAGCTTAAAACAAAAATAGGCCAGGCACGGTGGCTCACACCTATAATCCCAGCACTTTGGGAGGCTGAAGGGGGTGGATTACCTGAGGTCAGGAGTTCAAGACCAGCCTGGCCAACATGGTGAAACACTGTCTCTACCAAAAATACAAAAATTAGCCAGGTGTGGTGGCACGTGCTTGTAGTCCCAGCTACTCTGGAGACTGAGGCAGGAGAATTGCTTGAACCTGGGAGGCGGAGGTTGCAGTGAGCTGAGATTGTGCCATTGCACTCCAGCTTGGGCAACAGAGTGAGACTCCATCTCAAAAAAACAAAAAATAAAAATAAAAACAAAAATAAACATTTATTGGCTGGGCACGGTAGGTAGCTCATACCTGCAATCACAGCACTTTGGGAGGCCAAGGCGGGTGGATCACCTGAGGTCAGGAGTTCAAGACCAGCCTGGCCAACATGGTGAAACCTTGTCTCTACTAGAAATACAAAAATTAGCCAGGTGTGGTGGTGCAAGCCTATAATCCCACCTACTTGGGAGGCTGAGGCAGGAGAATCACTTGAACCCAGGAGGCAGAGGTTGCAGTGAGCTGAGATTGCGCCACTGCACACCAGCCTGGGTGACAGAGTGTGAGTCTGACTCCCAATAAAATAAAATAAAATAAAATAGCCTTGGCATGGTGGCTCACACCTGTAATCCCAGCACTTTGGGAGTCCAAAGTGGGCGGATCATCTGAGATCAGGAGTTCGAGACCAGTCTGGCCAACATGGTGAAACTCTGTCTCCAATAAAAATATAAAAATTAGCATGTGTGGTGGTGGGTGCCTGTAATCGCAGCTACTTGGGAGGCTGAGGCAGGAGAATCACTTGAACCTGGTTCACTGCAACCAAGATCACGCCATTGCACTCCAGCCTGGGCAACACAGCACTACTCTGTCTCAAAAAATAAATAAAAAAGAATGACAATAAAATAAAATAAACATTTATCATCTCATACAGTTTCTGTAATTCAGGAATTCAGGAGTAGCTTAGCTAGGTGGTTTTGGCTCAGGGTCTCTCATAAGGTTGTAATTAAGATGTCCATTGGGGCTTCCATGACCTGCAGGTATGACTGGGGCTAGAGTATCTGCGTCCAATATGATCACTCTGATGGCTGTTGGCAGAGGCTGCGGTCCTCTCCATGTGACCTCTTTATAGGGTACCTGAGGTATTCTAAACAGGCAGGTTAACGTAGCAGAGAAAACATGGATTGTTAGAGGCTGATAGGATAACTAGATCGCTATATAAAATGAACTTGGATCCCAATTTTGTATCATATGTAAAGGAAAACAGCATATAGATTAAAGATCTAAATATAAAAGGTAAAATTATAGAAGTAATAGAAAAAATATAAAAGAATGTCTTTGAGAACTTGGCGTGGGAAAGGATTTCTTAAACAAGATCCTAAAAGCACAAAATATAAGGTGAAAAAGTGATGAATTTGACCACATTAAGAATTTCTGTACAACAGAGGATATCAGAAACACGTTAACAGATGGGTCACAGACAAGAAGATATTTGCAATGTTTGAATATCTATAATAAATAGACTCTTGCAAATCAACATGTAAAAAGCAGGAAACACAAAAATTAAATTGTAAGTGATTTGAATGTAAGTAAACATCACAGATAGGGAAAGCTAAAAGACTAAGTTTGTTTTATTTTATCATTTTTGTTTTGAGACAGGGTCTCACTGTTACTCAGGCTGTAGTGCATTGGCTTGATTTTGGCTCACTGCAACTTCCGCTTCCTGGGCTCAAGGGATCCTCCCACCTCAGCCTCCCGAGTAGCTGGGACTACAGGCTCGCCACCATGCCCGGCTGTTTTTCTTTTATTTATTTATTTAGTTATTTATTTATTTTTGGTATTTGTTGTATAGCTGGAATTTCACCATCTTGTCCAGCCTGGTCTCGAACTCCGACTTCAAGGAATCCACCCACCATGGCCTCTCAAAGTGCTGGGATTACAGGCATGGGCAGCAGCACCCAGCCTAAAAAACTAAGTTTATGAAGAGGTGCTCAACCTATCCAATCATCGGAGAAGTGCAAATTATTTAAAAAAAAACACCAGACAATTCTATGTACCAATAAGATTGGCAAAACTTACTGAGTTAAACCAAGTGCTGGTATGGGAGTGGGAAAAAGCAAATCCTCTTGTGCTGCTATTAGGAGTCTAAAGAGGAACAGCCATGTAGGAGTGAATCTGTCCTTTAGTGAAAGTGTATGTGCATGCCCATGACACAGCAATCCCACTCATAGGTAGATCTCCTGAGAAACTGTCAAACAAGTTTATAGGGCACATGTCCTTGACAATGCTGCTTCTAGTAAGAGCTCACTGGAGGCACCCTAGGAATCCATTATTAGAGGAATGGAGGAGTAAAAATTGAGCTTCATAAAGACAGAAAGCACTACTTGGGAGGATGAAGCAGAAGAATCGCTTGAGCCCAGGAGGCGGAGGTTGCAGTGAGCTGAGATTATGCCACTGCACTCCAGCCTGTGTGACAGAGTGAGCATCTGTATCAAAAAAATAAAAATAAAAAAAGAAAGCAGATTAGTGATTTCTAGGGACGCAGGTGGGGTGAGGAGTAAAGAGGAATGAGGACTACTAATGGATTTGAGGTTTCCTCTTGGGATCGTGAAATGCTCTGGAATCAGATAGTGGTGATCGTTTGACAATGCTGTGAACATACAAAAAACCACTAACTTGTACAATTAAAAACAAAGCTAGGCCTGCTGTGGTGGCTTATGTGTGTAATCCCAGCACTTTGGGAGGCCGAGGCGGGTGGATCACCTGAGGTCAAGAGTTTGAGACCAGCCTGGCCAACATGGCAAAACCCAGTCTCTACTAAAAATATAAAAAATTAGGTGGGCCTGGTAGAGGGCTCCTATAATCCCAGCTACTCAGGAGGCTGAGGCGGGAGAACGCTTGAACCCGGGAGGCAGAGGTTGCAGTGAGCCGAGATCGCACCACTGTACTCCAGCCTGGGCCACAGAGTGAGACTCTATCTCAAAAAACAAAAAAATAAATAAAATAAATAAATAAACTAAAAAAAGTAATGAACATACCCACTGTAGAAAAATACAGATAAGAAAAAAAAATATGTGGAAAAGATAAGAAACAGATTGTATACATCTAAGAGGACATGGGTAAATTAAAACACAAATACATACATCCACCAAATACTGTACTCACTCCGTGATACATATGTAACTGACACATATTAAGCATATTAAAGCGGGTGCCTGGAGCATGAGGGTGAGGGAGAGTAGAATTAGAATAGGAACAGAAATGGTAAATGGAGGGAAAAATCATAAAATAATAAAACAGGAATGGGGATTGTAAAGCACAACAACGGTTCATCCAAAGATATCCATATACTAATGCTAGGAAGGTGTGAATACATTACCTTACTAGCAAAAGGGATTCCACAGCTGGGATTAAGATAAGGATTTTAAGATAGGAGGGCTATTGTGGATTATCTTGGTGGGTCTAATACAGTCACAATGGCCTTAAAAGGTGGAAAATGGAAATAGATGGGCCAAAGCAGGAAATGCAGGGATGGAAACAGGGGTCAGAGTGATGAAATTGTTGGCTTTGAAGAAGCAAAAGTTCCATGAGCCACGCAGCCTCTAGAAACTAAAAGTCAAGGAACAGATTTTTCCCTCGAGCCTCTAGAGGGTAAGTTGTCTTATGGATACCTTGGTTTTAGATCCGTAAGGACCATTTCGAACGTCTCACCTTCAGAACTGTAAGATAATACATTTGTGGTATTCTAAGCCACTACATTTTGGTAATTTGCCACAACAACAATAAGAAACTAGTACAAGAACTTGTGCAGACCAAAGAAAATGCTCTGTTGAAACTGTTGAAAATGATTAAATCAATTCTCTGCACCAGAAGTCCAAAAAGAGGGGAAAAAAAAAGTCCCTCTACCCTCGAAAATTAGCCTTAGAGAGAATTAGCCCTTCCCCACCACACACACACACAAATTAGAATTGATTAATACCTCGTTTGTTCTAAGAATTAGCACGTAGTGGCAATTATAACCCCAAATTTCTTAAATATAAGCTTAATTAAATTGATTTCATAATGTTTTAAGGATACAAAATATCCCTTTTCCACCAATTACTCTGAATTGGTTCCTATTTGTATTAATCTGCATGGGCTGCTATACTGAAATACTGCAGGCGGGGTGGTTTAAACAACAGAAATTAATTTTTTCACTGAAGGTCTGGCAGGATTGGTTTCTAAAGAGGGCTCCCTTCCTGGTTTTTGGATGTCTGCCTTCTCACAGTGTCTTCACATGGCCTTTCCTTGGTGCATATTGGGGTTGCAGGGAGGAGAGCTGGAGTTTCATTTTATAAAGACGGGAATCCTATCAGGGCCCTATCCTTATGATCTCATTTTAACCTTAATTATTTCCTTAGAGGTCTCATCTCCAAATACAGCCACACTGGGGGTTAGGGCTTCAGCATATGAATTTTGGGAGGAAACATTCAGTCCATAACGCTGATTTAATAAGATCACATTCAGAGCCTTCTTAGGAGATGTTGTTGTGACTTTGGACAGTTTTCATATGAATTTAAGATTTCTTTGTAAAAACGTAAGTTGTATAAGAAAAGAAGCCTCATTTGTCTTAGTCACTGTTGTATTCTTAGAGCCTAATACAAGGCTTGACACATTCTAGGGGTTCAGTAAACATTAACTGAATGAATAAATGAATAAATCAGTGAATGGAAACTCTCTTCCCGGCCTTAGTAATTGAGATTGTGCAGTCTTAAGAAAGAACTAATCCCAGAATTCTTTGCTGCACATTTCTATTAAGAAAGAGAAAGAAGAAAACAGAATGTATTAGTTTCCTAGAGCTTCTGTAACAAAGTACCGGAAACTGGGTAGCTTAAAATGACAGAAATTCACTCTCCCAGAGTTCTGGAGACCAGCAGTTTGAAATCAAGGTGTAGACAGGTTGGCTCTTTCTGGAGGCTCTGAGGAAAAGAGGCTTCAATGCCTCTTTCCTAACTTCTGGTGGCTCCTGGCAATTCTTAGCATTCTTTGGCTCATAGTAGATACATCACTCCAATCTCTGCTTCTGTCTTTACATGATCTTTTCTGCTGTATCCTCTCTTCTTCTTATAAGGACACCAATCATTGGCTTTAGTGTCCACTCAAATCCAGTATGATCCCATCTGGATTCTTAAATAATTACATCTCCAGAGACCGTATTTCAAATAAGGTCACATTCTAATCTTCTGGGTATGAATTTCTGGGGATGTTACTCAACCCACTACAAGGAATCAGATGAAAATGATTATTGCACATAGGTTTCCATCTTAACTACAGAAACAAATTAATAATAACTCCTGCTATAACTTATGTAAATCACCAAGGAAGCCTTTACTGAAATATATACCTTATGTTATTTAACAATTATTATTGATGCCCTTCTATGAAGGATGAGAGAAGAGAGCAAAAATCTGGTCGGGCGTGGTGGCTTACACCTGTAATCCCAGCACTTTGGGAGGCCGAGGCGAGCAGATCATGAGGTCAGGAGTATGAGACCAGCCTGGCCAATATGGTGAAACATGGTCTCTACTAAAAATACAAAAATTATCCAGACGTGGTGGCATGCGCCTGTAATTCCAGCTACTTGGGAGGCTGAGGCAGGAGAATCGCTGGTACATGGTAGGTGAAGGCTGCAGTGAGCAGAGATCATGCCACTGCACTCCAGCCTGGGCCACAGAGCAAGATTCTGTCTCAAATAAATAAATAAATATTAGAAAGGAAGTCTCTGATAAATTTAAAAAAATTAATTAAGTTTCCATTTTAAGAAACCACAAAAAGAAGAGACAAAGTAGAATGAAGAACTAAAGACCATAGCATAAATCAACAAAAAGAAAACTGCAAAACTATAGAGAAAAGTAGTGAAACTTACAGTTGATTCCTTGAAAAGATCTATGAAATTGATAACATTTTAGCCAAATGACCAAGAAAAAAAGAGAGAAGACAGAAATTACCAAAACTGGGAATAAAAGAGAAAGCATTCTGAACCCTATGGAAATTAAACGGCTTATAAAGGAATATTTTGAACAACCTTATGCCAACAATTTGTCACCTTAGATGAAAGGGGCAAATTCATAAACAGAAATGATCAAAGTAGACTCAAAAAGAAATTATAAAATTTACATAGATATATATCAGCAAAAAATGTTAAAATATTTACTAAATTATTTTAAAATTTTCTACAAAGAAAAATCTAGGCCTGGATGGTTTTACTTGGAATGGTATCAATATCTAAATAATTAGTAATACCAATCTAATGCAAATCTTTTCAAAAATAGAATAGAAGGGGACACCTTACAGTTCATTTTACCCTGATACTGGAAGCCACAGACAGAGATATCACAAGGAAACTATAGACCAATACTGCCCATGAATGTAAATGCTAAAATTCTTTAAATAACAGCAGGTTAGATCCAGTAATGTACACACTATTACCAAGTGCCGTCAGTTTATTACAGGAAGACACTTTAGCTTAACATCTGAATATCAATTAGTGTAATACACATATTAATAGAATAAAGCAGTGGTCAGCAAACTATAGTCCCTAGGCCAAATTTGGCATGACTTTTCTTTTTGCAAATACAATTTTACTGGAACAAAGCCAAGCCCCTTCATTTACAAATTGTTTATGATTGCTTTCTGCTACAAAAGCAGAGTTGATTGGTTACAACAGAGCTCATATGGCTCAAACCAAAAATATTTACTATATAGCCTTTTCTGGAAAATGTTGCTGACCCTTAAAAGAAAAAGCCATATAATCGTCTCAATAGACACAGACAAAGCATTTGATAAAACTGAACTACTATTCACCATAGAATTCTCAATAAACTAGGAATAGAAGGAAACTTTCTTACTTTGATAAAAGGCAGCTACATAAACCTGTGTTTAACAACATGCTTAAAGGTGAATGACTGAATGCTTTCTTCCTGAGATTGGGTACAAGGCAAAAGGATGTACACTCTCACCACTTCTATTTAACCTTGGACTGAAGGTTCCAGCCAGTGCAATAAGGTAAGAAAATAAAAATACAAAAATAAACATACAACTAACTAAAAAGGAAATTTAGAAAACAATTACATTCACGATAGTATAAAGAGAATAAAGCATTCAGAAATAAAGTTAATGAAAGAAGTACAGGACAGTACACTGAAAATTACAAAACATTGTCAAAGGAAATTAAGACCTAAATAAATCAAGGTATGTTCCATGTTTGTGAATAGGAAAGTTCAGTATCTTCAAGGTGTCAGTTTTCCCAAAATTGATCCATAGATTCAATGCAATTCCTATCTAAGTGTCATTAGGGTTTGCTTTTCTAAAGAAAGAAAAATTGGTAAGAGGATCCTAAAATTTATTGTTTGAATCCAAAGGACCAAGAATAGCCAATATGATTTTGTAAAACAACAAAGTTCAACGACTTACACGATTTCAAAATTTCAAAATTTACCATAAAGCTACAGTAATCAAGACTGTGGTATTGACATAAAGATAGGTATATAGCTGGGCATGGTGGCTCATGCTTTTAATTCACCCTGGGCAACACACTAAGACCCCATCTGGAAGAAAAGGAAAAAAATATGATATTGTAAACCAAAAATAAAATTCTAAGTGGATCTCTCCTCAGGGGTCAGGGCATTTTATTTTATTTATTTTTTTGAGACAGGGTCTCACTCTGATGCCCAGGCTGGAGTGCAATGGCACAACTTCAGCTCACTGAAACCACTGCTTCCTGGACTCAAGTGATTCTCCAGCCTCAGCCTCCTGAATAGTTAGGATTACACACACAGGCCACCACACCTGGCTAATTTTTTTTTTTTTTCCTGAGACGGAGTCTCACTCTGTCATCCAGGCTGGAGTGCAGTGGCACTATCTTGGCTCACTACAACCTCCACCTCTTGGGCTCGAGCAACTCTCCTGCCTTAGTCTCCCAGGTAGCTGGGATAACAGGAGTGTGCCACCATACGCAGCTAATTTTCGTATTTTTAGTAGAGATGGGGTTTTGCCATGTTGGCCAGGCTGGTCTCGAACTCCTGACCTGGGGTGAATTGCCTACCTCAGCCTCCCAAAGGGTTGGGATTACAGACATGAGACACCGCACTCAGCCATGCAGAGATTTTCAAAGTACCAAAAAAATGGTTTTGCACCTCAGCCCAACACCTTCCTCAATGTTTTCTTTTTTCTTTTTCTGTTTTTTTTTTGCCCCCAGATGGAGTTTTGCCTCTTGTTGCCCAGGCTGGAGTGCAAAGATGCAATCCTAGCTCACTGCACCTCCGCCTCCTGGGTTCAAGCAATTCTGCCTCAGCCTCCCAAGTAGCTGGGATTACAGGCACATGCCACCACACCTGGCTAATTTTTGTACTTTTTTTTTTAGTAGAGGTGTGGTTTCATCATGTTGGTCAAGCTGGTCTCAAACTCTGGGCCTCAAGTGATCCACCTGCCTTGGCCTCCCAAAGTGCTGGGATTACAGGTGTGAGCCACCATGCCCTGCCCCTCAAGGTTCTCAAAGAGTCGGTGAAAGAGAAAATTTTCGTTGGGGAGGTGCTCAAGTGCTTTACAATTTCCACCTTTCTCCCTCACAAAGGGATGCTCCCCACTTCAATATAAGCTCAAGAGCCTGAACTATGTCCTCTGACATCTCTGAGGCCCAAAGTTCTATATCAAATACAAACCAGAAATACACGAAAGTTGAGACTAGCCAACTAACTGCCTGTCTGATAAAGAGGTGTCTACCTAGGGACAGCTTAACACTACCTGGATCTGTGAAGGCACAGTATGCACATTTCATAGAGAACTGGCCTGCTGTCTTTTTTTTTTTTTTTTTTTTTTTTGAGAAAGAATCTCGCTGTGTCACCTAGCCTGAAGTGCAGTGGCACAATCTTGGCTCACTGCAACCTCTGCCTCCCAAGTTCAAGTGATTCTCCTGCCTCAGCCTCCCAAGTATATGGGATTACAGGTGCCCACCATAAGGCCTGGCTAATTTTTGTATTTTTGGTAGAGACAGGGTTTCACAATGTTAGCCAGCCTGGTCTTGAACTCCTGACCTCAAGTGATCTGCCCTGTGCCCCCCAAGTGCTGGGATTACAGGCATAAGCCAAGGCACCCAGCCAGTTTTTGAAACGTAAGTTCTGTCTCCAGTTTCCCATTTTTACTAAAGACAAATCACGGTAAGACTGATTTGCTTTATTATGCTTGGTCTGATTATTTGTATAAAGTGCAGCAAAAATAATTATTTTTTACATAATCTCTTTTTAAATTGGCTTTGATGGAACTCTGTTCCATAGAAGGTATCTTAGATAAGACTTTTTTAGAGCTGAGCCCATGGGTTTGTACTCTCAAATACCTATGAGTTGAGTAAATTCCTCTCCTCTTGTGGTCCCAAGATAATTTGGGGATCCTGGACCTGTCAGAAAGTGACATTTTTGTACTTACCATAGGTCAGAAACACTGTACAGGGACTGCTGTAGACAAGGTCTGAGGCCAATTCCCCCAGGGGCTTTTATTGGCTTTACAAGTCAAGTTTGATTCCTTAAAGGAAAACACCCCATTCCAGTCAAATCGTTGGTAAAATAATCAGTGTTTCCAATTTGTCCCGTTGCAAAAGAAAACAGATTCTTATTGCACTTATGCAAATAACTATATTGCCGTAATGTAAGAATACTCACAAATAATTTCCAAATTCTGGAGAAATTAGGTAGAGAGAAACAAATATGCCTCAAATGTTATTCACAGCAATATACTTTACTCAATTGCTACAAGCTGCAAGCAGCTCAAAAGAAAAGTTTCTTTGACTCTGAAAAACAAAACAAAGGATCAGCAGCATTTTAAGCAAAGTTAAAAAGATTAGTCCTCTATTGGTTCAGTCAATTCAGTTAACTCCTGTTCTGCTTGATATTCACGAACATTTCAGGTCTCCATGAGAGTTCTGAAATTGTTTTATTTTACTGTCAAAATTTTCAAAGTTATCAGAAACCTGCATTTAAGAACCCCTGTTAGAGTTCTATAGTTGATAACAAACCATCTTTTGAAGAGGATTAAAAGAAGACAACAATTGTGTGTGGATGATAAAAAGTCTTAGGACAGCCACTATTAAAGTCACAATCGATAAGGAAATTTGGTTCCTTCTGTGGCATATAATAATTTTATGTAACAATTATAATTATTCATAACATACACTAAGTCATATCAGAATTATGAGGTTTTTTATAATTGTGGAAGACACACCAATAACACATTTACACAAATACAGCCCAAAGAAATCCAAACACCATTTTACATTTGATAATGCTTCCTGAATGATTTTTGTATCAAATAAGCCAAATGTCACTGTTGCATTAGAGCATTACTGATGACAAACCCAATTCTTTATAAAACCTTATAGGCAAATGTATTCAATCTTAATCAGTTTGACAACTAAGTAAAATTTTCACAAACCTTTTATAACCCTTTACAAATTTTCGTTAAAGAGCAGATCATAAGCAGATTTTTGCTCTAAGAACATGGTGAAACCCCGTCTCTACTAAAAATACAAAAAAATTAGCTGGGCATGGTGGTGCGAGCCTGTAGTCCCAGCTACTTGGGAGGCTGAGGCAGAAGAATCGCTTGAACCCAGGAGGTTGCAGTGAGCCAAGATCGCACCACTGCACTCCAGCCTGGCGACAGAGCCAGATTCTGTCTCAAAAAAAAGAAAAACAAGCTACAACTACAACAACAACAAAAAACCCACAACCTGTTGTGCTTTTATTCCAATGTTTTATTTGCAGAAAAATTGAATACCCCTTTAACTTTAGCCAATATGTACACACACAGAATTTCTTACAATTAATTTTCCACAACTTTCCATAACTTGCTTAAAACTTCAGCTTTATTCTACCTAACTTAAAACAATCCTTTAACCCTTTAATCTAGGCAAGAAAATTTAGTCACATGACTTCTTATAATCTTTTACCAAAAAAACACATTTCACTTTCCCTACACACCTTACATGTAGAACTACTTCTTCAATAGTCTCAATTACATGTTACAATGATAACTTTCAGCAATTATGACTTTTGGTGAAAACCCTGGTTAGTAAGCAATTTTAACTATGTACTAGGTGTGGAGCCTAGGACCTCAACAGAAGTGAAGACAAGGTCTGACTTTTTCTAGCATTGCTAGGGGGTATGGCTAACACCACATATCCCTAGACCTTATCTGGAATTTAATGTCTTCAAGGTAGGTAAATTGAACAATTTTCAAAAGTCGAAGAAGCAGTTTATGACCTTAAAGCATTTAGCAAACCTAATATCTGGCCTGCATAATTTAGGACAAATGTTTACATTTTTAAAGGTATTTTTATTTTACTAATAATCTTTAAAACTGTATTTATTTCCCTAAGGTTACTTAAGTCACATGAACTAAATAAAGGGCATTACACTTTTTACTTTTCTCACAAAATATTTGATTTAAGCACTTAATTATTATAATTTTTTCTTTTTAGATGGAGTCTTGCTCTGTCACCCATGTTGGAGTGCAATGGCACAATCTGTGCTCACTGCAACCTCTGCCTCCTGGGTTCAAGCGATTCTCCTGCCTTAGCCTCCTGAGTAGCTGAGATTACAGTGTGTGCCACCACACCCGGCTAATTTTTTGTATTTTTAGTAGAGACAGGGTTTCACCATGTTGTCCAGGCTGGTCTCAAACTCCTGAACTCGTGATCCACCCACCTCATCCTCCCAAAGTGCTGGGATTACAGGTGTTGGCTACCATGTCTGGTGCACTTAATTATTTTTAAGCCAATTAATCAAAGCTCTTTCATATGTAAACATCACACACATAATACATATAAATACATAGACAAGTCTGGGTGCGGTGGCTCATGCCTGTAATCCCAGCACTTTGGGAGGCCGAGGCGGGTGGGTCACCTGAGGTCAGGAGTTTCAGACCAGCCTGGCCAATACAGTGAAATTCCACCTCTACTAAAAATACAAAAATGAGCTGGGCATGGTGGTAGGCGCCTGTAATCCCAGCTACTTGGGAGGCTGAGGCAGGAGAATCACTTGAACCCGGGAGGCAGAGATTGCAGTGAGCCAAGATTGCACCATTGCACTCCAGCCTGGGCAACAAGAGCGAAACTCCACCTCAAAAATAAAAAAATGTATAGACAGTTAGATGATAAACAACTCTTTCCCTAAGCCATGAATTGAGCCCTGAACCTGGGCCACCACTGTGAAAAGAGAAAGCACAGCCACATGGTTAGGTTACAAGGTCAAGCTCCCAAGGACATACAAGACAAGAGGGAAACCTCACCCAGTTTTTTTCAGGGACCTGCAGCAAAGTTCGTAACTGACCAGTTTGCTAGGCCATCTTGAACAGCAGGCTTATAGGTGTCCTAAGCCCATGTTCTATCCTAAGGTACCCCTGTTTATGACAGAACAATACAGAACAACACACAAAATGCACCAGATTGACTACAGCTTAAGACTAGCCTCACAAATCCTTTCTTCCATTACTTTGCAGGAAATAGTGATTTTTACCATTCCTACAACCAGTTTGCACAGAGAGAGAGAGAGAGAGAGAGGAAAGCATTGCTTGAGGCAAGGTGGGGAAGGTGAGGCACTCATGGAAGCCAGAGAAAGACCCACCCATTGCAGCAACTGAAAAGTTCAGGCGGCCTCTTCTCGGTACTGAAGGGATCTTTTCCAGCAGTCCCATCAGCTCTCAAGTGTCCCCTTTAGGGGAAGAAAAAGCTCCCTGTGTCCCACGATCTTGTACATGCCTAACCCTGTCACCTACAGCTGTCAGCAAAGAGTACAAGGCAGAGTATTTCAAAGAGAATAGCAGTTAACATCCCGTAGTGCCAAACCTGTTCTTAGCCAAAAGGGACTTTAACGAAAGGGGCCTCTAACACCCGAAATCTTAGAAGGGAGTCTAACCCTCCTAAGTCAGGCCTCTAACCCAAGGATGGTCAAGTGTCCTTGCCTTTTATAAAGAGGGGCCTCTAACCCACTCTGTCTTAGGAGAGGCTCTAATTCTTCTAAGTTTGGCCTCTGACCCAATCCCACTCTTTATCTGGGTACCCCACCACTTGCCCAAAGTCGTCCAATCAGTGCTGCAGTCTATTTCCTTTGGGATGGGAGTCTCCTCAGTATCATGCCTTCAGGGTTTACCAGAAAGATGTTACTAGACCCTACCACATACCCAAAGTTAGCCTTTGGGTTGGGGTTTTCCACAGTATAGTCCATTCTGTGTCAACAGAAAGATGTTACAGTACCCCACCACTTACCCAGGGTTTCCACACTAAATTCCCATCTGGGTCACCAGAAAGATGTTACAGGAAAGGGGTCCAGATCCAGACCCCAAAAGAGGGTCCTTGGATCTCCCACAAGAAAGAATTCAGGGCGAGTCCCTAAAGTGAAAGCAAGTTTATTAAGAAAGTAAAGGAATAAAATAATGGCTACTCCATAGACAGAGCAGCCCCAAGGGCTGCTGGTTGCCCATTTTTATGGTTATTTCCTTTTTAGACCATATAGGGTAACTTCCTGACATTGCCATGAAATCTGTAAACTGTCATGGTGTGTCCAGAATTGGTGGGTTCTTGGTCTCACTGACTTCAAGAATGAAGCCACGGACCCTCGCGGTGAGTGTTACAGTTCTTAAAGGCGGCGTGTCCGGAGTTTGTTCCTTCTAATGTTCGGATGTGTTCGGAGTTTCTTCCTTCTGGTGGATTCGTGGTCTTGCTGGCTCAGGAGTGAAGCTGCAGACCTTCCCAGTAAGTGTTACAGCTCTTAAGGCGGCGCGTCTGGAGTTGTTCATTCCTCCCGGTGGGCTCGTGGTCTCGCTGGCTTCAGGAGTGAAGCTGCAGACCTTCGAGGTGAGTGTTACAGCTCATAAAGGCAGTGTGGACCCAAAGAGTGAGCAGTAGCAAGATTTATTGCAAAGATCGAAAGAACAAAGCTTCCACAGTGTGGAAGGGGACCCCAGCAGGTTGCCACTGCTGGCTCAGGCAGCCTGCGTTTATTCTCTTATCTGGCCCCACCCACATCCTGCTGATTGGTAGAGCTCAGTGGTCTGTTTTGACAGGGCACTGATTGGTGCGTTTACAACCCCTGAGCTAGACACAAAAGTTCTCCACTTCACCACCAGATTAGCTAGATACAGAGTGTCAACTGGTGCATTCACAAACCCTGAGCTAGATGCAGGGTGCTGATTGGTGTGTTTACAAACCTTGAGCTAGATACAGAGTGCCAATTGGTGTATTTACAATCCCTGAGCTAGACATAAAGGTTCTCCAAGTCCCCACCAGACTCAGGAGCCCAGCTGGCTTCACCCAGTGGATGCCACACTGGGGCTGCAGGTGGAGCTGCCTGCCAGTCCCGCGTGGTGCGCCTGCACTCCTCAGCCCTTGGGTGGTCGATGGGACTGGGCGCCGTGGAGCAGGGGGCGGCGCTCATCAGGGAGGCTGGGGCCGCACAGGATCCCACGGAGTGGGTGGGAGCCTCAGGCATGGCGGGCTGCAGGTCCCCAGCCCTGCCCTGCGGGAAGGCAGCTAAGGCCCGGCGAGAAATCGAGCACAGCGCCTGTGGGCTGGCACTGCTGGGGGACCCAGTACACCCTCCGCAGACGCTGGCCTGGGTGCTAAGCCCCTCATTGCCCAGGGCCAGCAGGGCCGGCCGGCTGCTCCCAGTGAGGGGCCTGCCAAGCCCACGCCCACCTGGAACTCCAGCTGGCCCGCAAGCGCGCGTGCAGCCCCGCTTCCCGCTTGCGCCTCTCCCTCCACACCTCCATGCAAGCTGAGGGAGCCGGCTCCCGTCTTGGCCAGCCCAGAAAGGGGCTCCCACAGTGCAGCGGTGGGCTGAAGGGCTCCTCAAGTGCCGCCAAAGTGGGAGCCCAGGCAGAGGAGGCGCCGAGAGCGAGCGAGGGCTGTGAGGACTGCCAGCACACTATCACCTCTCAATGGCACTGGTGGGAGTGTAGCAGTGAGGATGACAAGAGGTCATTCTGGTTGCCATCTTGGTTTTGGTGGGTTTTAGCTGGCTTCTTTATTGCAATCCGTTTTGTCAGCAAGGTCTTTATGACCTGTATTTTGTGCCAGCCCCCTCTCATCCTGTGACTTAGAATACCTTAACCATCTGAGAGTGCAGCCCAGTAGATTTCAGCCTCATTTTACCCAGCACCTACTCAAGATGGAGTTGCTGTGGTTCACACACCTCTGACAGCTTGATTTATTTGTCTGCCTCTTTTATTAGCTTTTGCTCATGCACACAGTTGACTCTCCCATTTAAACCTTAGTACCGTGGTTCTCAAAGCAGGGTATGGGGATGGACACTCTTAGAGAGTCGGCTAGGTTAAAACTATTTTCATAATAATCCTAATGCAATATTTGCTCTTTTCACTTCGTTCTCTTGTGAGTGTAATGTAGGGGGAAAATACCGTTTTTATCCCCCCATAAAAATGTGTTACCACATAATGGTTTTATTATTGTTTTAAATTAGTTGATAGCTATTTTTAAAATTTCAGTTTTTATTTATAACATAGTAAATATTGATAGACAAAATCCAAATGAACAAAAGCTCTTTGGGGATCTTCAGTAGTTTTTATGGATATAAAGAGTTTTTGAGATTAAAAAAAAGTTTAAAAATCATTGCCCTTGTCTGTCTGCCAGGTATAAGAACTCCTGTTGACCACATTTGATACCACAGGATTAGACAATGAATTGGAGTTGGTCTTCTTTGAGTGATAACTTGTCTTGACTGCAAAAATCATCTATGTCAAGATAAACTATAGCTTTTGGCCAGAATGTCATTTAGAAATTCAGCAAATGTTAATACAGGATTCCTTTTTGTTTTTCTTGGTGATGTTTAATGGAAATAAACACAATCCTAGTAAAAGGAGAAGCATAAATATGGAAAAGATTTGGAAGAGTGTCCAGCGTAAGAGTAAGCCCTTAACACAGGTAGTGATTATTACTGTTTTATTATTACCCTATCACAGTCGCTATTCATTTATTTATTCAACAAGTATTTATTGAGTACTACATGCCAGGCTCAGTGGTCTGCATTGCGGATTCAGTGATGGGCAAAACACAAACAGTTCTGCCTTCAAGGACTTTATAGTCAAGTGGGAGAGGCAGTGGAATCAACACATTAAAAATTCTAATTACAAATTGTGTTAAGCAAACGAAGTGACAGAGGTATAAGTAGACCAAGATTTGATCTGATTTTCAGAGTCAGTAAAAGCTTCTCTGAATGGCCGGGCGCGGTGGCTCACGCCTGTAATCCCAGCACTTTGGGAGGCAGAGGCGGGCGGATCATGAGGTCAGGAGATCGAGACCATCCTGGCTAACACAGTGAAACCCCGCCTCTACTAAAAATACAAAAAATTAGCCGGGCGTGGTGGCGGGCGCCTGTAGTCCCAGCTACTCGGGAGGCTGAGGCAGGAGAATGGCGTGAACCCGGGAGGCGGAGCTTGCAGTGAGCCGAGATCGCGCCACTGCACTCCAGCCTGGGCGACAGAGCGAGACTCCGTCTCAAAAAAAAAAAAAAAAAAAAAAAAGCTTCTCTGAAGAAGTCCCAGTTGAGCTGCATTGAAAAATGTGTAGGAGGAATTAAGGAGACAAAGGAAAGAGTAGCACGCTGAGCATGTTTAAAGACCCTTCAGTAGAAAGAGAATGATGATGGGGCCAATGTGGCTGAAACCCAAAGACTCAGGGTTAGAGTGGTAACTGTTTAATGGCAAAAACCACAATTATGTTTGCACCAACCTAGCAGCAGTAGTAGTAGTAGTAGTAGGTTAGATCCCAAGCCATTTGGGGATTTTAAGGCTTTGCCAAGGATTTTAGACTTTTCTCACATCAGTGGGCAGCCATGGAAAGAAAGCTTTAGGAAAAGTGTGACAACCTTAGATTTGTATTTTCAAAAGATAGCTGGAGTGTAGTGGGGCAAGGCTGACAAACAGGGAGATTATTTACAGGGCCTCGGTAGTATCCAGGTGAATGATGGTGGGAGCCTGGAACAGGGTAATGGCAGTAGAGACCCAAAGGAGTGGATGAATTTGGGATGTATAATATTTTGGAAGTAGGGCCACAGGGCCTGGCGATTAATTGAAACCTTAACTAGCACAAGAACCGCACAAAGTCGAAGACTCTTCCCAGCAAGATCAGCTAATGGGTTATTGATAAGTTGCAAAACCTTCCCCATGCTCCCTTGGCAAAGATTCAAAAGCCCTGGTGATACTCAGGGCCGACAGATTACTCAGGCCGCACAAAGCCCGTGCACAAGGCCGTGCGAGTCTTGAGACCCAAGACTTTATTCCCTGGAGGTCAGCGGACTGGAAGCACAACGTTTCTTGGACAACGCCATTGTCACAGCTCCCTGCGGGGAAAGGATGACTAAAGACAACGGCAGGGAGAGAACGCCACAAGAGAGGGAAAGTCAGAGCGAAAACTGGCAACCCGTCTCGAGGCTCCCGCCATCACGGGTGATTTGAGGACTCAGCACGAGGCGAGAGGCGAGAGCATGGGCTGGGAAGAGCCACAAAACCCGCCTGTGATTAGCCCGGATGGGGGTATCGGTCGCTTGTGATTGGGTGACGCCGAGACATAGAGCTGCGTTTTGAACCACGTAGGGTTCTGGGTAGCAAAGGCCTTGCAAGGATCTTAACCGAAAGGGGGAGGGGGAAGGTCGCCAACAAACGGCTGAGCTCACAATCCGGGCCGGGGCGTCCCCCAACCTCCATGGAGAGAGCTAGGCTGGAGCCGCCGCCTCAGCCGCACCCTTTGAGTCCCGCTCCGTCCCTGCTGCCGGTCGAGGGCACCTCCTTTTGGGCAGCGGCCGTGAAGACCCCTCCGTCGCCGCCCATGCTGTGCGCGGCCGCCATTGCGACCGTGGCCTCCTCGTGTAGGGAGGGTTTGGTGCCGTGTGCGGCGCAGCAGCTGCTGGAGGTGAAGCTGGAGCAGGTGTTGCTGCTACCACAGCCCCACGTTCCTGGCAAGGGCGCCGCTTCCTCTCCCAGCGGCAGTTCAGGCCCGACCTGCGGCTCCTGCTGCCGCCCGCCTCTTCCGAGGGCGCCCCCTGTAGGCCCGAGTTACACCCGGTGCAGCCCCGGGCGCTGCACGTCAAGGCCAAGAAGTAGGAGCTAGGGGCTTGCCTGGACGCATCGGTGAGGCCTCGGGGGGCCGTGGAGACCGGTCGTAGAGCCTCCAGGGCGGTCAAGTTGGAAGGCCTCGGGCCGGCCCTCGACTACTTCCGAGGGAACGAGAAGGGCAAGCTGGAGGCGGAAGAGGTCATGAGGGACGCGATGCAGGGCGGGGAAGGCAAAAGCTCGGCGGCCATCCGAGAAGGTGTGATCAAAACGGAGGAACCCGAGAGACTCCTCGAGGACTGCAGGCTCGGCGCGGAGCCCGCGTCCAATGGCCCGGCTCGTGGCAGCGCGGAGGTCATCTTGGCCCCAACGTCCGGTGCCTTTGGGCCGCACCAGCAAGACCTCAGGATCCCTCTGGACTCTCCACACTGCTTCCCCTGGGGCCCGGATCCAGTTTCAGGAAGCTCCGCCTTCAGAGCTGATAAGATTGACCAAGGTCCCCCTGACACCAGTGCCTATTAAAATGCAGTCCCTACTGGAGCCTTCTGTAAAAATTGAAACCAAAGATGTCCCCTCACTGTGCTGCCCTCAGATGCAGGTATTAGACAGCAGGGGAGTCTGGTTTTCAAAACTGCGCCTGTGTTGCCCCATAGGGTATATCAGCAGTTCCCAAGTCTAAACTACAAAAGTGAAGTAATGGAACTGATTCTTTTCAGGGTAGCCTGCACAGGTATCACTTCTGATCGACTTGTACATATAGCAGTAAAATACACGAACGCCTTCAAAATTCTCAAGTATTTTTTTAAAAATCAATTTTAAGGCCTACTATTTAGATAGAACTAATTTTTGCGCACAAAAATAGAAGTATTCTTGATAGACATTTTCCTGATCCTCTAGCTAGAAATTGGGGCCTTTAGTCTCCCTGCTCTGTTATGTGGCTTCATGGCGACGGGTACTCTTGGGCCAAGTGACAGGATGAAGAGAGAAAAAAGGCAATCGAGATTTTCCTCTTCCACTTTTCAGAACGCAGATCCTTTGGTCAGATAAAAGGATTCTGCTCTGTCAGAGTTTTAGGTGCTTTTCTTGTCGCTACTGATACTGCTGCTACCAAAAAAAATTATTTTTTCTTTTTTTTTTTTTCTTGAGACGGAGTCTCACTCCGTCGCCAGGCTAGAGCGGCGCTCGGCTCACTGCAACCTCCAACTCCCTGATTCAAGCGATTCTCCTGCTTCAGCCTTCCGAGTAGCTGGGATTACAGGCACGTGCCTCCAAGCCCAGCTAATTTTTGTATTTTTAGTAGAGACGGAGTTTCACTGTGTTGGCCAGGATGGTCTCAATCTCCTGACCTCCTGATCTGCCTGCCTCGGCCTCCCAAAGTGCTGGGATTTCAGGTGTGAGCCACTGCACCTGGCCAAAAAACATTATTTTTTTCTAGAGACAGAGTCTCACTTTGTTCCCCAGGCTGGTCTCAAACCTCTGGCCTCAAGTGATCCTCCTGCTTCAGCCTCCCGAAGTGCTGGGATTACAGGCATGAGCAACCGCACCAGCCTTGTTAATATTTCAGAGTCCTCAGATGGCTGCTTCATGCATCCTGTCCAGGGCTTTTAGTTTCAGCCAGTGGGAGAGACAGACTATGCTTACTCTATCTTACTTAGAACTAGAACCCCAAGAAATTTATTTATTTACTTATTTATTTATTCATTTATTTTTTGAGACGGAGTTTCTCTCTTTTTGCCCAGGCTGGAGTGCAATGGCACAATCTTGGCTTACTGCAACCTCTGCCTCCTGGGTTCAAGCGATTCTCCCGCCTCAGCCTCCCGTGTGGCTGGGATTACAGGCACATGCCACCATGCCTGGCTAATTTTGTATTTTTAGTAGAGACAGGGTTTCGCCATGTTAGCCAGGCTAGTCTTGAAGTCCTGACATCAGGTGATCTGCCCGCCTCTGCCTCCCAAAGTGCTAGGATTACAGGCACGAGTCACCGTGCCTGGCTGAAAGTTATTTATTTATTTATTGATTTAGAGATGGTCTCACTCTCTTGTCCTGGCTAGAATCCTGTAGTGTGATCACCGCCCACCGCAGCCTCAACCTCTCAGGCTCAAGTGATCCTCCCACCTCAGCCTCCTGAGTAGCTGGAACTTAAAGGCACTGGCCACCATGCTTAGCTAATTATTATTTTTTATATCTTTTTACATTTTTTGTAGAGACAGGGTCTCACCATGTTGCCCAGACCGGTCTCAAATTCGTGGGCTCAAGTGCTCTGCCTGCCTTGGCCTTCCAAAGCGCTGGGATTATAGGCGTGACCCACCACGCCTGGTCAGAAATTTATTTTACATGCTGATTTGTAGAAAAGGGAAAACAAATATAGTCCAACCACAATATCCCCATCCTCCTAACCTAGTCAACATCTTAGTACTGTGATATATTTCCTTCCTCCTGAGCATTTTTTTCCATAGTTGAGAAAACATAATTTTCACTCCTTCTTTTCAAAGTTTTAATTACTTTTTTTCTTTTAGATTTTTATACAAAATAGAGATGGGGTTTTGCTATGTTGGCCAGACTCGTCTCGAGCTCCTGGGCTCAAGTGATCCTTCTGCCTTGGCCTCTGAATGTGCTGGGATTACAGGCCTGAGCCACTAGGCCCAGCCATTGCTCCTTGCTCCTTTTTAAATCTTTTTTTTTTTTTTTTTTGAGACAGAGTCTGGCTCTGTCCCCCACGCTGGAGTGCAGTGGCACTATCTCTGCTCACTGCAAGCTCTGCCTCCTGGGTTCACGCTATTCTCCTGCCTCAGCCTCCCGAGTAGCTGGGACTACAGGCGCCCGCCACCATGCCCAGCTCATTTTTTGTATTTTTAGTAGAGACGGGGTTTCACCGTGTTAGCCAGGATGGTCTCAATCTCCTGACCTCGTGATCCGCCAACCTCAGCCTCTCAAAGTGCTGGGATTACAGGCTTGAGCCACCGCGCCTGGCCTAAATCTCTTTTTAAATATTCAGAATTGGACATGGTGTGACCAGGATTTCATATCCTAAGTGGGAGAAGTTAAGGTTGAGGGCTTTTGAGAGGTCCACATCCTTTTCCTAAACAGTTCACTCTGTTCTTTTGGACTCAGAGTAGAGCAGCCTTTTACTCAGACAACCCAGGAAGAAGGTCATGTTGAGGTTTGAATGCAGTCCTATAGTAGGGGAGAGTGAAATGGCCCCATCGCCTAATAGCCTGGCTTGGAACAGGGATTCTAGGCCTCTGTTTGATTTCATGAACCTTTAACTTTTCCACTCCAAAAGTGAGGAATCACTTTCTTTCCAAAGTCAATTAAATTTGGTTTGAGAAGTTTCTGTGAAGTTTATAATACACTGTCAGATAAACAGGGACATGTTGGCCCTGAGGATTTCTCAGAATGAACTCTGTTGAAATGGTGATCTCGTTACAAATCCCAGGGGCAGGTAACTCTTGACCTTGAAGCATGCAGCCCTGCTTTCCTATCGTGGAATGTTAAATCCAAATGCCCTTAGAGGCCAAGCGCAGTGGCTCATTTCTGTAATCCCAGCACTTTGGGTGGCTGAGGTGGGAGGATCACTTGAGCCTAGGAATTTGAGACCAGCCTGGGTGTAGGGAAAAGAAAGAGAGATCAGACTGTTACTGTGTCTATGTAGAAAGGGAAGACGTAAGAAACTCCATTTTGATCTGTACTAAGAACATTGTTTTGCCTTGAGATGCTGTTAATCTGTAACTTTAGCCCCAACCCTGTGCTCATAGAAACATATGCTGTATGGGATCAAGGTTTAAGGGATCTAGGACTGTGCAGGATGTGCCTTGTTAACAATATGTTTACAGGCAGGTTGCTTGGTAAAAGTCATCACCATTCTCTATTCTCGATTAACCAGGGGCACAATGCACTGCGGAAAGCTGCAGGGACCTCTGCCCCAGAAAGCCTGGGTATTGTCCAAGATTTTCCCCCGCTAAGACAGCCTGAGATATGGCCTCATGGGAAGGGAAAGACCTGACCGTCCCCCAGCCCAACACCCATAGAGTCTGTGCTGAGGAGGATTAGTATAAGAGGAAGGCCTGTGTCTCCTGCATGTCCCTGGGAACGGAATGTCTCGGTGTAAAACCCAATCGTACATTCGTTCTATTCTCAGATAGGAGAAAACCGCCCTGTGGCTGGAGGCGAGATATGCTGGCAGCAATTCTGCTCTGTTACTCTTTGCTACACTGAGATATTTGGGTGGAGAGAAGCATAAATCTGGCCTAGGTGCACATCCAGGCATAGTACCTTCCCTTGAACTTATTTGTGACACAGATTCCTTTGCTCATATGTTTTCCTGCTGACCTTCTCCCCACTATCACCCTGTCCTCCTGCCGCATTCCCCTTGCCAAGATAGTGAAAATAGTAATCAATAAATACTGAGGAAACTCAGAGACCAGTGCCGGCGTGGGTCCTCCGTTTGCTGAGCGCCGGACCCCTAGGCCACTGCTCTTTCTCTGTACTTTGTCTCTGTGTCTTATTTCTTTTCTCAGTCTCTCGTTCCACCTCATGAGAAATACCTACAGGTGTGGAGGGGCTGGCCCCCTTCACCTGGGCAACATAGGGAGACTCCTTCTCTACAAAAAGTTAAAAAAAAAAAAAATAGCCTAGAGTGGTGGTGCACACCTGTAGTCCCAGCTACTTGGGAGACTGAGGTGGGAAGATCACTTGAGCCCAAGGAGGTTGAAGCTGCAGTAAGCTATGATGGCACCACTGCACTGCATCCTTGGCAACAGGTTCTCACTCTGTTGCCAAAGACACAGTGCAGTGGTGCCTCAATAAATAAATAAAAATAGGAAAAAAAAAAAGTCCTAGGAATCCATTACCCTCCACCTCTGAATTGTGGCCCAGTAGCACCTAGGAAGGAGCTTGGGATGAATATTGAGAGGTGTGGATTCTCATCCTGACTCATCCACCACTTGGCCTTTTTTTTTTTTTTTTAGATGGAGTTTCACTCTTGTTGCCCAGGCTGGAGTGCAATGTCGCGATCACAGCTCACTGCAACCTCTGCCTCCCAGGTTCAAGTGATTCTCCTGCCTCAGCCTCCCGAGTAGCTGGGATTAGAGGCATGCGCCACCATTCCTGGCTAATTTTACATTTTTTAATAGAGATGGGGTTTCTCCATGTTGGTCAGGCTGGTCTCGAACTCCCGACCTCAAGTGATCCACTCGCCTCGGCCTCCCAAAGTGCTGGGATTACAGGCATGAGCCACCACGCCCGGCTCCACCACTTGGCTTTGACTTTAGGCAGACCCTGGAATTTTTCTGAAATTCTGCCTACTCTGTAAAATGGGAATCACAATGCCATCTGTGCATAGGAATGCACCCCACAGACCTCTAATTACAGAAAGCAAAATTGACTACGGGCTCCCAACTGTTGCACTGTGAAATCCATCATCATGTTTATACTGAGACCAGATTTCCTTCAAGCTTTTTCTAGCTAGTTCCTGGGTATATAAGGGATACTAAGGCAGGCCCATTTCTGGGAGACATGCTAGACCTGCCCTTGGCCAAACATTTGTAATGACTTTTCCTGAAAAAAAAAAAAAAAAAAAAAAAAGGATGTTTTATTGACTGAGCTGGGCAATGCCAGGCTGGTGGCTTCTTTTTTTCTGTTTCTATTTTTTTTCTTGTTTTTTTTTTTTTTTAAAGATAGGACCTCACTCTGTTACCTAGACTGGAGTGCAGTGGTGCAGTCACGGCTGCCACCTTAGCCTCCCAAGTAGCCGGGACTACAAGCATGTGCCACCAAACTTGGCTAATTTTTTTTTTTTTTTGAGTGACAAGAGCCAAACTCTATCTCAAATAAATAAATACATAAAAATAAAGTTTTGCACGTAATTTATGAAGCCCATAAAGGGCATCTTAAGGGCCTATACTCTTAGAACATTTCTGGAAGGACACACAGAAATGGTTATTGCTGTGGCCCTGGAGAGGAGGAGGGGAATTTTCCTTTATTGAATACCCTTTAAATGGAATTTTATATATAGTGCTTGTATTACAATTTTAAAGTTTTTAAACTTGTTAGTTATTTTAAAGGAACTGCTGTTCTAACACTTTGGAGTGATCACAAACTCACATACCTTCAGGGGCCAGGGAGATTAAGTGCACTTGGGTTTAGGGAGATGGCAGTGGTGGGAGCTGCAGCTAACTGCAGCTTCCATACCACACCCAAAGTACTTTAATTCAATACCATGAGAAGCATAGTGTTTGATCAAACCAATGCCCTGCTATTGGTCCCAGGACTATTAATTAGTGACCTCAGCTTAGAGTGATAGTGACAAGTTTTATCTGAAAATCTTTCAGAGGAGTCAATGATTCCTTAGTGAAGTATGCAGAATCTCTAAAGCAATGAGGGGTTGGGGGGACCACCATGGAAATTACCTGAGAGCTCCAGAGAATATGGCTGGTTCTGCATAATGCAATTTGCAAAGAAAGGGTTATCCATCCAAGCCTCTGTTTTCCTGATGTGTCCAACCCCTGCCTGGTGGAAACTCCTAGTCTGATGGGAGATGGACAGAGTCTAGTCTTGGAAGGCAGAGCTCATGTCAGGGCAGGCCCTGAAAGGTCTGAGCTGAATTTCCTCAGGTAGAAATGAGGGGAAATCTATATTCCTTTCAGGGTGAACAGTAGAATCAAAAGTTCTGAGGTGGGCCAGGCATAGTGGCTCACACCTGTATTCCCAGCACTTTGGGAGGCCCAGGCAGGAGGATCACTTGAGGCCAGGAGTTCAAGACCAGCCTGGGCAACACAGTGAGACCCCTGTCTCTACAAGAAGTGAAAAAAATTAGTGGGGCATGGTAGCACATGCCTATAGTCCTAGTTAAGAGGCTGAGGTGGGAGGATCACTTGAGGCCAAGACTTCAAGACTGTGGTGAGCTATGATCATGCCACTGTACTCCAGCCTGGGCAATGAGAGGAAGAGGAGGGGAGGGGAGGGAAGGGTGGGGGGAAGTGAGGAGGGGAGAGGAGGAGGGAGGGGTGGGGGGAAAGAAAGGAGGGAAGAAAAATGGAAGAAAGGAAGAACAAAAGGAAGAAAGGAAGGAAGGGAGGGAGGGAGGAAGGGAGGAAGAAAGTGAGTTCCAAGGTGGAAAATCAAGGGGCCTGTTTGGAGAAGTGAGAGAATTCATGGGATCTGGCCCATGGGAAGAAGTATGGGAAATCAGGTTGAAAAGGCAGATTCCAGGGAATCAGGCCCTCCCAGCCCTCTAATGTGACAAAGTTAAGGAAGAATTCTTCCTGGTGACCATTTCATTCTTGTGGAACGAGTGCACTCAGCCCCCCAGAAGTAACTGTGGAAGGCTTGGTTGGAACCCCAGTGACCAACCATTGCTCCTGACCAGGTTCCCAACAGGCACATGCTGGCTTGGGATGCTCCAAGGCCCCCTGGAGGATATGGATCTATCTCAACCCAATTTCCTCCTCCTAGGGGATTAACTGAACATGAGGGAAGAGAGCAGATCAGTGCTCAGAAAGGGAATGTATGTTGCTCAGGGTCTCAGAGGAAACTGAGGAATCACACAAGCTGAACTCCCACCTCTAGATTCTTATTCCAAGGCTCACTCCCCAGCACCAGGCTGCCTCTTGAAGTGTATGTGTCAACTCCAGGTACAACGCAACAATTACAATTCCCAACAGAACCCCCTTCCGATTCACCTACAAGATGCTAGGCCTTGGGCTAGGTTCTTGTCAAGCTAACTGGGTTCTCAGAACAAGCCTATAAGATAGGTACTACAATTATTCCCAGTTTCCAGATGAGGAAGGTGAAGCTCCAAGGGGCAAAATGACGTTCTTCTTTCTGCAAGGCAGAGCCGAGATTCCAAATCAGAGCCATTTGACTGCAAAGATCGTGCACATCAGATAAAAGAAACCTCACTGAAGCAGGGAGGGACACACACAGCCTTCCAGGCTTGGGAACAGCATTTCCAGATGTCAAAGGATCGTACAGAGAAAATACTGTGCAAACCAGATTCTCCCCATAAAGCCCAAAGGAGGCATCCTGCCTTCAGCCAGAGGCACCAGACTCCAGCAGCTGATTCCTGTTTCATCTGATTCCTGTTCTTCCTACTCCCCTCTCCACCACCCCGAGACTATTCAAATATAAGCTTTGGCTGGGTGCAGTTGTTCACACCTGTAATCCCAGTACTTTGGGAGGCTGAGGCGGGCAGGTCACCTGAGGTCAGGAGTTCAAGACCAGCCTGGCCAACATGGTAAAACCCTGTCTCTACACAAATACAAAAAAAAAAAAAAAAAAAAAAAAAAAGCTGGGCATGATGATGGGTACCTGTAATCCCAGCTATTGGGAGGCTGAGGCAGGAGAATCGCTTGAACCCAGGAGGCGGAGGTTGCAGTGAGCTGAGGATCGTGCCTTCATGAAAGCAGAGGATTTGAGTCTGTTTTGTTCACTAATGATTTCCAGCACCTACAAGAGTGCCTGGTATGTATAAGGAGCTATTAATAAATAAACATGTGTTGGATGATGTGGAAGGTGAATGTTTTTTAACTATAGGGAGTTTTTGTTTGTTTGTTTTTTGAGATAGGGTTTCCGCTCTCTAACCCAGGTTGAAGTGCAGTGGTGTGATCTTGGCTCACTGCAGCTTTGACCTTCTGGGCTCAAGTAATCTTCCCACTTCAGCTTCCCGAGTAGCTGGGAGTACAGGCATGCGCCACCACACCAGGCTGATTTTTCATTTTATTTTTTATTTTTTGTAGAGACAGGGTCTCACTACGTTGCCCAGGTTGGTCCCAAACTCCTGGCCTCAAGTGATCCTCCCACCTGGACCTCCCAAAGTGCTTGGATTACAGGCATGAACCACTGCGCCTGGCCAAACTTAAGACTATCGCACAAAGCTCCTGTATGGGGGTACTTCCATTAGCTGGAAGACGCAACTTGAATGACAGTGGCTTGGTGACAGAAGCTTTGAAAATGCTCCTGGATGAGCAGACTGGATAAGGAATACCACTGGGAATCACTTTGTAAAGTGATTAGTCAAGTTAAACTCTCCCTGAGTGATCATTTTGATAAGCCTGGACTTTCTTGCTTTGCTCAGAGCAGGATTTGTTTCCTTCCACTCAGCAGACATTCGTGAAGCATTATGTATGCAAAGCTCTGTGCCACATCTCAGGATCTGAGAAATGGAAGGAAGTGCAGAAATCACCCACCAGCCCCACCATTCCTGAAGAGCAAGTGGGAGAGCTGAAACCCAGAGAGAGGTTACTGAGGGAGGCAGGAGGTCCCAGTCCAAGGCCTGCCCCTGGCTCTGTCCCCTCGGCCCTCATAGGTCTGCAGACTTTCAAAGTCAGCAGTTGGACCAGGCCCAGAATTTTAATAGGCAGAGTAACACTTCTGACTTAACAAAGCGCTGGGCTGGAAAGTGTTCCTGCTAGGGGTCTCCAGGAATTAAATGACTTTGGTGGCCATGCACGGTGGCTCATGCCTGTAATACCAGCACTTTGGAAGGTCAAGAAGGGAGGATCACCTGAGGTCAGGAGTTCGAGATCAGCCTGGCCAACATGGCGAAAACCCTTCTCTACTAAAAATACAAAAGTTAGCCAGGTGTGGAGGCGCATGCCTTTAATCCTAGCTACTCAGGAAGCTGAGGCACGAAAATCACTCGAACCTGGAAGGCGGAGGTTGCAGTGAGCCGAGATTGCGCCACTGCACTCCAGCCTAGGCGATAGAGTGAGACTCCATCTCAAAAAAAAAAAAAAAAGAAAAAGAAAAAGAAAAAAATGCCATGTAGGAAATGACATACAGATAAGCCTTGAAGGATGAAGAGAGAGCTAAAGGGACATTCCAGATGAAGGATCTTCGCAAATAAAGCTACAGTGTGGGGACTATCCAGGTGTAGTCTGGAGAGCAGGCAGAACAGGGAGTGGGGACCACTGGAAGGCTACTGGAGCCATCATGGTGAGAACCACTGGAAATGATGAGCCCTGGGCTCAGCACTTTACATCCTCATGCTAGACCTTGGAGGTAGGTTCCCTTACTACTACCACATTCTTTCAGATAAGGAAATGGAGGTCCAAGGAGGTGACAAGGTCACAAGACTGACTGGTGGTAGAAATAGCACTTAAGCCAGGTCCTTCTGATGCCTCCCCCTGACCTCCTTACCACTGGAATGCCAGGCAGTGGCATTACTGAGGCCTTCCATCTAAGGTACCATTGTCCCAGCACACTTGGCCCGGCATGTCACCTCAGACATGTGGGCACCGAGAGGTCAATCTTTGCCTTAAGCATGGAAGCTAGCTTGATCCCACCTTTTTGAGTTGAGCATCTACGAGACTATCAGGACCTCCTTCACCAAATAGAGGGGATGCATGGGCAAGGAATATGAGGATTGCTGAGGATTTATTATGCTCCGCTGTCTGCTGGTTTCTGTTTATTGTTCTACAGTTGTGTAGGTTGTAGTTACTAGTTCTCCTCGGGTCACACTGGTGTCATCGTGACCCTGGGGCAGATCCCTTTGCCAGAACTAGGGTGGTTGGCCTTTCTTGGGAGACTGGAGTTTAAACTGGTGGTGGTATCCCGAAGGTTAAGTACCGGTTGCTGTTCACGGATTCCTCTCTCCATCGCCCGAGCTTTCTGAGCTGCTCTGTCATGAACTTTTTTTTCAGGTGTTCATAGTAGTGGCTGATCTTTTTCTTGGTCTTCTCTAAAGCGCTCACCTTACAAAAAACAGAGGTGAGGTTAGGATCAAGATCCTAAAGAGGTGAGATTAGGATTACTTCGCAGCAGGGCAGACATCTGTGCTACTGATGGGGGAGTGGGAAAAGTGTCAGCTGGACCCTATGTACATTCCATATACTTTGACTCACAGAGAGCCTATTTCTCTATTTGTAAAAAGCATGCATTAAGCTAGATAACTCCAAGGACTGGCGCAGTGGCTCACACCTGTAATCCCAACACTCTGGGAGGCCAAGGAGGGTGGATCACTTGAAGTCAGGAGTTTGAGAGCAGCCTGGCCAACAAGGTGAAACCCTGTCTCCGCTGAAAATACAAAGATTAGCCAAGCATGGTGGTAGGCACCTGTAATCCCAGCTACTCGGGAGGCTGAGGCAGAAGAGTTGCTTGAACCCAGGAGGTGGAGGCTGCAGTAAGCCGAGACCGCACCACAGCACTATAGCCTGGACAACAGAGTGAGACTCTGTCTCACACTGAATTCTACTTATTTCTTCTATTGTATAACTTCTGTCCTGTCCCCCAAAAGGCGGTAAGGTGTGGGAAGCCAACATCCTATGTCTTATGCATTTACTCCAATGAGCTAGCTACAGGAGAGGATACTAAGAAAAACTGCCACAGGTCTTCACAGTAACTCCAATGTAGTCAGGATGTAAGACACATGCCCAAATATTTCTTTTTTTTTTTCTTTTTTGAGATGGAGTCTCGCACTGTCACCCAGGCTGGAGTGCAGTGGCGCGATCTCAGCTCACTGCAAGCTCTGCCTCCTGGGTTCACACCATTCTCCTGCCTCAGCCTCCCGAGTAGCTGGGACTACATGCGCCCGCCACCACACCTGGCTAATTTTTTGTATTTTTAGTAGAGACGGGGTTTCACCATGTTAGCCAGGATGGTCTCGATCTCCTGACCTCGTGATCCACCCGCTTCGGCCTCCCAAAGTGCTGAGATTACAGGCATGAACCACCGTGCCCGGCCCACATGCCCAAATATTTCTAAGAGAGAAAGTGATCCACTTCCAAAAGAAGCACAGAGTTCAAGGAAGGGAGATATCACGACAAATTTCACTTGGCTGGGCGCTGTGGCTCACATCTGTAATCCCAGCACTTTGGGGGGCCAAGGCAGGTGGCTCACTTGAGGCCAGGAGTTTGAGATCAGCCTGGCCAACATGGGGAAACCCCATCTCTACTCAAAATACAAAAAAAACCTAGCTGGGTGTGGTGGCATGTGCCTGTAATCCCAGCTACTCAGGAGGCTAAGGCACAAGAATCGCTTGAACCCAGGAGGCAGAGGTTGCATTGAGCCGAGATTATGCCACTGCACTTCAGCCTGGGTGACAGAGCGAGACTCTGTCTCAGAAAAGAAAAGAAAAGCTACCCAGAGAAGTTAGCATATAAACTGAGGCTAGGTTTTGAAGGATGGGAGGGTTTGGGGCATGTAGAAACAATGTGGTGGGTGGTGATCCTGGGAATGTACGTTTTTTAACAAGCCCTCCAGGGGATTCTGATAAGCACTAACATTATCTGAAGACCTAGCACAAGGTTAAGCAAAGGACTTCTTCATAAAGGCCAGTCAATATTGACATGATTACTTGACATGAGGAATTAAAGAGGGAGGGTGGGCACTAAATGTCATAGTTCAAGTCCGTGTTCTCCAAACCTGGCTGAGCATCAGAAGCATTTCAGTTGCTTGATAGAAACGTAGGCCCCAAGGATTCTTGCTTAATAGGGTTTGGATGGGGGCCAGCAATCTCCACTTTTGTCATGCACCTGAGATTATTCTGATCCAGCCCCATTACCAAGTCGCTGCTATTACCACCATTTTCTTTTTTTCTTTTTTTTTTGAGACAGGGTCTCACTCTATTGCCCAGGCTAGGGAGAGTGCAGTGGCACAATCTTGGTTAACTGCAACCTCCACATCTTGGGTTCAAGCGATTCTTGTGCCTCAGCCTTCCAAGTATCTGAGATTACAGGCTTGAGCCACCACACCAGGTTAATTTTTGTATTTTTAGTAGAGACAGGGTTTCACCATGTTGGCCAGGCTGGTCTCAAACTCCCGACCTCAAGTGAGGCACCTGCCTCAGCCTCCCAAAGTGCTGGGCTTACAGGTGTGAGCCACTGTGCCCAACCTTATTACCACCATTTTCTTTTCTTTTCTTTTCTTTTTTTTTTTTTTTGAGAGGGAGTTTCACTCTTGTTGCCCAGACTGGAGTGCAATTATGCGATATTGGCTCATCGCAACCTCGGCCTCCAGGGTTCAAGCAATTCTCCTGCCTCAGCCTCCCAAGTAGCTGGGATTACAGGCATGTGCCACCACACCTGGCTAGTTTTCTATTTTTAGTAGAGAGGGGTTTCTCCGTGTTGGTCAGGCTGGTCTCGAACTCCCAACCTCAGGTGATCCGCCCGCCTCGGCCTTCCAAAGTGCGTGAGCCACCACCCTGGCTTACCACCATTTTCTAGTACACCCCATGACAGTAGGCTTTTTGGCCTCTCTCAACTAGTGATTTTACCTTGAGCATGACTCTTACCAATCAGGGTTTCTCAACCTTGACACTACTGACATTTTGAGCTAGGCAGTGTGTGGTGGAGGGCTGTCCCATACACTGCGGGATATTCAGCAGTGTCCCTGGCCTCTACCTACTAAATACAGAAAGCCACAAAGGGCTGGGCATGGTGGAACATGCCTATAATGCCAGCACTTTGGGAAGCAGAGATGGGCAGATCACTTGAGCCCAGGAGTTTGAGGCCAGCCTGGGCAATATGGTGAAACCCCGTTTCTATTAAAAGTGCAAAACATTAGCTGCGCATGATGGCACGTGCCTGTAATCCTAGCAACCTGGGAGGCTGAGGTGGGAGGATTGCTTGAACTCAGGAGGTTGAGGCTACAGCAAGCTGTGATCATGCCACTGCCCTCCAGCCTGAGCAAAAGAGTGAGACCCTGTCTCAAAAAAAAAAAAAAAGAAAAAAAAAGGAAATTAAAAAAAGGGGATACAAAGATGATGAGAGAGAATGGAAGACATACCTGGTGGTAGTACAGCCCCTGGCTACTTTCCCCAAAAACATTGGCGACTCTGCCCTATCCATCCTTGATTATGTAAACCCAACTTCTCTATCTTGCTCGAACTAGTTCAAGTTCAGTTTATGTTACCTGCAACTGAGAGGATCTTAATAGATCCTATTTTACAAATGAGAAAGCAGAGTCTGGAGGAAGTGTAATTCACACAGGGTCACACAAAGCTGGCTTGCCCATCTATTTCCACTACACCACACCCATGGAAGTGTAGCAGAAAGAGAAATGCCCGGGTCCCTACTCTTCTTTTGGTGTTTGTGACCTTCAAGAGGATCTGGCACCATCTCTTAAGGATCTCCAATTGTTTTTAATGTTAGAATTTTGTGGGCCCATCCAGACTTGACCCTGGAACATGGAAGGAAGCTCAAAAGAGTCAAGAAGCAGGCAGCAGCTGTGCGTGGTGGCTCACTCCTGTAATCCCAGCACTTTGGGAGTCTGAGGTGGGTGGATCACCTGAGGTCAGGAGTTTGAGACCAGCCTGGCCAACATGGTGAAACCCCGTCTCTACTAATAAAACAAAAATTAGACGGGCGTAGTGGTGCATGCCTGTAATTCCAGCTACTTGGGAGGGTGAGGCAGGAGAATTGCTTAACCCGGGAGGTAGAGGTTGCAGTGAGTTGAGATAGCGCCACTGCACTCCAGCCTGGACAACAGGAATGAAATTCTGTCTCAAAAAAGAAAAGAAGGTGGCAGCAGCTCAACCCTGGGCACCCTGCTCTGCTTGAAAGAATGAGTGTGTTTCTGGAGTCCATCTTGTTCACTTGTCTCTTCCTAGCGCCCAACACAGTACCTGTCCCAAGCAGGCCCTAAGGACAGGTTTAATGAATCCATCAATCAGGGTCTATGGGAACAGTGGGGTGACAGCACTCAGGATTTCGAGTAAGCAGGTGAAACTCTACCTGTCCATAGCAAAAAGTGGGAGAAGAGCCTCAGCTCTCATCTGGAAAATGGGGATAATCCCCAAAGGAAAAAATTGACAAGATGGTGTTGAGGCCCATTCAAACTCTAGGACCCAAGACTTTGGTTTTCTGTTTTTTTGTTTGTTTGTTTTTTGAGATGGAGTCTTGCTCTGTTGCCACACACCTGGCTGCCACCACACCTGGCTAATTTTTGTATTTTTAGTAGAGACAGGATTTCACCATATTGGCCAGGCTGGTCTCGAATTCCTGACCTCAAGTGATCCTCCTGCCTCAGCCTCCCAAAGTGCTGGGATTAGAGGTATGAGCCACTGCGTGTGGCCTAGGACCCAAGACTTTGTATGGGAGAAAATAAGAATCCATTCATGGATTCCCTAAATAGAGAGATAATGTGCTTTCAGAAAAAAAGACCCAAGAGACATGGAGTCTTTCTCTCTGGCTCCCTTAGCCCAGGAACAGGTGCGACACCTTGCGCAAGTCAGTAACCCCGAGTATCAATTGCCTCCTCTGTAAAATGGGGCCTGCCTTAGAGCACCTTGATGACTCCCTATCACCTCTATGATATCCCAGCATATAGGGAGAATGAAATGAATATGGGTCAAGCCACTAACACCCTCTAATGCAAAAGCTTGTGGCTACTTTACCTCCATCTCATAGATTCGTTGTGTGATGCGGTTATCATGAATAATCACCCGAGATAAATGGCTCTTGGGTAAAGTTTTTTTCATCGCTGCTTCACTGGAATTCATTAAGCTGGAGCAGGGAGGGAAAGGTGGCACAGGTTACAGACGGTTGGGGCCTGGGCCAGAGCACATTTGATGGGGTCCTGAGGGAGTGGCTGAGGCTTCCCCGGGTTTCTTGGGACAAGTGCAGCTCTGTCATAATTTTCAAAAGAACAGGGGAGTAACCACAGTTTCTTGTTGTGGAAAAGGTATGCTAAAGGGGTATTTCATGGTTACCCAGAAGAAAAGCCATTCTGAGGATGTAAAATGGCCTAGTGCAGTCCTTAAGAGAAGGGTTATCAGGAACTCAGAACCATCCTCAGAAGCAGTCACCCTTTTTGTGTTTTTTGTTTTTTTGAGGCGGAGTTTCACTCTGTCTCCCAGGCTGGAGTGTGGTGGTGCAATCTTGGCTTACTGCAAACTCCACCTCCAGTTCAAGCAATTCTCCTGCCTCGGCCTCCTGAGTAGCTGGCACTACAGGCACTCGCCACCATGCCTGGCTAATTTTTGTACTTTTAGTAGAGACGGGGTTTCACCATGTTGGACAGGCTGGGTTCAAACTCCTGACCTCAAGAGATACACCCACCTCAGCCTCCCAAAGTGCTGGGATTACAGGCAAGTGCCACCACGCCCACCCAGCCAAAAGCAGTCATCTTGATGATCCTTCTTAAGGATGAAATGGTGAGAGGAGTCTTAGAGGAGAGGAGTAAAGTTGTAGGGTAGGATTCAGAAGGATGAATCTGGGAGGTGTTTAGCTTGGGGGGCACTTGCTCTAGAGCATATGCTTCAAGGGGATCTGGGAGGTGGGGGGTTGGGGGAGTATAAATCAGAGCAGGGAGAAATGCAAATGAAAAGCTTGGACAGGTGTTAGGCTGGTTAACAGGGAAATTCTGGAAGAAAGTTTGGGGAGTTTAGAAAAGTGAAGGAGGTATGGGGTGGCTAGGGGTTTTAGGAGACTCTGAAAGGTGAGAGGTGAAAGATGGGGTGGGGTGGGGTAGAATGGAGCCAAGTACTCCAGGTGAAAATACAACAATTTGGTCAAAATGAGAAAATGGTGAAAAGTGGATACACTTACAGGCACTGAGTTTTCACTTTTTGATAATTTGGTTACACCACGAAGTAGTCTTATGAACATATATCTTTAAATGGTTTTGTCCATTTAAAAATAATTGTTCAGGACCGGGCAAGTTGGCTCACGCCTGTAGTCCCAGCACTTTGGGAGGCTGAAGCAGGCGAATCACTTGGAAGTCAGGAGTTCCAGAACAGCCTGGCAAAGATGGTGAAACCCCATCTCTGCTAAAAATACAAAAATTAGCTGGGCGTGGTGGTGAGCGCCTGTAATCCCAGCTACTCGGGAGGCTGGGGCAGGAGAATCACATGAACCCAGGAGGCGGAGGTTGCAGTGAACTACTTTACCATTGTACTCCAGCCTGGGCGACAGAGTGAGACTCCGTCTCAAAAAAAAAAAAATTGTTCATATTTTCTTTCTAAAATGTGGAAACAAAATGTACAATATTGAATAAATTTTGGTATGTCATAAAATAAAATACATGTAATTGTGTATGAAACATAGACACGGGTGGTGTATTAGATGGGAGAAGAAAGCAGGTTACTAGAAACTGAACTTTTTGTGATGTATTGTTTTTTAAGTATAAGTATGTTGTCATATATATATTATATATGAATGAAGCCTGAACAAAATGCACCAAAATGTTAACGGTGATTGTCCCTAGCCAATCATGCTGCTAGTCTTATTTTTCTTATTTTATTTTATTTTTATTTCTTTGAGATGGGATCTCACTCTGTCGCCCATGTTGGAGTGCAGTGGCGCAATCTCCGCTCAATGCAACCTCAGCCTCCCAGGCTCAAGCAATCCTCCCACCTCAGGCTCCCGAGTAACTGGGACCACAGGCCAGCCACCATGCCCGGCTAATTTTTTGCATTTTTGGTAGAGACAGGGTTTCGCCATGTTGACCTGACTGGTCTCGAACTCCTGAGCTCAGGCGATCCACCCTCCTCAGCCTCCCAAAGTGGTGGGATTACAGGCATGAGCCACTGCACCTGGCCTTATTTATCCATAAGTGTATGCTACTTTTATAATTAGGACAAAAAAGACAACTGTGGAAGGGTGAAACATTTTGAAGGACTAGAATTTTTTTCTAACTGATGCCGGGTGCAGTGGCTCACACCTGTAATCCCAGCACTTTGGGAGGCAGAGGCAGGCAGATCACCTGAGGTCAGGAGTTCCAGACCAGACTGGCCAACATGGTGAAACCCCGCCTCTACTAATAATACAAAAATTAGCCGAGCATGGTGGTGCACGCCTGTAATCCCAGCTACTCAGGAGGCTGAGGCAGGAGAATTGCAATTCATTTTCAGCCAATTTGGAACCCGGAGTGTCGTGTATGTTTTTAGATTTACAAACTAATATGAACAATCCAATTTCCCAGTCTCCCATTTACATTTTTCTGACCTATGCACAGCCTAGGTATGAGGTGATGGAAAAGGCTGGTTTAGAGATCAAGATGCTCAAACACAAAAGTCCCCCAAATCCTGGTTTTTTTTTGTTGTTGTTGTTTAAAAAAAATCCCTAAAACATTTAAGGACACATAAAACTCTTCACCCACTCAGTGGGTGCACCAAATTTACCAATACTAGAAGGGGAAGAGGGTGGCAACGACTGGAAATATTCCCTTTCAAGTAATAAAGGTCATTTTGAACCAAATTGCTTTCCACCTCAAGTTCTCCATGGACAGGGGCCTGAAGGATGCAGTGAGGGGGGTTTGTGGAATGGAAAGGAGCGCGGGTAATTGGGGTTTGTGAGGATCCGGGCCAGGCAGAGGGAACTGGGGTTTTTTCCAGGACCACCGGGGAAAAGAGAGGCTGAGAAGGGGCGTATGAGACGGATTCGAACTTGGGAGGACCTGGGCCTCGCCAGGTTCTAAGAGTCAGGGCTCATCCCCCTAGGGCACTGCGGCCACATGTTGTCATGCCTGGGGGACTGACGGGCCAGGACCGATTCTGAGAAAATGTCAGTGGAGATGTCATTCTGAGAAAATGTCAGTGGAGATGGGGATTCCAGGTTCTCCCGCGATTCCGGGGCGAGGGAGTTCGGGCTCCGGGGAATCCGAAGAGCTAGACTGGGAAGGTGCTGGTGCCCGGGGCTACGAGAAATCGACTATCCTGGGGTGTGAAAAAGGGCCGGGGTCCGGCTAAGGGGAGCGCGAGTCCCAAAGAGTTAGGGTTCCCTCGCGGGTCCGAGGGTCTGACGAACGCTCTGGGCATGCGGGCCACACCTGAACAGCACCGGCTGCTGCGCGGACCTCGGCCGCGGAAAGCAGATCTGCGGCTGACCCCCTACGCCGATTTCTGGGCGGCGGCCGAGTCTATCGCGCTGGTAGTTCGAACCCGAGGTGGCGCTGGAACTGGTGGTCGCCTGGGCGGCGGTCCCGCCGATCGTGGAGGATCCCTGGTCACAGGTGACCGAGGGCCTAGTCGGCTGTGTCATTGCGGCTTCCCTGTTGGAGAAAGAGTTGGAAACTGGTGGCTGGTTGCCAGCCCACCTAGGTGGGCGCGCGCTGACGCGGAGTGAGTCCCTGGGCGGAGCCCTGAACCGAGCGCGGCGCGTTGCCTGGGAGACACATATTGGCTGCGGGGAAGGGGACGGGGGCTGTTGGACATGCGTGCAGAGTCCGGCGGCCACGGACGCGGTAATATTGTCCCTCGGCATCCGCCGTGGTGAGACCCGGCGCGTTGCTGTGAAGACGGACGGGTCTGGAAGAAGTGGGGTGCGGTGAGCTGAGCAGACCTTTTCCGCTTCGACGTGGGGACTGCAGTGACCCCGGCCTGCTGGCGGGGCGGGTAACGGGTTGAGCCAGGGTGGGGCTGCTCAGCGGCATGGAGCTGAGGTCTGAAGACCCAGCACAGGCGATTCCTTTCTGCGACGAGACAATTGCTATGGAAACCAAAGTGCTGGGTCAGCGGGGATTGAGGCTCCAGGATCAAGACTGGTGTCTTTCCGGAAGACCCTTGGCTAAGGCTTCCCGGAGCGGCTGCTTCCTGAATGAATCCGCCATCTCCTGCGGGGTCTTGACACCGAGCAGGCGAAGAAGCCTATTCCAATGCCAGCTCCCCCGGGAAACCTACCTGGCCCACCCCTATAAGTGGTGCCTCGCTCTCGTTAACTCTTAGACTTTGTTCCACGTTTATAACCTAATATTTCGGTAACGCCCCGCGGTTTTTGTTTACTTTTCCCACACATAATGGACCAGAAAGACTTGCTTCCGGACTTTGCTTTATGACTCTGAACAAGTCATTTTTCCCACTGGGTCTCACTTCCCTCTTGTGTAAAATGGAAATATTAACTCTAGATGCCGGTCTGGTTAGGTTTGAAGATCGAACCAGATGAGGGAAGCCAAAGACTTCATAGGCTGTAAAGTGGTGAAACTGAACTGCTAACGAGTTGCTATTTTTTTCTCCCCTCCCTCTCCCTCAAGCTAAAAGTTCTTCAGATTTCTTGTGATTTCTTCAGGCGGTCTTGGGACTCCCTAGCCTCCGACCTGGAATAGATCTCTCTTCACACTTCACTTCCACAGAGCCCTTCATTTTAACTTCCCTATCCAAAGCAAGAAAAATAGTTATCATTTTTAGAGGGCTTACTCTGTGCCAAGCCCTGATAAAACTCTTTACCTGGATTATCTCATTAAATTTCACAACATCCTTTTAAGGTAGCCACTGTTATCCTCTTTTTAAGCTCTGTCTGCCTGTAATTGCCTATTTAATGTCTGTTTCCCCCACTAGACTTTGAGCTCTGAAAAAAGGGGCCATGACTGTCTTGTACATTTCAGTATCTCCAACACCTAATACAGTGCCTGATAAATATTTCTTAACTAGCATGAAAATGACTGACCCTCCTCCTATCACTACCCTTACCCTCAAGAGCATTGTCTCTCCTGCAGACTTTTAGTTGCTGTGATGAACAGCACATTCCTTTATTCCCATTACTCACTGGTTTGAGGGGCCATCAGTTCACTTCTCTCTGGATTATCTGATGATGAGGATCCAGAACATCCCTTAGCATTTAGGCTTCCACCTGGGTTCAGGAGGCTTTTTCCTTGCCCTTCATATAGTCTCTAGAACAAGGCAGCCCTAGCTGCCCTTCCTGGGGTGAGCCTGATGCATTTGAGTCTAGGGCGTTGGCAGGTAGAATTTACCTATACAATCTTTGGCTCTTCTCTTTAGTAGCCTCAGAACCACCCCCATCCCCACTCAGCCTGTTCCTGGAATTCTACAGAAAAATGGCCAGGCTGGGTGCCGTGGCTCATGCCTGTAATCCCTGCACTTTGTGAGGCTAAGGCGGGCGGATCACTTGAGGTCAGGAGTTTTCGAGACCAACCTGGTCAGCATAATGAAACCCCGTTTATACTAAAAATAAAAAAATTAGTCAGGCGTGGTAGCGCCCACCGGTAATGCCAGCCACTAGGGAGGCTGAGGCACGAGAATCAGTCGAACCCGGGAGGCGGAGGTTGCAGTGAGCCAAGATTGTGCCACTGCACTTCCAGCCTGGGCGACAGAGAAATACTTTGTCTCAGATAAATAAATAAATAAATAAATAAATAAATAAATAAATAAATAAAATTGATGGGCGCGGTGGCTCACACCTATAATCCCAACTCTTTGGGAGATCGGGGAGAGCAGATCACTAGAGGTCAGGAGTTTAAGACCAGCCTGGCCAAAATGGTGAAACCCCATCTCTACAAAAATTAGCCGAGTGTGGTGGTGCCTGCCTACAATCCCAGCTACTCAGGAGGCAGAGGCAGGAGAATCACTTGAATCCAGGAGGCAGAGGTTGCAGTGAGCCGAGATAGTGCCACTGCACTCTAGCCTGGACTACAGAGTAAGACTCTGTCTCAAAAAATTAAATGACTTTGCTTCCCTCCCCAATCCCAGCACCCAGGCATTGTGCCTTGCAGCAGATCCTAGCTGAGCATTTAAGCACAAGCCTCTGCTGACCCCTTTTGGTCTCTGTGGGATCTGCCCTAGTCTAGCAGCCAGGGCCCCAGGTGCACATTTGGCACCTTTTGGCCTTGTGACCTCACCTGTCAAAATGCTTTCCCACCATTTATCTCATGGGGTCCTCTCTACAATCCTGGGAAGTGAGGAAAGCCGGGATTCCCATTCTCACTTTACAAATGAGCAGCAGGATCCTGGGATCCAGTACCAAATCTACCACTAATTCCTTACCTGACCTTGGCAAGTCACCTTCCTACTCCCAGGCTCAGTCACCCATCGATGAAATAGGAGGGGCGATCTGCACAAGACAGCTATATGGTTTCTTCCACCTCCCCAACCTCTCAGAGTGGAGAGGTAACTTGCCCAAGATCAGAGTGAACCAGAGCTGAAGCACTCCCAGTCTGCAGGTCCCCATCACTGATCAGGAAAAGCCAGAGGTGTCACAGCAAAGAAGAAAACCCATTCTTCCACCTTTATGTTCTGATTGTGTGTTCAAGGGCCACATAGATAGGTGAGTGGATGGATGGATGGATGGATGGACGGATGGATGAGTGGTTGGATGGATGAGTGGATGGATGGATGAGTGGATGGATGGATGGATTGGTGAGTGAATGGATGAATGGATGGATGGATGAGACAGATATGTCAGAACTTTGGGATCACTCTTAGCAGCAACTTCAGCAGCTACCTACCTCCCCCTGCTCCCTGACAAGTTACCCCTCTGATTCCAGCTGGCTAACCCTTTGGCAGGATCCTCTGGACCCACCAAATTCTGAATCCTTCACATTCTGAAATCACTGCCCCTGCCTGACAGCCTGGAGCTAGGACCTGCAGTGTGGGGAATAAGTCTTCATCCCAGGCTTCCTTCTTGACATGTTATCAACCACTGTCCTCAACAGCTACAGCCGTAGGAGAAGAGTCAGTGGCCAGGGACCATAAACGAAGGCTCCAAACATGGGCATCCCTCACAGAGCAGTTCCTTTGGCCAATAATGGCTGAAATAAACTCTGTGCTCATAATGAAGCTGAGAATCACTGGGGCGGCAGCCTGGCATGGGAAGAGCACGCCCTGTGCATCGTATGGCCTGGTTCACATCTGACATTAAGTTCCTCCACCTCTCTGTGCCTTGGTTTTCTTGCCTGTAAGATAGGCGTGATGCCTGACAAGTGTTGTTGTGGGGAATGAATGAGGTAAGATATAAAATGCCTTGCAGGTCATAGGTGCTCAGTAAACAGAAGTTCCCTTCTTTTTGTTCCAGGTCATGGAGAAATGTTGTAGAGGGAAGGAACAAAGTCTACTGTGCATCCAGCAAGGTTTGTATGTGTGTGTGTGTGTGTGTGTGTGTGTATGTATGTATGTATGTATGTATTCTGAGATGGAGTCTCGCTCTGTCGCCCAGGCTGGAGGGCAGTGGCATGATATCAGGTCACTGCAGCCTCTGCGACCTGGGTTCAAGTGGTTCTCCTGCCTCAGCCTCCAGAGTAAAGTAGCTGGGATTACAGGGGCCTGCCACCACATCCGGCTAATTTTTGTATTTTTAGAAGAGACAGGGTTTCACCATGTTGGCCAGGCTGTTCTCAAATTCCTGACCGCAGGTGATTCCGTCCGCCTTGGCCTCCCAAAGTGCTGGGATTACAGGCATGAACCACCATACCCAGCCTCAAGGTTTTTAAACTGGTTTTTCCAAGTACTCCAAAGCAGTACAATGCATTTGGTGGGGGAATGAAGGGAGGGGAAATGAAATGTATTTTCAACAAGAAATGAAGTTGTGTTCAAACATACTTAATCTCTTTAAGAGATAGTACTTTTCATCTGTCCACTGCCACCATCATAGAACTTCAGGCACAATGAATACTCCACAGAGATTTTCCAGTGACAAGCTGAGCTCATCTCTTTATTTCATAGGAGTCTGGGGCAGCAGTCAGGACTCCTACGTCCCATCCCTCCACTTCTTGGGTGAGCCTCTCCCTCATCCACATCTCCCTAACCCAGCCTGACTCTCCCTAATGGCCTATCCATCCCAGAGTGGGTGACAAGTTCTTCAGATACCTAGTGGAAGAGACACCTGGGTTGGAGTCCAGCTTTGATGTTAAAGAGTTGACCTTGGCCAGGCATGGTGGCTCATGCCTGTAATCCCAGCACTTTGGGAGGCCAAGGCAGGTGGATTACCTGAGGTCAGAAGTTGGAGACCAGCCTGGCCAACATGATGAAACCCCGTCCCTACTGAAAACACAAAAATTAGCCAGGTGTAGTGGTGCATGCCTGTAATCCCAACTATTTAGGAGGCTGAGGCGGGAGAATCGCTTGAACCCAGGAGGTGGAGGTTGCAGTTAGCTGAGATTGTGCCACTGCACTCCAGCCTGGGCGCCAGAGCCAGACTTCATCTCAAAACAAAACAAAAAACCTCATCCATAAAATGGGGCTAATAAAATTACCTATTCTGCTGTTGGGAGGATTCAATGAGATCATGTTTGAAAAGAGCTGGGCCTTATACCTGGCACATGAGTGCTCAATAAATGTTAATATGCTAACGATTTTGATGACCTGAATGGGATCCCAGCTGAGATTTCATTTGAACTGAGGTGTGTGTGTGTGTGTGTGTGTGTGTGTGTGTGTGTGTGTGTGTGTGTGTCTACTGGACTAAAGAATCTTTCATCTGGGCATAGTGGCTCACACCAATCCCAGCACTTTGGGAGGCTGAGAGGGGAGGATCTCTTGAGCCCAGGAGTTTGAGACCAGCTTGGGCAACATAGCCAGACCCTATCTCTACAAAAATACAAAAATTAGCCAGGCATGGTGGCATGTTCCTGTGGTCCCAGCTACTCTGGAGGCTGAGGTGGAGGTGGGAGGATCGCTTGTGCCCAGGAAGTCAAGAATACAGCGAGCCATGATTTTTCCACTGTGCTCCAGCTTGAGTGATAGAGTGAGACCCTGTCTCAAAAACAAACAAACAAACAAAAACAAAAAACAAAAACCTTTGGCCAATCTCCTTAGTTTCAAGATTCCATTTCTCCCACAATATCTTCCCATCCAATACCTCTCCATTCTTCACTCACTAATTTTTCTTTCTTTTAATCTTCTTCTCTCCCAATAACTAAGTGGCTTTCAGGAATTTCATTGCTTTGAAATTTGAGCCGAGATCAAATCACTGCACTCCAGCCTGTGTGACAGAGTGAGACTCCATCTAAGAAAAAAAAAAAAAAAAAAAAGGGAATATCCTGCAAGATGGTCAGTCAGACCAGGTTTTGCAACTTTGCAGTGACTCACTGTGTAATCTTAGTGAAGTTCCTCCATCTCTTTGGGTCTGAGTTTCCTGAACTATTAAATGGGGGTAATAATACACAATAGATGTCAAGTACCTAAAACACTTAAGGGCTCCATATAGTTTTATTTTTATTTATTTATTATAAATAAATTATAAATTATAATTATTTATATTTATTTAAATATTTATATATTTAAAATAAATGTATATTTAAAATATATATTTATTTTATTTTATTTTATTTTTTATTATACTTTAAGTTTTAGGGTACATGTGCACAATGTGCAGGTTTGTTACATATGTATACATGTGCCATGTTGGTGTGCTGCACCCATTAACTCGTCATTTAACATTAGGTATATCTCCTAAAGCTATCCCTCCCCGCTCTGCCAATCCCACAACAGGCCCCGGTGTGTGATGTTCCCCTTCCTGTGTCCATGTGTTCTCATTATTCAATTCCCACCTATGAGTGAAAACATGCGATGTTTGGTTTTTTGTCCTTGCCATAGTTTGCTGCGAATGATGGTTTCCAGCTTCATCCATGTCCCTACAAAGGACATGAACTCATCATTTTTTATGGCTGCATAGTATTCCATGGTATATATGTGCCACATTTTCTTAATCCAGTCTATCATTGATGGACATTTGGGTTGGTTCCAAGTCTTTGCTATTGTGAATAGTGCCACAATAAACATACGTGTGCATGTGTCTTTATAGCAGCATGATTTATAATCCTTTGGGTATATACCCAGTAATGGGATGGTTGGGTCAAATGGTATTTCTAGTTCTAGATCCTTGAGGAATTGTCACACTGTCTTCCACAATGGTTGAACTAGTTTACAGTCCCACCAACAGTGTAAAAGTGTTCCTATTTTTCCACCTCCTCTCCAGCACCTGTTGTTTCCTGACTTTTTAATGATCGCCATTCTAACTGGTGTGAGACGGTATCTCATTGCAGTTTTGATTTGCATTTCTCTGATGGCTAGTGATGATGAGCATTTTTTCATGTGTCTGTTGGCTGCATAACTGTCTTCTTTTGAGAAGGGTCTGTTCATATCCTTCACCCACTTTTTGATGGGGTTGATTTTTTCTTGTAAATTTGTTTAAGTTCTCTGTAGATTCTGGATATTAGGCCTTTGTCAGATGGGTAGATTGCAAACATTTTCTCCCATTCCGTAGGTTGCCTGTTCACTCTGATGGTAGTTTCTTTTGATGTGCAGAAGCTCTTTAGTTTAATTAGATCCCATTTGTCAATTTTGGCTTTTGTTGCCATTGCTTTTGGTGTTTTGGTGTTTAGACATGAAGTCCTTGCCCACGCCTATGTCCTGAATGGTACTGCCTAGGTTTTCTTCTAGGGTTTTTATGGTTTTAGGTGTAACATTTAAGTCTTTAATCCATCTTGAATTAATTTTTGTATAAGGTGTAAGGAAGGGATCCAGTTTCAGCTTTCTATCTATGGCTAGCCAGTTTTCCCAGCACCATTTATTAAATAGGGAATCCTTTCCCCATTTCTAGTTTTTGTCAGGTTTATCAAAGATCAGATGGTTGTAGATGTGTGGCATTATTTCTGAGGGCTCTGTTCTGTTCCATTGGTCTATATCTCTGGTTTGGTACCAGTATCATGCTGTTTTGGTTACTGTAGCCTTGTAGTATAGTTTGAAGTCAGGTAGCGTGATCCCTCCAGCTTTGTTCTTTTGGCTTAGGATTGTCTTGGCAATGCGGGCTCTTTTTTGGTTCCATATGAACTTTAGTTTTTTCCAATTCTGTGAAGAAAGTCATTGGTAGCTTGATGGGGATGGCATTGAATCTATAAATTACCTTGGGCAGTATGGCCATTTTCATGATATTGATTCTTCCTATCCATGAGCATGGAATGTTCTTTCATTTTTTTTGTCCTCTTTTATTTTGTTGAGCAGTGGTTTGTAGTTCTCCTTAAAGAGGTCCTTCACATCCCTTGTAAATTGGATCCCTAGGTATTTTATTCTCTTTGAAGCAATTGTGAATGGGAGTTCACTCATGATTTGGCTGTTTGTCTGTTATTGGTGTATAGGAATGCTCGTGATTTCTCAACATTGATTTTGTATCCTGAGACTTTGCTGAAGTTGCTTATCAACTTAAGGAGATTTTGGGCTGAGACAATGGGGTTTTCTAAATATACAATCATGTCATCTGCAAACAGGGACAATTTGACTTCCTCTTTTCCTAATTGAATACCCTTTATTTCTTTCTTCTGCCTGATTGCCCTGGCCAGAACTTCCAACACTATGTTGAATAGGAGTGGTGAGAGAGGGCATCCCTGTCTTGTGCCAGTTTTCAAAGGGAATGCTTCCAGTGTTTGCCCATTCAGTATGATATTGGCTGTGGGTTTGTCATAAATAGCTCTTACTATTTTGAGGTACATCCCATCAATACCAAATTTATTGAGAGTTTTTAGCATGAAGGGCTGTTGAATTTTGTCAGAGGCCTTTTCTGCATCTATTGAGATAATCATGTGGTTTTTGTCTTTGGCTCTGTTTATATGCTGGATTACGTTTATTGATTTGCATATGTTGAACCAGTCTTGCATCGCAGGGATGAAGCCCACTTGATCGTGGTGGATAAGCTTTTTGACGTGCTGCTGGATTCATTTTGCCAGTATTTTATTGAGGATTTTTGCATTGATGTTCATCAGGGATATTGGTCTAAAATTCTCTTTTTTTGTTGTGTCTCTGCCAGGCTTTGGTATCAGGATGATGCTGGCCTCATAAAATGAGTTAGGGAGGATTTCCTCTTTTTCCATTGATTGAAATAGTTTCAGAAGGAATGGTACCAGCTCCTCCTTGTACCTCTGGTAGAATTCGGCTGTGAATCCATCTGGTCCTACTTGGTTGGTAGGCTATTAATTATTGCCTCAATTTCAGAGCCTGTTATTGGTCTATTCAGGGATTCAACTTCTTCCTAAACATATTCTGAAGGCAATTGCTTGAAAAAGTTATTATCAGTAGAAAGGAATGTCTGGGTTATGATAAAGGGTTGTGAAGACCTAGGTTTTATCATGCAGACAAAGCCTCCAGCAGGCATTAGAGAGAAGACCATCAATGTTTCTTATCAGATATAAGGTTTGTGTTGGTTAATGCTGGAGGAGTGTAATGAGGCATGTCCAACCCCTACTTCCTTTCATGGCCTGAACCAGTCTTTCAGGGTAAGTTTTAGAGTTCCCTGGCTGAGGAGAAAGTCCAATCAGATTTTTGTGGGGGAGGCTTTTGAATTTTATTTGTGGTTTACACATCAAAGAAAAAACCTCCAGGGAAATTATAAAATATTTTCTACTGAATGACTGTAAAATCAGAGCATATCAAAATTAATGCAGGTAAAGCAATATTTAGAGAGAAATTTATAGCTTTAAAAATTAGAAAGGAAGACTTCAATAACCTAGAAAAATTAATTAAGCTTTCACCTTAAGAAACTACAAAAAGAAAAGCCAAAGTAGAATGAAGGACTAAAGACCACAGCAGAAATCAATAAAAAGAAAACAGCAAAACAATAGAGAAAATTAGTGAAACTTACAGTTAATTCCTTGAAAAGATCTACAAAATTGTTAACTTTTTAGTCAAATGACCAAGAAAAAAAGAGAGAAGACAGAAATTACCAAAATTGGGATTAAAAGAGGAAGCATTCTGAACCCTATGGAAATTAAAAGGCTTATAAAGGAATATTTTGAACAACCTTATGCCAACAATTTGTCAACTTAGATGAAATGGGCAAATTCATTAACAGAAATGATCAAAGTAGACTCAAAAAGAAATTATACAATTTGCATAGATATATATCAGTGAAAAACATTAAAGCGTTTAATTAAATTATTTTAGAATCTTCTTCAAAGCAAAGTCCAGGCCTCCATGGTTTTATTGGGAACTCTATTAACATTTAAATAATTAATAATACCAATCCAATGGAAATCTTTTCAAGAATAGAAGGGGACACTTTACAGCTCATTTTACCCTGATACTAAAAGCCACAGACAAAGATATCACAAGAAAATTATAGAACAACACTCGTCATGAATGTAAATGCTAAAATTGTTTAAATAACAACAAATTAGATCCAGTAATGTACAAAAAGGATTATACACTATTACCAAGTGTGGTCGATTTATTACAGGAATGTTCTTTAGCTTAACATCTGAGTATCAATTCATGTAATACATATATTAATAGAATAAATCAGTGGTCAGCAAACTATAGCCAAAAGCAAACTATAGCCCTTGGGCCAAATCTGGCATGACATTTGTTTTTGCAAATAAAGTTTACTGAAACAAAGCCAAGCCCATTCATTTGCATATTGTCTATGATTGCTTTCTGCTACAAAGCAGAGTTGATTGGTTGCAACAGAGCTCATATGGCTCACAAAACCAAAAATATTTACTATATAGCCTTTTCTGGAAAATGTTGCTGACCCTTAAAGGAAAAAGCCATATAATCATCTCAATAGACACAGACAAAGCATTTGATAAAATTGAACTACTATTCATGGTAGAATTCTCAATAAACTAGGAATAGAAGGAAACTTTCTTACTTTGATAAAAGGCAGCTACATAAACCTATGACTAACAACATGCTTAAAGGTGAATGACTGGATGCTTTCTTCCTAAGACTGGGTGCAAGGCAAAAGGATGTACACTCTCACCACTTCTATTTAACCTTGGACTAAAAGTTCCAGCCAGTGCAATAAGGTAAGAAAATAAAAATACAAAAATCAACATACAACCAACTGCAAAGGAAATTTTAAAAAATTACATTCACAAATAGCATAAAAAGAATAAAGGATTTAGAAATAAAGTTAATGAAAGAAGTACAGGACAGTACACTGAAAATTATAAAACATTGTCAAAGGAAATTAAGACCTAAATAAATGGAGATATGTCCCATGTTTGCAAATAGGAAAATACAGTATCATCAAGGTGTCAGTTTTCCCAAAATTGATCCATAGATTCAATATAATTTCTATCTAAATACCATTAGGGTTTGCTTTAAAAGAAATTGATATGATGAACCTAAAATTTATCTTTTAAATCCAAAGGACCAAGAAAAGCCAATATGATTTAATGAAAGAACAAAGTTCAAGGACTTACATGATTTCAAAATTTCAAAATTTACCATAAAGCTAGAGTAATCAAGACTGTGGTACTGGCATAAAAATATGTATATAGCTTGGCACGGTGACTCATGCCTATAATCCAGCCTGGGTAACAGAGTAAGAACCCCATTTGTAACAAAAGAAAAAAAAAGAGATACTGTAAACCAAAAATAAAATTCTAAATTCCCCAACCAATGAAATGGACCCCTCCTTTTGGCCAAGGGTATATTTTTTATATTTTATTATTTTATTTTATATTTTATTTTATTTTACTTTACTTTATTTTATTTTATTTTATTTTATATTTTTGAGACAGAGTCTCACTCTGTTGCCCAGGCTGGAGTGCACTGGTGCAGTCTCAGCTCACTGCAACCTCTGCTTCCTGAACTCAAGCAATTCTCCAGCCTCGGCCTCCCGAGTAGCTAGGACTACAGGCACAGGCCATCACACCTGGCTAATTTTTGTATTGTTTTGTAGAGACGAGATTTTGCCACGTTGCCCATGTCGGTCTAAAATTCTTGGACTCAAGCAATACTTTTGCCTCAGCCTTCCAAAGTGCTGGGAATGCAGGCATGAACAACTGCACCAGGCTAGGGCATTTTAAAGTAAACCTAAAACACTAGCTCAGGCTACAATGGGAATGGGTGGTCAGACATGCCTCATTAAACATTCCTCCCGTTGGAATTCAGGCACAGCTGACCAGCATTAACATAGAAACAGCGACTTTCAGACTGACAGAATAGACTTTTTAGGTCTGATATTCTCTGAAGCCTACTATCTGGAGGCTTTATCTGCATAATAAGAACCTTGGTATCCACAACCCCATATCTTAACCCAGACACTCCCTTCTGTTGATTCTAGGTCTTTAGATAAGTCTTTCAACCAATTGCCATTCAGAAAATCTTTGAATCCACCTGTGATCTGGAAGCCCTGATTTGAGTTGTCACACCTCTCTGGACTGAAGCTATGTACATCTTACAGTATTGAATGATGTCCTATGTCTCCCTAAAATGTATAAAAGCAAGCTGTAGCCTGACCACCTTGGTGACATGTTGTCAGGACTTCTTGAGGCTGTGTCACGGGGATGTCCTTAACCTTGGCAAAATAAACTTCTAAATTGATTAAGGCTTGCCTCAGATACTTTTGGTTTATAGTACATAGATGGAAGGAATGGAAGGAACAGAACAGAGAGTTCAGAAATACACCCATGCATCTATTGTCAATTACATTTTGATAACTGAAATCAGAATATGAACTGAAACCTTGCACAAAATTAACACTAACTTTCTTATTGGACCCCACCACTTACCCAAAGTTAGCCTTTGAGTTGGGGGTTTCCACAGTATAGTGGGACCATTCCATGGTCACCAGAAAGACGTTACAGGATCCTAGCACTTACTGGGAATATCTGCACTATAGGCTCATCTGGGTCACCAGAAAGATGTTACAGGAAAGGGGTCCAGGTCCAGAACCCAAGAGAAGGTTCTTGGATCTCACACAAGAAAGAATTCAGGATGAGTCCACAGAGTAAAGTGAAAGCACGTTTAAGAAAGTAAAGCAATAAAAGAATGGCTACTCCATAGACAGAGTGCTGGTTGCCCATTTTTATGGTTAGTACTTGATGATATGCTAAACAAGGGGTGAATTATTCATGCATCCCTTTTTAGACCATATAGGGTAATGTCCTGATGTTGCCATGGCATCTGTAAACTATCATGGCACTGGTGGGAGTGTAGCAGTGAGGATGATAAGAAGTGACTCTTGTCACCATCTAGGTTTTGGTGGGTTTTAGCCAGCTTCTTTACTGCAACCTGTTTTATCTGCAAGCTGTTTATGACCTGTATTTTATGCCAGCCTCCTATCTCATCCTGTGACTTAGAATGCCTTAACTGTCTGGGAATGCAGCCTAGTAGGTTTCAGCCTCGTTTTACACAGCTTCTACTCAAAATGGAGTTGCTCTGGTTCACACGCCTGACATTACCCCCTCCCTTTTATAATCCTAAAGGTTTGTATAATTTTAATCCTAAGGGTTGCAGAGGGTTGAAAATCCATCTTCTGTAACTTCTTCATGCTGAATAGGAGCAATGATATTCTTGCTTAACTATGAGAGTCTCTTGTATTCAGGGTAGAGAGGAGCTCAGTCAGAAAGCATCAGTATGGCGAGGGCAATTCATAACTCCGAGTTTTGACAAAAGGTGATATCTGGAAGATTCATAAGTGTGCTCAGAATTAGAATACTGATTTAGATTTTTACATTACCCATCCCTCTTGTTTCTTCTGAGCAGCAGTCAGATGTCACTAGTTGGTTCAGAGGAATAAGCAGGGTTAGCCTAAATTGCAGAAACAAACTTAAAAACAACTGATGAGACTAGAATTTAATAACAAGTGTACCACAGTTTCTGAAACATAATTTCTCTCTCCAGTTTCCCATTTTTACTAAAGACAAATCACGGTAAGACTGATTTGCTTTACTATAATTGGCCTGATTAGTTGTATAAAGTGCAATGAGAATAATTATTTTTTACATAACCACTTTTTAAATTGGTTTTGATGCAACTTTATTCCATAGAAAGAATCTCAGATAAGACTTTTTCAGAGCTGAGCCCTGCCATAGGTTTGTACCCTCAAATACCTATGAGATGAGTAAATTCCCCTCCTCTTGGGGTCCCAAGATAACCTGGGGATCCTGGACCTGTAGAAAGTGACATTCTTTACTTACCACAGGTCAGAAACCCTGTACAGGGGCTGTTGTAGACAAGGTCTGAGGCCAATTCCCCAAGGGGCTTTTATTGGCTTTACAAGTCAAGTTTGATTCCTTAAAGGAAAACGTGCCATTCCAGTCAAAGCGTTGGTAAAATAACCACTGTTTCCAATTGTGTCCTGTTGCAAAAGAAAAGAGGTTCTTATTGCACTTATGCAAATAACTATATTGCCATAATGTAAGAATACTCACAAATAGTTTCCACATTCTGGAGAAATTAGGTAGAGAGAACTAAATATGCTTCAAATGTTATTCACAGCAATATACTTTACTCAATTGCTACAAGCTGCAAATAGCTCAAAAGATAAGTTTCCTTGACTCTGAAAAACAAAACAAAGGATCAGCAGCATTTTAAGCAAAGTTAAAATGATTACTTTAGTCTTCTATTAGTTCAGTCAATGCAGTTAACTTCTGTTCTGCTTGATATTCCTGAACATTTCAGCTCTCCATGAGTATTCTGAAAGTGTTTTCCTTTATTTTAATATCACAATTTCCAAAGTTATCAGAAATCTGCATTTAAGAACACCTGTTAGAGTTCTACAGTTGATTATAAACCAACTTTTGAAGAGGATTAAAAGACAACAATTGTGTGTGGATGACAAAAAGTCTTAGGACAGCCACTATTAAAGTCTCAATTGATAAGGAAATTTGCTTCCTTCTGTGGTATACAATGATTTTATGTAACAATTATAATTATTCACAATATACACCAAGTCATATCAGAATTATAAGACTTTTAAAAATAATTTTCAATATATACCAATAATACATTTATACAATTACAGCCCCCAAAAATCCAAACACCATTTTACATTTGATAATGCTTCCTGTGTGGTTTTTGTACCAAATAAGCCAAATGTGACTCTTGCATTAGTGCATTATTGATGACAAACCCAATTCTTTATAAAACCTTATAGACAAATGTATTCAATCTTAATCAGTTTGACTATAAGGTAAGATTCTCACAAACCTTTTATAACCCTTTACATATTTTTGTTAAAGAGCAAATCATAGCAGGTTTTTGCTCTAAAAAAACTTGTGCTTTTATTCCAATGTTTAATTTATAGAAAAACTGAATACCCCTTTAACTTTAACTAATATATTCACACACAGAATGTCCTACAATTAATTTTTCACACTTTCCAAAACTTTCTTAAACCTTCAGCTTCATTCTATCTAACTTAAAACAATAATTTAACCATTTAATCTAAGGAAGAAAATTTACATTCTCATGACTTCTAATGATCTTTTACCAAAAACACATTTCACTTTCCTTACACACCTTATGTGTAGAACTATTCTTCAGTAGTCTCAATTACATGTTACAATGTTAACTTTCAGCGATTTTTACTTTTGGTGAAAACCCTGGTTGGTAAGCATTTTAATTATGTACTAGGTGTGCAGCCTAGGACACAGACAGAAGTGCAGATAAGGTCTGACTTTTTCTAGCATTGCTTGGGGTATGGCTAACATCACATGTCCCCAGGCCTTATCTAGACTCTAATATGGTCAAAGTAGGTAAATTAAACAATTTTCAAAAGTGAAAGCAGCAGCTTATGAACTTAAAGCATTTAGCAAACCTAATATCTGACCTGCATAATTTAGACCAAATGTTTACATTTTAAGATATTTTTATTTTACCAATAATCTTTAAAACTGTCTTCATTTCCCAAAGATTACTTAAGTCACATGAACTATATAAAAGGCATTATATGTTTAATTTTTCTCACAAAAATATGACTGAAGCACTTATTATTTTTAACCGATTAATCAAACCTCTGTTATATACAAGCACCACACACATGATACACATAAATACACAGACAAAAGATAAAGGACTCATCTCCTAAGATGGGAATTGAACCCTGAACCCGGGCCACCACTGTGAAAGAGAAAGCACAGCCACATGGTTACAAGGTCAAGCTCCCAAGGACATACAAGACAAGAGGGAAACCTCATCCAGTTTTTTTCACGGACCTGCAGCAAAGTTTTTAACTGACCAGTTTGCTGGGCCATCTTGAACAGCAGGCTTATAGGTGTCCTAAGCCCATGTTCTATCCTAAGGTACCCCTCTTTATGACAGAACAATACAGAATGACACAGGAAACACACCAGATTGGCTACAGCTTAAGACTAGCCTCACAAATCCTTTCTTCCATTAATCAAAACTTTGTAAGAAATAGTGATTTTTACCATTCCTACAACCAGTTTGCACAGAGAGAGACGACAGCATTGCCTGAGGCAAGGTGGGGAAGGCCAGGCGTTCAGGGAAGCCACAGAAAGATCCACCCACTGCAGCGACAGTGAAGAGTTCAGGTGGCCACTTCTCGGTAGTGAAGGGATGTTTTCCAGCAGTCCCATCGACTCTCAAGTTTCCCCTTTACGGGAGGAAAAAGCTCCTCATGTCCCATGATCCTGTACCTGCCTAACCCTGTCATCCGCATCCATCAGCAAAGAGTACAAGGCAGATTATTCCAAGGAGAATAGAAGTTAACATACCGTAGTGCCAAACCTGTTCTTAGCCAAAGGGGACTTTACCGAGAGGGGCTTCTAGCCCCCTAAATCTTAGAAGGGACTCTAACCCTCCTAAGTTGGGCTTCTAACCCAATCCCATTCTTTATCTGGGTACCCCACCACTTATCCAAAATTGTCCAATCAGTGCTATAGTCTATTTCCTTTGAGTCAGGAGTCTCCTAAGTATCGTCCCTTTAGGGTTCACCAGAAAGATGTTACCGGACCCCACCACTTACCCAAAGTTAGCCTTTGGGTCGGGGTTTCCATACTGCAGTCCATTCCATAGTTGCCAGAAAGATGTTACAGGACCTCACCACTTACTGGGGGCTTACACACTATAATCCCACCTGGGTCACCAGAAAGAAGTTACAGGAAAGGGGTCCAGATCCAGACCCCAAAAGAGGGTTCTTGGATCTCGCACAAGGAAGAATTCAGAGCGAGTCCATAAAGTAAAGTGAAAGCGAGTTTATTAAGAAAGTAAAGGAATAAAATAATGGCTACTCCATAGACTGAGCAACCCCAAGGGCTGCTGGTTGCCCATTTTTATGGTTATTTCTTGATGATAAGCTAAACAAGGGGTGGATTTTTCATGCCTCCCCTTTTTAGACCATATAGGATAACTTCCTGACATTGCAGTGGCATCTGTAAGCTGTCATGCTGCCAGTGTGAGTGTAGTAGTGAGGATGACAAGAGGTAATTCTCATCACCATCTTGGTTTTTGTGGGTTTTAGCCAGCTTCTTTATTGCAACCCGTTTTATCAGCAAGGTTTTTATGACCTGTACTTTGTGCCAGCCTCCTATCTCATCCTGTGACTTAGAATGCCTTAACTGTCTGGGAATGCGACCCAGTATGTTTCAGCCTCATTTTACCCAGCACCTACTCAAGATGGAGGTGCTCTGGTTCACACACCTCTGACAACTTATTTGCCTCTTTTATCAGCTTTTGCTCATGCATACAGTTGCCTCTCCCATTTAAACCCTAGTACAGTGGTTCTCAAAGTGTGGTATGGGGACTGACACTTACAGAGTCAGCTAGGTTAAAACTATTTTCATAATAATCCTAATGTAATATTTGCTCTTTTCACTTCATTCTCTTGTGAGCATAAGGTGGGGAAAATATAATTTTTTCCTATGAAAATGTGTTACCACAGAATGGTTTTATTGTTGACGTTTTAAATGAGTTGCTATCTTTAAAATTTGTTTTTATTTACAACATGGTAAATATTGATAGATGAAATCCACATGAACAAAAGCTTTTTTGGGATCTTCAATAGTTTTTTTTTTTTTTTTTGAGACAGGGTCTTGCTCTGTTGCCCAGGCTGGAGTGCAGTGGCACGATCTCGGCTCCTGCAACCTCTGCCTCCCAGGTTCAAGCGATTCTCCTGCCTCAGCCTCCCGAGTAGCTGGAATTACAGGCATGTGCCACCATGCCCAACTAATTTTTTATTTTTAGTAGAGACGAGGTTCCACCATGTTGGCCAGGCTGGTCTCGAACTCCTGACCTCAAGTGATCCGCCTGCCTCAGCCTCCCAAAGTGCTGGGATTACAGGAGTGAGCCACCACGCCCAGCCCAGGATCTTCAATAGTTTTTATGGGTATAATGAGTTCTTGAGATAAAAGTTTGAAAACCATTGCCCTTGTCTATCTGCCAGGTATAAGAACTCCTACTGACCACATTTGTTACCAGAGGATTGGACAATAAATTGGAGTGGTCTTTGAGTGATAACTTGTCTTGATTGCAAAAATCATCTACGTCAAGATAAACTATAGTTTTTGGCCAGAATGTCATTTAGAAATGCAGCAAATGTTAATACAGGATTTCTTTTTGTTTTTCTTGGTGATGTTTAATGGAAATAAACACAATCCTACTAAAAGGAGAAACATAAACATGGAAAGGATTTGGAACAGTGTCTAGCATAAGAGTAAGCCCTTAACACAGGTAGTGATTATTACTATTTTATTATTACCCTATCACAGTCGCTATTCATTTATTTATTCAACAAGTATTTATTGAGTACTATATGCCAGGCTCAATGGTCTGCATTGTGGATTCAGTGATGGGCAAAACACAAACTGTTCTGCCTTCAAGGACTTTATAGTCTAAAGTGGGAGAGGCAGTGGAATCATCACATGAAAATTCTAATTACAAATTGTGGTAAGCAAACCAAGTGATAGAGGTATAAGTAGACCAAGATTTTATCTGATTTTCAGAGTCAGTAAAAGCTTCTCTGAAGAAGTCCCAGTTGAGCTGCAATATGAAAAATGTGCAGGAGGAATTAAGGAGACACAAAGGAAAGAGTAGCATGCTGAGCATGTTTAAACACCCTGCAGTAGAAAGAGAATGATGATGGGGCCAATGTGGCTGAAACCCAAAGACTCAATAACTATTTAATGGCAAAAACCACAATTACTTTTGCACCAATCTAATAGTAGCAGTAGTAGGAGGTTAGATCCCAAGCCACTGGGGGATTTTTAAGGCTTTGCTAAGAATTTTAGACTTTCATTACATTATCAGTGGGGAGCCATGGAAAGTTTAGGAAAAGTGTGACAACCTTAGATTTGCGTTTTCGAAAGATCACTGGCAGCTGGAGTGTAGTGGGGCAAGGGTGACAAGCAGGGAGACTATTTACAGGGTTACGGCAGTATCCCAGTGAAAGATGCTGGGAGCCTGGAACAGGATAATGGCAGGTAGAGACACAAAACAGTGGATGAATTTGGGATGTATAGTATTTTGGAAGTAGGGCCACAGGGCCTGGTGATTAATTGAAACTTTAGCACAATAATCACACAAAGTCGAAGATCCTCCCCAGCAACATTAGCTAATAGGTTATTGATAAGTTGCAAAATCTTCCCCATTCTCCCTTGGCAAAGATTCAAAAGCCCTGGTGGTACTCAGGGCCGACAGATTACTCAGGCCGCACAGAGCGCGTGCACAAGGCCGTCGCTCCCCTTGTGACGCAAGACTTCATTCCCTGGATGTCAGCGGCCTGGAAGCGCAACGTTTCCTGGGCAACGCCATTGTCGCAGCTCCGGGTGGGGGAGGGATGACTAAAGACAACGGCTGTAAGAGAACTCCACAAGAGAGTCAGAACGAAAATGTGCAACAAGTGCGGCGGCTCCTACCATGGCAGGTGATTCGAGGACTCAGCACGAGGCGAGAGTAGGGACCAGGAAGAGCCGGAAAACCCGCCTGTGATTGGCCGTCCACGGGTATCGGTCGTTGTGATTGGGTGAGGCCCAGACAGACAGCTGCGTTTTGAACCGCGTAGGGTTCTGGGTAGCAAAGGCCTTGCAAGGCTCTTAACCGAAAGGGGGAGGGGGAAGGTCGCCAACAAACGGCTGAGCTCACAATCCTGGCCGGGGCGTCCCCCTCCCCCATGGAGAGAGCCAGACCCGAGCCGCCGCCTCAGCCGCGCCCGTTGCGTCCCGCTCCGCCCCCGCTGCCGGTCGAGGGCACCTCCTTTTGGGCAGCAGCCATGGAGCCCCCTCCGTCGTCTCCCACACTGAGCGCGGCAGCCAGTGCGACCTTGGCCTCGTCGTGCGGGGAGGCAGTGGCGTCCGGCTTACAGCCCGCGGTGCGGCGGCTGCTGCAGGTGAAGCCAGAGCAGGTGTTGCTGCTACCACAGCCTCAGGCCCAGAACGAGGAAGCCGCTGCCTCGTCCGCGCAGGCGCGGCTGTTGCAGTTCAGGCCCGACCTGCGGCTCCTGCAGCCGCCGACAGCGTCAGACGGCGCCACCTCCAGGCCCGAGTTGCACCCGGTGCAGCCCCTGGCGCTGCATGTCAAGGCCAAGAAGCAGAAGCTGGGGCCCAGCCTGGATCAGTCAGTGGGGCCTCGAGGGGCCGTCGAAACCGGTCCTAGAGCCTCCAGGGTGGTCAAGTTGGAAGGCCCCGGGCCGGCCCTCGGCTACTTCCGAGGGGACGAGAAGGGCAAGCTGGAGGCGGAGGAGGTCATGAGAGACTCGATGCAAGGCGGGGCAGGCAAAAGCCCGGCAGCCATCCGAGAAGGTGTGATCAAAACGGAGGAACCCGAGAGACTCCTCGAGGACTGCAGGCTCGGCGCGGAGCCCGCGTCCAATGGCCTGGTTCATGGCAGCGCGGAGGTCATCTTGGCCCCAACGTCCGGTGCCTTTGGGCCGCACCAGCAAGACCTTAGGATCCCTTTGACGCTCCACACGGTCCCCCCTGGGGCCCGGATCCAGTTTCAGGGAGCTCCGCCTTCAGAGCTGATAAGATTGACCAAGGTCCCCCTGACACCAGTGCCTACTAAAATGCAGTCCCTACTGGAGCCTTCTGTAAAAATTGAAACCAAAGATGTCCCGCTCACCGTGTTGCCCTCAGATGCAGGTATTAGACAGCAGGGGAGTCGGGTTTTCAAAACTGCGTCTGTGTTGCCCATAGCTGTTTTGTCAGCAGTTCCCAAGTCTAAACTACAAAAGTAAAGTAATGGAACTGATTGTTTTCAGGGCAGAGTCTGCACAGGTATCACTTCTGATCGACTTGTACATATAGCAGTAAAATACACGAATGCCTTCAAGATTCTCAAGTATTTTTTAAAAAATCGATTTTAAGGCCCAGTATTTAGATAGGACTAATTTTTGTACACAAAAATAGAAATATTCTTGCTAGACAGCGCATAGCCCTCAGTTTATATGCTACAAATAATCAAGATTAAAAATATTGTAGTATAACAGCTCAGTACTTTTATATGTATCAAGAAATAGAAGAAATAATGGTGTTGAATGAAAAAAGTGATTATAATTAAACAGGAAAGTTTATACCGATTATAGAGGCTATCTTTAAAAATGAATAATAAATATTCTAGCAGAAAACAATACGTGATTCAATGTAATATTTTAGGGTTTATTCCTCTGAAAGGTAATGACTTATAGAAATATTGAAAAGAATACAGTAGAATGAGCCATAAATATTATTTTTAAAGAAATGACTAGTTGCAGCAGTAACAAGTACAAATAATGTTTTTATTTCTATTCAGTATTTCCAGATATATAGTTAGCAAATTCTTATTTTAAGATTTAGTTCACACAGAACACTTTGCCAATGAACATCTTGGAAAGTCATATTAATCTTTGGTTCATATTTTTATTAACTTTATGTTTTATTGTTTTTTTAATTTTCTGTGTTGATTCTTCCTCTCCACTCCACCCTGTTGCTTTTATCTTTAGTAGTTTTTAGATTTTATTTTTGTTTTCTAAAGGAAAGAAAGGGAAAGCTTTCTTTATACTACTTATTTCATCTTTAGTGTTTTTAAGAAATTTTTAATATATGAAGTAATCCTAAAATAATATAATAAATTTATGGACAGTTATTTTTGATAAAATACATGAGAGATGTGAATTTAGATAACTTCCTTTGTTGAAATTTCAACTGGCTCTGTGACTTTCTTTTTTTAAATTTTATTTTATGAAAAAGAGATGCTGGTCTCGAACTCCTGGGATGAAGCAGTCCTCCGCCTTGGCCTCCCAAAGTACTGAGGTTACAGGTGTGAGCCATTGTGGCTGCCTTCTCTGACTTTCAAAAAAATTACTTTTATTATTTTCTGTCATTTTTTTTCTGAAATATTGGCAGAGAGGTTCTAGGAATGAAGGTCAGAAGCAAGTGTGAGCCATTTTACCTGCCTTCTGTGACTTTCAAAAAATTATTTTTTTGAGACTGAGTCTCACTCTGTTGCCCAGTCTGGAGTACCGTGGCGTGATCTCAGCTCGCTGCAACCTCCACCTCCTGGGTTCAAGCGATTCTCCTGCCTCAGCCTCCTAGGTAGCTGGGACTACAGGCATGAGCAACCACGCCTGGCTAATTTTTGTATTTTCAGTAGAGATGGGGTTTCATCATGTTGGCCAGGCTGGTCTCAAACTCCTGACCTCGCGTGATCCACCTGCCTTGGCCTCCCAAAGTGCTGGGATTACAGGCGTGAGCCACCGTACCTGGCCCAAAAAATTATTTTTATTGTTTTCTTTCATTTTTCTCCCAGGACACAGGACTAGTGTTGATGATTCCACTTGGTAAGAGCTTCACCTTCGTAGTGAAATACAACTAATATAGTATTACAATATTATAAATAGTTTTGCTTGAAAGGACACAAGAGCAGCATGTAGATGAGTTCCTGTGAATGTTTAGAGAACCTCTACCTAGCTAAGATTATAGTCACGAGTAAGTCATGCATGGTTCCTGTTCCTTAATGGTAGAATATTTTTAGTAGTAAATAAATAAATGTTAATTATTGTTAGAGGTACTAATAATACAGATCAAAGAAGTAATAAGCCAACAATTTACTCTCTTCAACATGATTATTGCCACAGTTATCTTCAACAATATTATCCTCTTTGAGGAAAAGGAGTCATTCTAAACTACAGTTCAGAATGATGAGTTCAGGGGATGTAAGGAATTGTGGAATACTGGCAGGTTTTTTTGGTTATATTGAAGTGTATATTTCCTCCAGATATTTCAAAAATAAGTATAGACGGAGGTGCACTTTACCTTAAAATTGTGTGTGTGTGTGTGTATGGCACATTAATTTAGCCTTTTAATTTTTGTCATGTAGGCATACCAGATACTCCCTTCAGTAAGGACAGAAATGGTCATGTGAAGCGACCCATGAACGCATTTATGGTTTGGGCAAGGATCCACCGACCAGCACTAGCCAAAGCTAACCCAGCAGCCAACAATGCAGAAATCAGTGTCCAGCTTGGGTTAGAGTGGAACAAACTTAGTGAAGAACAAAAGAAACCCTATTACGATGAAGCACAAAAGATTAAGGAAAAGCACAGAGAGGAATTTCCTGGTAATCAAATTAAATAATGCCTCTTACTTCTTTTAAATGAATTTATTTAGTTAAAGATTAGGGTAGGTTGAGATTGAAAGACAAAAATATATAATTTTTTTCTGATATGTACAATAAAGAGAATAATGACTAATATTATAACAATGATTGAAATGACACTGGGCATGAGTTTCCTTAAATAGAACCAAGCAAAGGGATATCTGATTTCATATTCACCAACTCATACAAATCAGAGGACACGCAGTTTTATTGTGGTTTTGATTTAGATAGATGTAAGTTTAATGAAAGTACATCTTGAAAGCTTTAGGCTATAATTTTGCAAGTAAACTATAGAAGTGTTAAAATGATAGCAACAGAAAAAAAATGCAGTCTACGCTTAATGAGAATGCAGGGATTGTCACCATATTCCATTTTAACATATGATTGTCAGAACATAGTCCTGCCTTCTGATTGATAGATTTAGCCCTGTCATGATATAGTGTGAAAGGAGTCCGATTTCTCCCTAGCAGTGGGAACATTGGGATTAAGCTTGGAAAATGCACAGTGCATGGCCAGCATGTCTGTGCAAGGTGGGACAAAACTTATTATTTTCTGAAATATTGGCAGAGAGGTTCTAGTAATGAAGGTCAGAGGCAGCAACTACAGTGAACCAGTGATTGTTCTGATTACACAGTGGCTGCAAATGCCATAGTTCCACTGTTCTGACTTTGGAAGAAATTAAGTTATTTGTGGACTTGGAGATTGCTGAGTTTAGGAGAGTGACTCTTCTTGAACTAGGCACAAAATTAGTGACTGATCAGCCAGGCGCGGTGGCTCACACCTGTAATCCCAGCACTTTGGGAGGCCAAGGTGGGTGGATCACGAGGTCAGGAGATCAAGACCATCCTGGCTAACACAGTGAAACCCCATCTCTACTAAAAAAAAAAATAAAAAAATTAGCTGGGCATGGTGTTGGGCACCTGTAGTCCCAGCTACTTGGGAGGCTCAGGCAGGAGAATGGCATGAACCCAGGAGGTGGAGCTTGCAGTGAGCCGAGATCGTGCCACTGCACTCCAGCCTGGGCGGCAGAGTGAGACTCTGTCTCAAAAAAAATAGTGACTGATCATTAGTGACTATTGCATTGTAAGATATAGATGATTGTAACTTACAGAAAGTGAGGAAATGAGATGAATAATGTCATAGTGAGGCATTATTTGATAAGGTGGAGGAAAGGCTTTGGGATTCAAATACAGCGGTTTTGATGTTGACTCTACTACAGGTTCATTCTGTGTCATTGGTTATAAAACATTTGACCCTTGGCCAGGCGCAGTGGCTCTCGCCTGTAATCCCAGCCTTTGGGAGGCCGAGACGGGCGGATCACGAGGTCAGGAGTTCAAGACCAGTCTGGCCAACACGGAGAAACCCCGTCTCTACTAAAAATACAAAAAATTAGCCGGGTGTGGTGGCATGCACCTGTAATCCCAGCTGCTCAGGAGGCTGAGGCAGGAGAATCACATGAACCTGGGAGGCGGAGGTTGCAGTGAGCCGAGATTGTGCCATTGCACTCCAGCCCGGGCAACAGTGCAAGACTCCGTCTCAAAAAAAAAAAAAAAAAATTTGACCCTCTTCTTTTCAATGATGAGTTATAACATTGGCCACTAGTCAGGAGCTATTTGGATATGTATGTTAAAATACACAGTGGAGAAGTCATTCACTGAAATAATATCCCGGAGCTGGAAAAGATACTTTAGACAATAATTTGTTTTTAAAACACTTTAAAGTGCTTTGCATTTTAGTATGAAAAAAATTATTTAAAGGCTAAATGGAGTCTACACATTTAAACATATTTTGTCTTCTATAGGTTGGGTTTATCAGCCTCGTCCAGGGAAGCGAAAACGATTCCCTCTAAGTGTTTCCAATGTATTTTCTGGTACCACACAGAATATCATCTCTACAAATCCTACAACAGTTTATCCTTACCGCTCACCTACGTACTCTGTGGTAATTCCCAGCCTACAGAATCCCATCACTCATCCAGTTGGTGAGTTAGTTTTATTGTAGATTACTATTTTTTAAATAGCTGCAAGAAAATTTTACCTCAAGTTTGAAGTGTTCTTTCTGTTAGTCTTAAGAATTTGGAACAACAATGTTAAGAAAAAAAGAAGAGGGAAAGTGAGAACATTAAATAGGAGAAGGAAAAATTTCAGTAGAGATCAAAACACTTGGTTTGCCAGAGTAGCAAATAATCCATGTGTAAAACCTCAGACCTTTTAAGCAAATCAGGATGAGCCCATAGATTAGGCAGATAATGCAGGAAATAACTGAGGTAATTCAATAGGAAAAAGGAGAGTCTTTTTACTAACAGCATAAAAGACTGCCTTGCTAATGGGGTATGAGGCATCCTGTCCTGGAACTTAGTAATGATACTGATTTGTTGAGACCATTCTCTCACTGCTCTAGAAAAGCAGTGGAAGTAATCTATTTTCTACCAAATATTTGTTTGGTTCATTATATTAATCTCTCTAAATGTCTCCTCTGAGTTCTTTACATTCCTGTTACTGATTTTAAGAACCAAAAATTGACAACCTAATATCTTAATAACTTGTTATAGGGCTATCCATCATTGGTTTGTTTTTCCAGAACAGTTTTTTTTTTTTTGAGATGGAGTTTTCGCTCTTGTTGACCAGGCTGGAGCAATGGTGCAATCTCAGCTCACCACAACCTCCGCTTCCTGGGTTCAAGCAATTCTGCTGCCTCAGCCTCCCGACTAGCTGGGATTACAGGGATGCACCATCACACCCGGCTAATTTTGTATTTTTAGTAGAGATGGGGTTTCTCCATGTTGGTCAGGCTGGTCTGGAACTCCCGACCTCAGATGATCTGCCCGCCCCGGCCTCCCAAACTGCTGGGATTACAGGTGTGAGCCACCACGCCTGGCCCCCAGAACATGTTTTAACCATCTTTAAGGGAGAGCTTTATACATTCACTACTTGCTGTCACTTTTTTTTTTTTTTTCCAGACAGGGTCTCACTCTGTTGCCCAGGCTGGAGTGCAGTGGCAGCATCACAGGTCACTGCAGCCTTGCCCTCCTGGGCTCAAGTGATTCTCCCACCTCAGGCTCCCTAGTAGCTGGGACTATAGGTGCACACCACCATGCCTGGCTAATTTTTGTATTTTTTTAGAGATGGGGTTTTGCCATGTTGCCCAGGCTGGTGTCGAATCCTGGGCTCAAATGATCCACCCACCTTGACCTCTCAAAGTGCCAGGATTATAAGTGTGAACCACCATATCTGGCCCACTTTCTTAAACCTACTAAGACTGCGTAAACCTGCTTTTTCTATTTTTTTTTAACCTCTTTAAATCCTTCTGGTAATAAAGCCACCCATATGAGCTGAGAGTTTTAGATACCTTGGAAACTGACTTCTTAGAATCTTAGGCATTTTCAGTGTTGTTGTTGTTGTTGTTTTTTAATGTATCATTTTAGCAATTGATAGCAACAAGCTACATTCCAGATGTCTAGACTCAAGAGAGAGATGCAGAAAGCTGATCCTATAGCCCTGTTCTGTCCTAGCACAGGCAGGCACTCTCAGTCTTCACTGTTTGGTAGTGACTTCTTTAATCTTGTATTTCAACCCAGGCTTAATTATGACTTTGTTCACTTACCTTGTTTTTCTGTTATGTTATTTATTTATTTTTTAAGACAGAGTCTTGCTCCGTTACCCAAGATGGAGTGTAGTGGCGCGATCTCGGCTCACTGCAGCCTCTGACGCCTGGGTTCAAGCAGTTCTCCCACCTCAGCCTCCCGAGTAGCTGAGACTACAGGTGCACACCACCATGCCCATCTAATTTTTGTATTTTTAGTAGAGATGGGGTTTCACCATGTTAGCCAGGCTTGTCTCGAACTCCTGGCCTCAAGTGATCCACCCATCTTGGCTTCCCAAAGTGCTGGGATTACAGGGTGAGCCACCATGCCCAGCCTGTGTTATGTTATGATTTCTGTTTTCATAATATAATTTTCTTCTTTTTATCCCTTTTTCCAAGACCTCACTTACATCTGCTTCTACCCACTGTTAAATGCTGTATATTTTCTCTTCCCAGAAACAGAATTAACAACGTTCTTATTTGAAACAGTTGACATTTGATACATTAATTTTATGCCATTCTGAGCAAAGATAAGGGTTTAGTAGAAACTGGAAGATTTCTTCTAATGTTGGTAGGGTTCTTTCTCCATGATGTTGTATTTAAGTATGGTAGGCAGAATTATAGGAAGCACTTCAGAGCTATGCACAACAGTAATCAAATCTAAGACAAGAATGATTTTTTTGTTTGTGCTTAGTTTTTTGTTTTGTTTTTTACAATATCTCTTATTTCTGGTGACATGTAGTGTCAGTAAAGATTTATTTCTTGGGCCAGCTGTGGTGACTCATGCCTGTAATCCTGGTGCTTTGGGAGCCTAGGAGTTCGAGACTAGCCTGGGCAACATAGCAAGACGCTGTCTCTAAAAACAAACAAACAAATTTGTTTCTTGCATCTCAAAAGATAAACAGAGAACATTATCTTATAAGCATAATTTGGGAATTATTAAGATATACACCTTAACAGTAAATCATGAAATTTATCTGCTATTTTGTTCCCCAATCATATGGCTTTGAAATATATTCTTATAGATTGTTCTCATCAACTTGGCTTTATATTATTTAGAGAGGTCAGTATCACTTGCAAATTTGGAAATTTCACTGTATATTTAATATTCTAAATCATTTGTGAAGCTTAAGTTAGAACAGATTATAGCACACATCTCGTGTGCTATAATCTTGGGGAATCATAATTTTAATATCTTGTCATATACAGTTGTTAATGTATATACTTTTTTGTTGTTTCAAGTAATTTCATATTCTAAATATGAAGTTACGGTAATTTTGTTTTTCAAGCATGTTTGCTGTATTTCCATGGAAGAAAGATATCAAGATAGTGAGGTATATGATTTTTCTCATATAAAAACAATTTGCTCTTTTTCTGTAGCAAGCTTTGTGCATTAATATCGTACTGTATACATTTCACCACCATTTCAGGTGTAGATAATAGACTCACCAAGCTAGAGTTGTCAAGGTCATCAGTTTCAATAGCTGGAAGTCATGTTAATTTTCTAAAAATCTCTGGCAGAAGCCATTTGTACCTACTTTGTCTAAAATTTTCTCAGTTCCACCCTTGAGGTTTTTTAAAAAAATTTTTTAATATTTATATTTATATATATTTTTGAGACAAAGTCTCATTCTGTTGCCCACGCTGGAGTGCAGTGGCGCGACCTCAGCTCACTGCAACCTCCACCTCCGGGGTTCAAGTGATTTTCCTGCCTGAGCCTCCCGAGTAGCTGGGATTATAGGCATGCACCACCATGTCTGGCTAATTTTTGTAGTTTTAGTAGGGTTTCACCATGATAGCCAGGCTGGTTTTTCAAACTCCTGACCTCAGGTGATCTGCCCACCTCTGCCTCCCAAAGTGCTGAGATTGCAGGTGTGAGCCATCATGCCTGGACAGAGGTTTGTTGTTGTTGTTGTTGTTGTTGTTGTTGTTGTCCGTTTTCTTCTTTAAAAAAAAAATTCTTGGGTGAATGCCATCTAAGATCTATTTATATTCCTTTTGTCAATTGGATTAGAACATTCTTTGAACTTGTCATTATACTGTAGTTGATCTAATATTTTTAACCTATTTACTTTGAAAATTAGGGTTCAGAAATCTTAAGGTCTTCTTTAGGAGAAAGGAATTTATTGAGTCTCTCTGTTCTCTGTCAGTTGCTGTTTATACCGTAATGACTAAATAATTCCACCGATTCTCTCCTTTTTGTAAAAATATTTGGAGTCAATTAGTATTGACTTTGAGGTCTCTCAGGTGTGGCTCCTTCAATTTTCCTTTGGACTGCCTAGTTTTTTTGCATTTGCCTCACCGCAGTTGGGCTCATTTGTACATTTGGACAAGCTTTTGAAGGTTTTGTTGTTGTTGTTGTTGTTATTTTTGTTATTTTTTATTTATTTATTTTTTTGCCAGTTAGCCATAGTAACTGTGACTTTGAGGCACATTTCTTTCTTTTGTGTTTTTAGCATTGTCATGTAAAATAATCTCCATTTTTCTATGAACTTTTTATTTTAATCTCTATCAGCCTTTTTCCCTAGCCAATATCAATATTCCAAAAATTGAATAACCCCAGCGTAGATTTTTTTGACTTTCTCTTTAGCCAGGATCATAAATTTAAATATGTTGTGATTACTACCGCATAATATTTCACACACTGAATTCATGGATTTTCTAGTAATATTTCTCCATTATTTGGCTCTCAATCAAGCTTCTTCTTTTTTTTTTTTTTTGAGAGGGAATCTTACTCTGTCTCCCAGGCTGGAGTGCAGTGGCGTGATCTTGGTTCCCTGCAACCTCCACCTCCCAGGTTCAAGCGATTCTCCTGCCTCAGCCTCCTGAATAGCTGGGACTACAGGCAAGCGCCACCACGCCTGGCTAATTTTTGTATTTTTAGTAGAGACGGGGTTTCGCAACATTGGCCAGGCTGGTCTTGAACTCCTGGACTCAAGTAATCTGCCCGTCTCAGCCTCCCGAAGTGCAGGGATTACAGGCATGAGCCACTGCACCCGGCCCTCAAGCTGATTTCATTTTACTGTGTATTCTACCAAACCTTTTTGTTCTAATCGATCACTTGTCCTGTACTAGATCTTCCCAGTACACTTTTATCACATTAAGATATTCAGTAAATATATTCGAAATCTGGCAGTTTAATCTGGTATTCTCCCCTGTAACAGTGAGTTTTATCTCAGATATCTTCTGAGTAAATTCCAGTGGCACATTTGTTTGCCTGCTTACCTGCCGCCTTCACTACTAAGGTTTCTTAAATCCTATTATGGGGCAAACTCTGCTAGGAACAACATATAAAGTTTTTTTGTAGTCTCTGCTGTCAAAGAGTTCGTTAGGTAGTCGTAGCAAGTATAGATATAAATATAACTACTTTTACTATTTCTTTGATAGAATCTACTTTCTTGTCTGGTATTATTATTATTTTTTGAGATAGAGTCTTGCTCTGTCACCCAGGTTGGAGTGCAGTGGCATGATCTCAGCTCACTGCAACCTCCACCTACCAGGTTTAAGCAATTCTCCTGCCTCAGCCTCCAGAGTAGCTGGGATTACAGGTGCATGCCACCAAGCCCGGCTAATTTTTGTATTTTTAGTAGAGATGGGGTTTTACCATGTTGGCCAGGCTGGTTTTGAACCTCTGACCTCAGTCGATCTACCTGCCTCGGCCTCCCAAAGTGCTGGGATTACAGGCATAAGCCACCACGCCCAGCACTTGTCTGGTATTATTTTTATGTCTGGTGCATTATTTACTCTGTCACTCACATTTAGTACTATCTCCCAAGCTCCTCTTCTCTTACTAGTTCTTTTTTTTTTTCTGTAGAGATGGGATCTTGCTAGGTTGCCCAGTCTAGTCTCAAACTCCTGGACTCAAGTGATTCTCCCATCTTGGCCTTCCAAAGTGTTGGGATTACAAATGTGAGCCATGGCACCCACCCTGTTTCTAGTTTCTGAAAGTGCTTATGTTACTGGCGTAAAGTTCTTGGCTCTCAGTGTAATAGAAATTAACAAGAGGCCAGGCAAACTTTTCCTAGACAGGGGTTGTTAGGGCTTATGCCTGGAAAGATTGGGTATTAAGAGAGACAGCACAGGAGAAAGGGTTCTCTGGCTGGCTCTCCAAGGGAGTGCATTATGGTGTCTTCAGGAGGGTGATATGCATAATGCATGAGGTAGCTGAGTGTCATTACATATGCGAGGTGGAGTGCAGGGTGTGCAGACAAGTAAGGAATCATGCTAACTCATATGTTGATCATGATCAGAAAATCTCCCTGGGCGGAGATTTTAGTATTTCAATCCTAGAGATTTTAATATTACAATCCTAGGGGTTAGGATCGTCATTCTAATTCTAGATCGTCATTCTAGAATTTGCCAGGAGGCCATTCTCACATGCAGCCCTTGTGCACATGCAGGCGATAGAGTTAATTCCCTTGAGTAAGATTTGTGGTGGAATGCTGCTTATCTTAGTTTTTTCAGACAGCTTGCAAGGTCTGGTCAATGGGTATGGTGTCAGTGGGGGTGGTGCTGCAAGGTCTGGTGGTCAGTGCGCATGTATGGAAAAATACGTGAGTGAAGGTGAGATGATCCCCGCCACCCCACTACCCTGTCTCGCTTATAGCATGGTAGTGTGGAATTCTCTTCAGATCTTTGATTACATGTCTTTGATGCCAGTTATGCCAGCATCCTCCTTTTATATGAGTATTCCTATTCATTTAAAGGCTTTGGAACTTTTATAAAGCTGTATCCATTCATACTTTTCTTAACTATTTTTTATTAACCAGGTTCTGGCTAGATACTGGGATACGAATAGAAATTGAGAGTTCCTGCTCTCAATCTCCCAGTTTGGTGATCATGGTTGGGGTGGCAGACATGCAAATAATCACAAAGATTTACACTATTTCATGATAGGTGATAGGTTTACAAGGTTTGGAGGGAACGTGGACAAGGGAAATTAACCTATGCTTGATAAATCAGGAAGGGCCTGAGTAGGGCCTGTGCCTCACAGATAGTGGGGCTAGTCCAGATAACCTCATCAGGTGAAAATCAGGGCAGCATCATTACATCCTGTTTCTCTACTTCACTGGGTCAGAGCCCATCTTCAGACAGGTGGCTATGTCCCTTAATTCCCTACTTCCTGCTTTAAGAGGGGCATTATCTGCTTTATCTGGAGAAAAGAAAGGAGAGGGAAGTCACCTGAATGAGGCTGGGAAAAGATCCACATTTCTTTCAGTCTATGACAGAGACATGTCCAACCGCAGAATTTCTTGGACTGCATCTTCTTTATTAATGGATTCGAAACTGTATTGCAATACGTTAGATCATGACTCTCTTGCTGTGGCATCCATCTGTATTTCTTCAGGAAAGTTGAATTAAATTTAGACCAGGTGTGTCATTTGGGTCACTTAGCAGCTCAATCAGTAGTCCTGTCTTCTTCAGAACAGAAAGCTAAAACACATTAATTGTTTCACCTACCTTTAAAAATTTTGCCATATCTTTCATGCTCTGCTGCAATAGTATTCCTTTTGTATCTGTCACCAGTGGTTGACATGTGGCAAGTCCTGTTCTCACTTGGAAATTTCCTTTCGTATTCATATTGAATACAATAGAGTGAAGTAATTTTGTTGTTTAAGTTTTTTTCAACGAAAAAAATTAAATGTCATTTATAATTTAGTTTAATATAGAGAAGTTTATAAAAGAAAAGAAAAATGACCCATACTGCTACTCTGAAACCCCTAGTAATATTAAAAATAAGATTAATATATTTAGGTAAACAGAACATTCAGATAGTACCAGTAGGTATAAAACGAAAGTCTGGCTTTTCCTCCTGCCCCACTGCCCTGTCCCCTCTCTTAGATCATGGCTCCTTAAAGGTAACTAGTGTCAATAGCTTCATATTATTATTATTTTTAAATGTATATATGCATACCAGCATTTATGTGTTTTCAGTCTTTTAATATATCTATCAATAATTTTATTCATTTGTTTATTCATCTAAAAAATATTTGTTGAGGGCCTCTTCTGCCCCAGACAGAATGTTTCACCCTGGGGATACAGCAGCAAACGAAACAGAAAACGTTGCTCTTCTCATGGCACTTAGAGTCTAGTTGAGAGAGAGAGACAAAAAATGTAAATGAACAAGAAAACAAGATAACTTCAGTTTGTTCAAAATGCTGCAAATGAAATAGAGTGGTTTGATATGATGATGCAGTTAGGTAAGGTGATTGATGAAGGCCTCTGCTTATACAATTTATTAAACTTTACTGAAAGAAGAAAAACATGGAATGACTCAGTTAATTCTTGATTTATGCTATTTTTATTTCTAAAGGTGAAACCTCACCTGCTATCCAGCTGCCCACACCTGCAGTCCAGAGCCCAAGCCCTGTCACACTTTTCCAGCCCAGCGTCTCCAGTGCTGCTCAGGTGGCTGTCCAGGATCCAAGTCTACCTGTCTATCCAGCACTCCCACCCCAACGCTTTACTGGGCCTTCCCAAACAGACACTCATCAGCTGCATTCTGAAGCCACTCACACTGTGAAGCAACCCACTCCTGTCTCTCTAGAGAGCGCCAACAGGATTTCAAGTAGTGCAAGTACTGCCCATGCCAGATTTGCAACTTCGACCATCCAACCTCCTAGGGAGTATTCCAGCGTTTCCCCTTGTCCCAGAAGTGCTCCAATCCCCCAGGCTTCTCCCATTCCACACCCACATGTCTACCAGCCCCCTCCCCTTGGCCATCCAGCCACACTGTTCGGGACACCACCAAGATTCTCTTTTCATCACCCTTACTTCCTACCCGGACCTCACTACTTCCCATCAAGGTAAATTAACATTTTTTTTCCTTTTACCTAAACATTCAGCTAATGAGTTTTTACCTGTGACAACATTTTTTTGTTTATTTGTTTTTAAATACTGAAAAGCAGACTTCTTCAATTCTGCTGACTAGGAGCCAAGCAGTTAACATAAATAGATGGAGAGGGCCAGGTGAGGACTGGGGTAGCTAGGGAGAGTGCAGCTCTAACTCAGCTCCAGCTGACTCTTGTTACATAAGAATATAGGCTTCAGGCAGTGGCTCATGCCTGTAATTCCAGCACTTTGGGAGGCCAAGGTGGGTGGGTAACTCGAGGTCAGGAGTTTGAGACCAGCCTGGTCAACATGGTAAAACTCTGTCTCTACTAAAAATACAAAAATTAGCCAGGCGTGGTGGCACGTGCCTGTGATCCCAGCTACTCAGGAGGCTGAAGCAGGGGAATCACTTGAACCTGGGAGGCGGAGGTTGCAGTGAGCTGAGATCACACCAACTTCACTGCAGCCTGGGTGACCATCTCAAAAAAAAAAAGAACAAGAATATAGGCTTTAATGTTGGATATAATTTTTCATGCAAAATAACTATAAGGGACCTTAAGATCATTTAGTCAAATGTATTGAGGTGTACTTATTGTATAGAGGGGGTGCATCTCAAACTTTATTGTGTATATAAATCGTGGTATTTTGTTAAAAATGCAGATTCTGATTCATTGGGTCTGGGGTTTAGTAGTATCCTATATGGGAGTATAGTACGCCTGATATTTGGCATTTCTAGCAAGCTCCCAAGTGATTGCCAATTCTGCTGGTTTACGGACCACACTTTGAATAGCAAGGGTATAGAGGAGGGCACTTGGTCTACGTGAAAAATTGTTTATTTACCTAGGTTAAATGACTAGACCAAAGTTATACTACCTCTTTGTGCCCTTTTTACCAAATTAGAAAATTTCCCACATAAATTACCAATAAAGGAATTCATTTTCATAGGGAAGTATCTAGGGAAAACAAATGTGTAACTTCATTTTGGAATGATAGAAATTTAACTCCCTTGGAAGTATTTTGATAGAGTGGTATTAGCCTCTGCTTTCCATTTTTTTTTTTTTTTTTTTTTTTGAGGCGGAGTTTTGCTCTTGTTGCCCAGGCTGGAGTGCAATGGCGCGATCTTGGCTCACCACAGCCTCCGCCTCCCGGGTTCAAGCGATTCTCCTGCCTCAGCCTCCTGAGTAGTTGGGATTACAGGCATGCGTCACCACGCCTGGCTAATTTTTTTTGTGTGTTTTTAATAGAGATGGGGTTTCTCCATGTTGGTCAGGCTGGTCTTGAACTCCCGACCTCAGATAATCTGCCCATCTCGGCCTCCCAAGGTGCTGGGATTACATGCGTGAACCACCATTCCCGGCCTAGCCTTTACTTTTCAATTACTGTTAAATGTGTAGACAAAGATGGTTTCTGTTGAGACGGGAGTATTAAACTGTCTAACACCAATCTTTTATTGTTTCTTACTTAGCAAGTAAATCTACTTCCCATTAGGGTATACCTACACCTCAATAGAAACAACTTTTGAGGTATATATTATGTTGCTTCAATTTATAATCAATTGCTTGCTTTTGGGCCCTTAGCTCAGGACTGGAAGAAAGTGGGACCAGAGGATTAGATCAGGAGAAAGGAAGATTTTTGTCATCTAGGGTTTGTTTTGTTTTATGTAGAATCTTTTTATCTTTTGCAGCCTTAATAAGTATTTTAGTTCAAGGGATCAAACCTCAAGAGACTTTTAATTTAAGGCCGGGGAGGTTGATAATCTCTTTTCATTGCTATCTGCTAGGATCTAGGATTTTACAGGAATTTTGGAGAATTTTATAAAATGTTTCCTACATATAAGAAGAATATGAAGGGTGTAGATTGAATTTAATGAATGAGTAAATTTGAGAACACTTGGCCTTAGTTAGAATCTTGAGGCCTATAACAAAAATTGTGGAAAATTGTATCTGCTACATAATTAATTTTGTAATATGGGAAATGCTTGGACCCTATTTACTCACAGGATAGGTGAAGAAGAGTCAATTACAATGGGCTGTGTACCACAGTCTCACTCTAGCTGTTACTACTTTTTTGTTTGTTGCATTTTTCTTCTTTTTAGTGTTTTGAGAGCTAAGAATTTTTACACGTAGTTTTTATAACAATCCTGTGACTTGGGTATAATATTCCCCTACTTTTTCAGTTAAATAAATGGATTAGTAAATAGCCTCATCAAGGTTGTACAGTGGCAGAGCCAATAGTCAAATTCAGGTTTGATTGATTTTGAATTTCATATTTGTCTTTTTTACTATATCAGTAAGACTTCTTTTATGACAGCTCCTCTTGATTGGCAGCTGTTAGTTGCTAGCAGAGAATCATATGGAAAAAATATATTTTGAATAAAAACCTCACATAGTCAAGTGGACATTGGGGCAGGTAATTTTCCTTACATATTACATAGATTAAATCATAGAAGTCTATCTTATTTATTTGGGACAAGGCTTGTAAGATTTGACTGTTAATGTATAAATTATCTGACACTTTAAGGAACATTTTAAAAGGAAGCTCTTGAAAGTAAGTTCTTTGTTTTTGTTTTTGTTTTTTTTTTGAGACAGAGTCTTGCTCTGTCACCCAGGCTGGAGTGCAGTGGCGCAATCTTGGCTCACTGCAACCTCTGCCTTCCAGGTTCAAGCAATTCTCCTATCTCAGCCTCCCGAGTAGCTGGGACCACAGGTGCCTATCACCACACCCGGCTAATTTTTGTATTTTTAGTAGAGATGGGGTTTCACCATATTGGTCAGGCTGGTCTCGAACTCCTGACCTCAGGTGATCCACCTGCCTCAGCCTCCCAAACTACTGGGATTATAGGCATGAGCCACTGCTCCCACCCAAAAGTAAGTTCTTGGAAGACAGAAACTACCTTTTTTGTTAATACTATTACTGCTAATTAATAATAATGCTATTGGAAGAACCAAATGAAGTGACTAGCTATTATACTGAATTTTATTTCATTTAAGAATGTCAGAGCAGTATGTCAACTATAAACATTAAGCTATGCATAGTTTTTTAGAAAAGAAGACTAGCCTTATCAATTATAATATTTTTCAGTTGTTTTTCTGACTCTACCTGTATGTGTCTGATGATAATTTCCCCAAGGAAATAATCTATTTATGACTGTCTAGATAGTATATTTCAGTAAACCCTAAATGCCAAAATTAATTGATTCTCTCTCAATTTTTCTCTTCTCCCAACTGATAATGGAATTTTCTGTAAGGAATATTTCTGGGCAGATGCAGTGGCTCACGCCTGTAATCCCAGCACTTTGGGAGGCCGAGGCGGGCAGATCACCTGAGGTCAGGTGTTTGAGACCAGCCTGGTGAACATGATGAAACCCTGTCTCTACTAAAAATACAAAAATTAGCCAAGTGTGGTGGTGGGCACCTGTAATCCCAGCTATTCGGGAGCTTGAGGCAGGAGAATCGCTTGAACTTGGGAGGCAGAGGTTGCAGTGAACCAAGATCACACCCCTGCACTCCAGCCTGGGCAACAAGAGTGAAACTATATATATATTTCCTTCCTACTCTAGTTATTTATATGTGGAATTTTCCAACTATTTCAATGTTAGAATTGTAATGGACATTTGAGATATACTTATATATACATATTTTGTGTATATATGTATATATTTATGATTATTCACTATTAAAAATTTTGGCTGGGCGTGGTGGCTCACGCCTGTAATCCCAACACACTTTGGGAGGCCAAGGAGAGAGAATCTGTTGGGCCCAGGAGTTTGAGACCAGCCTGGGCAATTTAGTGAGACCTTGTCTCTACCCCCAAAATTTTTTTAATTAGCTGGTCGTGGTGGCATGTGCCTGTAGTCCCAGCTACTCAGGAAGCTAAGGTGGGAGGATCACTTGAGCCTGGGAGGTGAAGGCTGCAGTGAGCCAAGATCATGCCACTGCACTCCAACCTGGGCACCAGAGTGAGACCATGTCTCAAAAAACCAAAAAGTGTTTCTTTTCGCTACGCAGTTCACTTTGCCCTGTGTATGTAGAGTAAAAATCAAGTAGGCTAGGTGGTTTAATCAAGGAGTCATTTTACAAAACAGATGGACACTCAGAAGTGCTGCTCCCCCTCTCTGGGGCTAACATCTTATTCCTGCCTTCAGATCTTAACCATCATCATATTGTGTTTGTCAAAATGCTCTCTTTCTGTGTACTACATTAATTCTTCAGACTAGTTCTTTTCTCCCTACCCCTTCCTCTTCCTTCTTCTTGCAGTATATTGGGCTTTCACATTCAAGGGAGATACATAGTATCTTCATTCTGTTGGCCATTGGGTAAAAAATGTGTTTAAAATCTATGTAAGTAGGGATAAAGAAAAGATATGAAGACAAATGGGGATTTACTATCTTGAAATATATGGAAAATACACTCAGATATATTGTAGGGAAAGTAAGTTCAAAGAATTCCTGGATTTGTAGAAATAGCATCTAAATTGTAAAATTTTAGGCAAATGAATCAAAGGTTAAAAGCAATTCTCTTTAACCTTTGTTTGGGTCAGAGACCCATTTGAGAATTTGATTGAAGTTATGGACTTCTTCCATAATAATGCATATCTGCATACATATACAAACTTTTGCCTAAACTTATGGAGGAGGGAAACTAACAGTCCCAAAACATGATAGACTTAGTTAACATAGAATACCTTCTGCTGTAACTACCTAGAAATGTTAAATTTAAATATGAACAATTTAATACCTACCTGAACTCCCCAGCAAGGAACTCACCATGTGCCAAAATGATCAACAAGTTAAAAACTAGTTGTAGTGGTCCTGGAGATGATTTTCAGATTCAGAAATAGTTTCATTGGTTATAAACTTGGGTTTTAAGCTCGATGTGCTGTCATGCACCTGTAGTCCCAGCTACTTGGGAGGCTGAGGTGGAGTTCGAGGCCAGTCTTGGCAACAAATTGTGATCCTGTCTCTAAAACAAAAACAAAAACAGAAAAAACCCTAAACTTGAGTTTTAATGTCTGTGAAGGGAAAAAAGATGAGGTCTTGACCCTGCTCTGCTCCCCTGTTCAAGGTGGGGATAGGTACTGAAACTAAAACCTCTTTATAAAGCCAAGACCCTGGAAGGAATTTTTCTTTTTTTTGTTTTTTTGAGAGTCTTGCTCTGTCTGCCAGACTGGGGTTCTGCAGCCTCTGCCTCTGGGGTTCAAGCGATTCTCGTGCCTCAGCCTCCTGAGTAGCTAGGATTACAGGTACATGCTACCATGCCTGGCTAATTTTTGTATTTTTAGTGGAGACTGAGTTTTGCCATGTTAGTCAGGCTGGTCTTGAACTCCTGGCCTTAAGTGATCTGCCTGCCTTAGCCTCCCAGAGTGTTGGGATTACAGGCGTGAGCCACCACACCTGGCTGGAAGGACTTCTTAACCTTGATAAAAGGAATATAAAATTTTTGTCGTTGATCCAGGTAAAGCACAGAAAGAATCTTGTTTTTACTCAGGGCTCTATGTGATTTTCATTAGAAATAAAATTCCCAAGGTGTTTCACACATTGGTTCAGAGTCTAAAATCACCCTGTCCACTGGATGCAGACATTTCTTTTTCTTTTTGAGATGGAGTTTCGCTCTTTTTGCCCAGGCTGGAGTGTAATGCCACGATCTCGGCTCACTGCACTGCCTCCAGGGTTCAAGTGATTCTCCTGCCTCAGCCTCCCGAGTAGCTGGGATTACAGGTGCCCACCACCACGTCCAGCTAATTTTATATTTTTAGTACAGATGGGGTTTCACCCGTCTCTACTGGAAATCCAATGAGACCTAATTAGCTAGACTTTTCAGGATAGAGTACCAGAGAAAAGAGAGCTACGCACAGAGGGAACTCCAGATGACTGTGTAGGGTCCCTCTTGAGTATTCGGTGAAGTACTAATTAGTGCATCCTTGTGAAGAAACAACCCAAGGCAGTGAAAGAACCACCTGAAAGGATCAGAGAAAACAATATCTGGCAATCATGCACTAACACAGTGCTGTGAATAGTCCCACCAACTAGATTGGAAAACTTCTATGGGGCACAGAACATTGGGTACTCAGAAGGGTCTTGCTTCAGATAGCCTTAGCCCAAATGTTGCAATGGTCACAACTAAAAATTCTTTTTTTTTTTTTTTTTTTTTTTTTTTTTAGTTACGGGGTGGGTCTTGCTGTGTCACCCAGGCTGGAGTGCAGTGGCATGATCATAGCTCATTGCAGCCTCGAACTCCTGGGCCTAAGTGATCCTTCTTTCTCAGCCTCCTGAATAACTGGGACTACAGGTGTGCACCACCATGCCCAGCTAATATTCTCATGTTTTTGTAGAGACAGGGCCTCACTTTGTTGCCTAGGCTGTTTTCAAACTCCTGGCCTCCCAAAGTGCTGGAATTAACAGGCATGAGCCATTGTGCTCTAATTTTTTTTTTTTTTTTTTTGAGACGAGTTCCCACTCTGTTACCCAGGCTGGAGTGCAGTGGCACGATCTTGGCTCACTGCAACCTCAGCCTCCCGGGTTCGAGCAAGCAATTCTCCTGCCCTCAGCCTCTGGAGTAGCTGGGACTACAGGCCGCACCACCATGCCCGGCTTATTTTTGTATTTTTAGTAGAGACGGGGTTTCACCATGTTGACCAGGGTGGTCTCAAACTCCTGACCTCAGGTGATCCACACGCCTCGGCCTCCCAAGGTGCTGGGATTACAGGCGTGAGCCACCGCGCCCAGCTCAAAATTCTTAAAAGCAAGACCTGAAAGGACCAACTTGTTTTTAAGTAATTTAACTGCACCCAAGAGCAAAGCTCAAGAATAGAAATAGAATCAAATAATTAAAAAGGTAAGTGAGAGTACGGTTCATTTTTGAGATGGCAGCACAGGGAGCTCTGTGGACCCAGTCTCTAGCAAACAAGTGTAAGTGGTGAAAACTATTTTTAAAAACCAATCATTCAAGTCTCTGGAAGTTGCTGGGTGTGGTGGTGTACCTGTAGTCTCAGGTACTTGGGAGGCTGAGGCAGGAAGATTGCTTGAGCCCAGGAATTTGAGACTGTAGTGAGCTATGATCATACCACTGCATTCTGGCCTGGGTGACAGCAAAACCCCATCTCTTAAATTACATATATAAAATACATATATTGTGTGTATATATATATATATATATATAAAATATATATATTGTATATATATATAAAATATATAGTATATATATAAAAAATATATATAGTATATATATAAAAATATATAGTGTATATATATACAATATATATAGTATATATATATAATATATAATATAGATATTATATATTTTTTATATATATAAAATTATATATATTGTATATATATATATAAAAATATATAATATATATATAATGTATATATATAAATGGGAAATCCAGAAGGCCACACACATATCCAGAGCTAGACCCATGTTCAGAAAATACACAAAAAGACCCCAAGCTTTTAACTCTAACTGATCTGTAGGCTCTGTATAAGCAGGAAGTAAAGACTAAGGCAGAACTGAAAATAGCCTGGCTAAGTATTTAAGGAGTGCCCCAGTTCAAAGCCAATCTGTAAAGACCAGGAAAATATGTTTTGTTTTGTTTTTGTTTCTAGGTTTTTAAGGAAATCTCTATCAAATTTCTGACCGCTAAGCTAATTGAACAGAGATTTCAATGACCATGCATAACAAAGAATACGGTCTTTACAAAAATACTCTAGAAAACCAAATAAACAACTACAACCCCAAACAAGCAACAACAACAAACCTTGGATAAGGGAAAGAATTTGATTTCTAGTGGCATCACATTATAATATTCAAAACATCCAGTTTTCAACAAAAAAGTTACAAGACATGCAAAGAAACAAGAAAGTAGGGCATTCACAAGGAAATAATATTAATAGTAACTATCCCCAAGGAAGCTGAGACATTGGACTTAATAGACAGTTTAAATCAGCTGTTTTAAATATGCTCAAGGAACTAAAGGAAACCATGGACAAAGAACTAAAGGAAACCAGGAGAACAGTGTTTCACCAAATAGATCATATCAATAAGGAGATAGAAATTAAAAAAGAACCAAATACAAATCCTCAAGCTAAAAATTGCAGTAACTTCTTATAAGACTTACCAATCATACATTGAAATAGTGTTTCTAGTTTCCATCACTTATATTCTCCTGTTCCTTATGACAGACCTTTTAGGTTGACAGAACAGACATTGTTATCCCTATTTTATATAAGAAGGATACAAGGATCAGATAAAGTAAGATTTACTTAAGTTTACCAGATTCTTATGTGGCATAGCTAGAACTAGAGCCTGGGTAGGGCGGCATGGTAGTTAGGAGAACAAGTTCTGGAGTCAAATTGCCTGATTCTGTCTACCACTTACTAATTATATCACTTTGAGCGAGTTACTTAACCTTTTTAAAGCTCCATTTCCTCATCTGTACAGTGGAGATATTTATAGTGTCTGTGTCTTAGGGTCGTTCTGAGTGTTGTTCAGTGTTATATTGAAATAACATATACACTCCTTGGCCAATGCCTAAAAAATAGTAAATGCTTACATATTGGATAATATTATTATTTGGACTATTCTAATTAATGTTTTTCCCCCTACACCATGATGCTTTTATAGTTTTTTGCTTTCACTCATGTAACCTTCTAGGATTGCCTTTGTCTTAATTGATCTTTTTGTTCTCTGAATATAACACGAACTCGTCTTTACCACACCAAAATAGTCACTATAATGCTGGCGTTATAGACTTTAGCACATGTCTAATATATACCTAGATTTTATGTTTTTTAAAAAATTATCTACCAAGCCTTACATAGCGTCTTGCCTACATTGAGTCCTGAAAAAGACAGTTGTTGGGTGAATTATTTCTAGCTGAAATGAAGGCTTTGTGGAAGGGATAGATTTTTATTTTATTGATATATAACATTTTACGTATTTATGGGGTACTTGTCATAAATATGTATAAAATGTGTAATGATCAAGTCAGGGTATTTGGGTTATCTGTCACCTTGATTATCATTTCTGTATATTGGGAACATTTTTAGTCCTCTCTTATAGCTACTTTGAAATACACCAGACATTGTTGCTAACTATAGGCACCCTACTGTGCTACTGAACATTAGAACTTACATCTTCTATCTAACTGTATGTTTGTACCCATAGTCAGCCTCTTTTCATCCCTGAATTATCTGTGGAATTCAATGGATAGAGAGACCTGCTATATGAGCAAAGCTGTGCTAGCCAGAAGCACAGTGTATTTGGCCGTGCACGGTGGCTCACACTCATAATCCCAGCACTTTGGGAGGCTGAGGCGGGCGGATCACCTGAGGTCAGAATTTCGAGACCAGACTGGCCAACATGGTGAAACCCCATCTCTACTAAAATACAAAAATTAGCCGGACATGGTGGCGGGCACCTGTAATCCTAGCTACTCGGTAGGCTGAGGCAGGAGAATTGCTTGAACCTGGGAGGCGGAGGTTGCAGTGAGCCAAATTCATGCCACTGCACTCCAGCCTGGGTGACAGAGCGAGACTCTGTCTCAAAAAAAAAAAAAAAAGAAGCACAGTGTATTCAGGACATGTGTATTAAATTTAAAATGCCCGAACTAAGAGTGGCAGTAGGCATGGAAACCTGAAAAATTTTAGAAACTTTACCTCATTTGTTATAATTAACATGAGCAAGGTACCTAGCACTTGAAGATTTGGGGGTAGGGCATAGTTTCAGAGTTTGAGATAATAGTCTAGTATGTCTGTCATACTTAGGTTTTTAAAAGTAAGGTAACAAAGTTGACTCTGTGTGTGTGTGTGTGTGTGTGTGTGTGTGTGTGTGTGTGTGAAGGCCAGAAATGAAACACTTAACTTGCCATGGGTTTTGCCGATGAGTATGGTCATTATGTTTATGTTATCTGTCACTAGATGGTTGGACTCTACCTCTTCCTATAATTCCTGCTCTATGCCTTTGAAAGAGAGAATAATACTTAAAAACAATTGACAAATGGGTTTGAGTAGCAGAATTTTTGAGGTATAATCTTTTTTAAAAAAATTTTTTTTTGAGATGGGGGTCTCACTATATTGCCCAGGCTGGCTTCAAACTCCTGGGCTCAAACGATCCTCCTGCGTCAGCCTCCTGAGTAGCTGGGACTACAGGCATGCACTACTGTGCCCAGCAAATGGCAGAAATTTTGGATTTGACTTTTTTTTTTTTTTTGAGATGGAGTCTCACTCTGTCACCCAGGCTGGAGTGTGGTGGCGTGATCGCGGCTCACTGCAAGCTCCGCCTTCTGGGTTCACGCCATTCTCCTGCCTCAGCCTCCTGAGTAGCTGGGACTACAGGCGCCCGCCACCACGCCTGGCTAATTTTTTGTATTTTTAGTAGAGATGGGGTTTCACCGTGTTAGCCAGGATGGTCTCGATCTCCTGACCTTGTGATCCGCCCACCTCGGCCTCCCAGAGTGCTGGGATTACAGGCGTGAGCCACCGCGCCCGGCCAAAAAACCATAACTTTTAAAACTGCAAAATGTCTTTTTGATTCTTCACATTCCTGCCCTCCAAAAAATGTTTTGGAAAAGACCTTTAAGACCATAGTTTACTATCAGTTTCAAATCTTTCTAGTAGTAACAGTGTTTTAAATTTACTTTATTATTGAATGTCAATGAAAAAATTTAACTTGTCTTCTGTTCCAGTGCCTCAATATTCTGGATCTCTTGATTTCAATCTAGTTATACATTTCCCCCCCAACATGAGCTTCCTTTCAAATACCACTAAAAACAACTATTGCACTATTGCATTGTTTACTAAGTGTCAATTCTGTGGGTTTTTTTGTTTGTTTTTGTTTTTTTGGAGGCGGAGTCTCACTCTGTCACCAGGCTGGAGTGCAGTGGCGCAGTCTCGGCTCACTGCAACCTCTACCTCCTGGGTTCAAGCGATCCTCCTGCCTCAGCCTCCTGAGTAGCTGGGACTACAGGCATGCACCACCATGCCCAGCTAATTTTTTGTATTTTTAGTAGAGATGGGGTTTCACTATGTTGGCCAGGATGATCTCTATCTCTTGACCTCATGTTCCGCCCGCCTCAGCCTCCCAAAGTGTTGGGATTACAGGCGTGAGCCACCGCGCCCAACCACTGAGTGTCAATTCTTAGCATAGCTCAACACACATCTGCATTTCCAAAACCTTATATGGTATGAGGCATCATGAGAGAAAGACCAGAATAAGCAATTTTGTTATCATGGTTGTCAAAGGTAAGAAGCCTGAGGCTAACGATAGATAATAGTGCTGGTGAGTATTCCAGTCACAAGCTCCCTTTCCTGTTCCTTGTGGGTGGGGACTGGGCAGTGGGAAAAGAGCAGAGGAATACATGAAGTGTTTGCAGAAAGGAACTTTCCAAACCCCAAAGAGGAGGCATTAACTTGCTCTGTTAGTCTGTATGCAAGGCAATATGTGGGCAAGATCTAATTCCTTGTTTGTGTTTTTCTGCTGCAGTACATGCCCTTACAGTCGGCCTCCCTTTGGCTATGGAAATTTTCCGAGTTCAATGCCAGAATGCCTTAGTTATTATGAAGACAGGTACCCAAAACATGAGGGTATCTTTTCAACTTTAAATAGAGACTATTCTTTTAGAGACTACTCAAGTGAATGCACACACAGTGAAAATTCTCGGAGTTGTGAGAACATGAATGGAACTTCTTACTATAACAGTCATAGCCACAGTGGGGAAGAAAACTTAAACCCTGTGCCTCAGCTGGACATTGGAACCTTGGAGAATGTCTTCACAGCCCCGACATCAACTCCTTCTAGCATCCAGCAAGTCAATGTCACCGACAGTGATGAGGAGGAAGAAGAAAAAGTGCTCAGGGATTTATAATTTTAAAACAAATATGCACAGAAAATAAACATTTCTTAAAATATATTCTGGGTCAGTTGGTATGAGAAAAAAAAAAGCCTAGAATTCTTTGTTGAAAGTTTTCAGTCGTGATTTGAGGAGTTAAAACCAAATGCAATTTATGTCTTCATAAAATTTTGATTAGTGAAACTAGAGTCTGGATGTTTCATTGTAGGAATATTTAAGTTATTAAGTAGTTTAATTTTAATGGCTGAAATTTGCATCAACATGTATTATTATTACTTTATCCTGGAACATGCAAAATACTGAAGCCTCACAGTTGTATGTGAGGGGAAAGGGGAAATAAATCTAGCATAGTGTGATTTTTATTTTATCTCAGGATACATTTTTTAAATGATTTTTTGTTTGCTTTTTATGTAATACTTATGGATGTTGTCAATTTTTGATGTAACATTTTGAAAGTATTTTGACAACTCCTAGTGAACTTGGACTTGGTTGCTAAATTTAACTTACACTAATAACCAATTATAAGTTCCAAATGTGTTTTAATGGCACCTGGGTGATTCTTCAGCTAAATTTAGTCATTTCTGTTTCTAAATATTTTTATCATTTTAAAATATTTTTTTTCCATTTGGCATACATCGTTCTTTGTTGTAATTAAATAAACATAGATAAAATTGTTCTTGTTGGATGTTTTCTGTTTGCGGGATAGAAGTAAGCAAACAGAGTATTTTTCATAGAAGATTGTTTTCTATACCATATACAGATAATTCATTTTTACCTATAGTCTCCAGAATTGCATAGATTCTATTAGCTCACACGAGACTTAAACATGTATCAACAAAGTTGCCCACACATTCTGATGCCATTTCCAAACTCTTTACACATACGTACACATGACTTAAGCACATCCCAGAATGGAAGAGCTCTTCCAGATTTGGCTCAAGCAGCTGTCTTGAAAACCATGAAGTTTATTTAAGAGCATAAGGAATTTATTTAATTCACGATGAACAAAAAAACCCTACCTGTGACATAACCTCCTGGTAAGTACCCAGTTAGGGATTGAGAAGGCCTTTTTAGAACAGTATCAGGACTATGAAAGTTGAGATCATGGTAAAAGATCTCTAAGGTACAAAGTGAATTGATGATGGGAAATAGTCACCAACCAATACGCTTTTCCCTCAGTGATCTATATAATTTATGCAAATTGAGATCTTGTTACTTAAAACTGTGTGGAAATTGTGTATGGAAATCTCTTCTAAGCTTCCACATTCTTCCTTTACTAAACCTGTATTTGTTTCTTAAACAAAATTTGTTAATGTAATACATTTCATCAGACTTACATTTATTGTACATGACACTTTCTTTCCCAATACAAATTTTGTTTTCATGGTTTTATATTCTTTATTACTATGCCCAGTGCCATTTTGATGTGTTTAAAGAGTAAAACTTTAATTTCTTCGTGATAGAAAGCAAACATATGTCACCTCACATCTGAACTAAAGTAACATTTGATTGTCTACACATTTGATATCTATACCATTAAAGAGAAATGTATGCAACAATTTGACCCATTTTACCTCATCTCATTTAATAGCAACTTTGTGACTAACTGGATTTTTACCACAGACCTTATTCTTGTAGACAAATTGGTTGTTGAAATCACTGTGTAAAGCAGTGAATAAGATAGAGCACAGGTCGGTATATCCTAACTGCCTGTCTGTAGGGTAGCCCTGCCCCTCTCCGATTCTTTCTTTAAACTTTTCTTTTAATGGCTAACCCTGGTCAATTCTTTTACTCTTCCTCCTTTTTCTCAGTGCTGGGATCAGAAGCCAGGAGTTTGGATTGTTTATAGATCCACAGTACAATTTGGGCTGGGAAATATGAGTATTTCATTTAGAAAGTACCCAATTGCAGATAAGCATTCCCAACTACAAACGGCCATATCTGATCATTTACAGCTTTTCAAACCACCAACTAGAGATCTACAGTCCAAACAAAGCCCTGCCCCACTGGCAGTAATTCATCTGCCTTTCTAAGTCATCAAAGTGAAATTCTCTAAGTTCAAAGCCACAAGTACTTTCTAGTAGGTCTCATTGCCTTTTTTGTTAGGTAATGACATTTGTTATAAGAATAGTCTCAAAATATGTTGAAATCTCAATATGTATAGAACGTCACTCAAACTGTTCTATGCTTTGGGCAAAGCTGCTCTGGCTATTTGCAAATAAAAACTAGTTTCACTGCAAAGTGACTGAAAATAGAGTTAGTCTGAACTTTCAAGGAGCCGAGTTACCAAATTTAGGAGGACAAGAGCAGTATTTCTCTACATTCATCAGTGAGAATTTAGAGATTCTGACAAAATTTGGTCAAATAAGTTTGGAAAAAACATGTCACACCCCATCTTGAAGAGTGTCAGTGTCCATTATCATTGTTATGTCTCAAAAGTCTTACAGTAAAGAAACATGTTAAACTCTATTTCAGCGTTTCCCAATCTTATCTAGCGTGAACTCCCCCCAACTTTTTGTGTTAACATATTACCTACTAACATCTCACAGAGCACCCTTCAGAAAAAAATAATAGCTGGTGGCTTTGGTTTAAAAATTGTTGACTTCTCACATGGTTTTCTGCATTGGGCAGTTCAAATTCCTTAGTGAAAGCACTGGCTGAATAAACTTTTCTTCATTGTATCTTAATGGTCTTAAAAGATTGAAAAACTGAAACTTATAATTGTTGTTAATTTACTGGCTATTAAACTGGCTTTTAAAATTATACTTTAAGTTCTGGATACATGTGCAGAACGTGCAGGTTTGTTACATAGGTATACACGTGCCATGGTGGTTTGCTGCACCCATCAACCTATCATCTACATTAGGTATTTCTCCTAATGCTATCCTTCCCCTAGACCCCCACCCCCCGACAAGCCCTGGTGTGTAATGTTCCCTTCCCTGTGTCCGTGTGTCCTCATTGTTCAACTCCCACTTATGAGTGAGAACATGCGATGTTTGGTTTTCTGTTCCTTTGTTAGTTTGCTGAGAATGATGGTTTTCAGCTTCATCCATGTCCTTGCAAAGAATGTGAACTCATCCTTTTTTATAACTGCGTAGTATTCCATGGTGTATATGTGCCACATTTTCTTTATCCAGTCAATCACTGATGGGCATTTGGGTTGGTTCCAAGTCTCTGCTATTGTGAATAGTGCCACAATAAACATACGTGTGCATGTGTCTTTATAGTAGAATGATTTATAATCCTTTGGGTATATACCCAGCAATGGGATTGCTGGGTCAAATGGTATTCCTGGCTCTAGATCCCTGAGGAATCACCACACTGTCTTCTACAATGGTTGAACTAATTTACACTCCCACCAACAGTGTAAAAGCATTCCTATTTTTCCACATCCTCTCCAGCATCTGTTTTCTGACTTTTTAATGATTGCCATTCTAACTGGCATGAGATGGTATCTCACTGTATTTTTGATTTGCATTTCTCTAATGACCAGTGATGATGAGATTTTTTTGATATGTTTGTTGGCTGCATGCATGTCTTCTTTTGAGAAGTGTCTGTTCATATCCTTTGCCCACTTTTGGATGGTTTTTTTTTTTTCTTGTAAATTTGTTTAAGTTCCTTATAGATTCTGGATATTAGCTGTTTGTTAGATGGATAGATTGCAAAAATTTTCTCCCATTCTGTAGGTTTCCTGTTCACTCTGATGATAGTTTCTTTTGCTGTGCAGAAGCTCTTTAGTTCAATCAGATCCCATTTGTCAATTTTGGCTCTTGTTGCCATTGCTTTTGGTGTTTTAGTCATGAAGTCTTTGCCCATGCCTATGTCCTGAATGGTATTGCCTAGGTTTTCTTCTAGGGTTTTTATGGTTTTAGGTCTTATGTTTAAGTGTTTAATCCATCTTGAGTTAATTTTTGGATAAGGTGTAAGGAGGGAGTCCAGTTTCAGTTTTCTGCCTATGGGTAGCCAGTTTTCCCAACACCATTTATTAAATAGGGAATCTTTTCCCCATTGCTTGTTTTTGTCAGCTTTGTCAGAGATCAGATGGTTGTAGATGTGTGGCATTATTTCTGAGGGCTCTGTTCTGTTCCATTGGTCTATATCTCTGGTTTGGTACCTGTACCATGCTGTTTTGGTTACTGTAGCCTTGTAGTATAGTTTAAAGTCAGGTAGCGTGATACCTCCAGCTTTGTTCTTTTTGCTTAGGATTGTCTTGGCCATATGGGCTCTTCTTTGGTTCCATATGAAATTTAAAGTATTTTTTTCTAATTCTGTGAAGAAACTCAATGGTAGCTTGATGGGGATAGCATTGAATCTATAAATTACTTTGAGCAGTATGGCCATTTTCACAATATTGATTCTTCCTATCCATGAGCATGGAATGTTTTTTCATTTGTTTGTGTCCTCTTTTATTTCATTGAGCAGTGGTTTGTAGTTCTCCTTGAAGAGGTCCTTCACATCCCTTATAAGTTGTATTCCTAGGTATTTTATTCTCTTTGAAGCAATTGTGAATGGGAGTTCACTCATGATTTGGCTCTCTGTTTCTCTATTATTGGCGTATAGGAATGCTTGTGATTTTTGCACATTGATTTTGTATCCTGAGACTTTGCTGAAGTTGCTTAACAACTTAAGGAGCTTTTGGGCTGAGACGATGGGGTTTTCTAAACATACAATCATGTCATCCGCAAAGAGAGACAATTTGACTTCCTGTCTTCCTATTTGAATACCCTTTATTTCTTCCTCTTGCCTGATTACCCTGGCCAGAACTTCCAATACTATGTTGAATAGGAGTGGTGAGAGAGGGCATCCTTGTCTTGTGCCAGTTTTCAAAGGGAATGCTTCCAGCTTTTGCCCATTCAGTATGATATTGGCTGTGGGTTTGCCATAAAAACCTCTTATTATATTGAGGTACATTCCATCAATACCTAGTTTATTGAGAGTTTTTAGCATGAAGGAGTGTCGAATTTTGTTGAAGGCCTTTCCTGCATCTATTGAGATAATCAGGTGGTTTTTGTTATTGGTTCTGTTTATGTGATGGATTGTGTTTATTGATTTGCATATGTTGAACCTGCCTTGCATCCCATGGATGAAGCCGACTTGATTGTGGTGGATAGGCTTTTTGATGTGCTGCTGGATTCGTTTTGCCAGTATTTTATTGAAGATTTTTGCATTGATGTTCATCAGGGGTATTGGCCTAAAATTTTCTTTTTTTGTTGTGTCTCTGCCAGGTTTTGTTATCAGGATGATGCTGGCCTCATAAAATGAGTTAGGGAGGAGTCCCTCTTTTTCTATTTAAACTGGCTTTTTAAGGAAAGTTGATTTGCACCCAAGAATTCAAGTAGGCAAATGTGCTAAATAGATACACAAGTATGTTTTTCACTGTGTCAACCAGCTGTTGGTAGGATTACTCCTGAGCCAAAAATATGAACTGCTTTTGAAAATTGTAGTTTGGAACTGATTTTGAAATGAATTTCTGGAGATTCTATGAACTGCTTGCAATATTTTAAAGTAGTAAAATTTTGATGTGGGCAGAGTAATTCTGAAAATTTTTTGTCCTACATGTTGGAACAGATTCTGCTGGGACACATCATTTTTTTTAGCTTTCTAGGTCATCTTAATAACTTTTTAGGATTTAAGAGAATTTTCAAAGGCATCACAATAAAACTACTTATCTAAAAACAAGTGTAGGAGTTGCCTTTTATCAAATTCTACTTGATGAAAAATTTCACATCCTCTTTACAGTTTTACCCTTTATCTCTGAATTCTGCTTTCAGACCACCCGATCCAGCTTTACAAATCTCTCCTTTGTGATGATGAGTTTAACATGCACAAATCTTAGTAAAATTTTCTCAAAGTGATGAACATTTGTAAGAAGAGAGGAGAAATAGGAAAGTGCTTACAACACCTTTACATCTCTGGCTCCTTCTCTGAAACCACTTAAGGGTAATGTTCTTTTCTATATATATTTTTTTATTTTTTATTCTTTGAGGCGGAGTTTCGCTCTTGTGGCCCAGGCTGGAGTGCAATGGTGCAGTCTCAGCTCACTGCAACCTTTGCCTTCTGGGTTCAAGCGATTCTCCTGCCTCAGCCTCCCGAGTAGCTGGGAGGGATTACAGGAGTGCACCACCACGCCCGGCTAAATTTTTGTATTTTTAGTAGAGATGGGGTTTCACTGTGTTGGCCAGGCTGGTCTCAAACTCCTGACCTCAAGTGATCTGCCTGCCTTGGCTTCACAAAGTGCTGGGATTACAGGCGTGAGCCACTGTGCCTGGCCGAAATGTCCCCTCCCCTCCCCTCCCCTTCTCTTCTCTTTTCTTCTCTTTCTTTTCTTTTTTTTTTTTTTTTTTTTTGATGGAGTTTCACTCTGTCACCCCGGCTGGAGTGCAGTACTGTGATCTCAGCTCACTGCAACCTCCACCTCCCCAGTTCAAGTGATTCTCCTGCCTCAGCGTCCAGAGTAGCTGGGATTACAGGCACGTGCCACCACTCTCAGCTAATTTTTCTATTTTTTTTTTAGTAGAGATGGGGTTTCACCATGTTGGCCAGGCTGGTCTTGAACTCCTGACCTCAAGTGATCTGCCTGTCTCGGCCTCCAAAAGTGCTGGGATTACAGGCATGAGCCACTGCACCCTGCCCGAAATGTCCTATTTCTTAAAATAATGAACAGCAGGTCCGGCACGGTGGCTCACGCCTGTAATCCCAGCACTTTGGGAGGCCAAGGCAGGAGGACCACGAGGTCAGGAGATCGAGTCCATTCTGGCCAACATGGTGAAACCCCATCCGTACTAAAGATACAAAAATTAGCCAGGCATGGTGATGCGCGCCTGTAATCCCAGCTACTCAGGAGGCTGAGGCAGGAGAATCGCTTGAACCAGTGAGTTGGAGGTTGCAGTAAGCCAAGATCCCGCCACTGCACTCCAGCCCGGTGACAGAGCGAGACTCTGTCTCAAAAAATATCTATCTATCTGTCTATCTATCTATCTATCTATCTATCTATAGAACAGCACCTTACCTGTATTTTTGTTTTTTCTTTAGAAAGCTAAGTTTTTGCCTGTGCTCCCTGGGGACACTGTGGAGGCTGACTCCTCCTCCTGGAGAATGTCTTTTCTTTTAAGCTGTATGGAAGGTTAGGGTGACCAACTGTCCCGGTCTTGGTTTGCACAGGACTGAGGAGCAGGGGGTTCCCAAACATAAGACTTTCAGTGCTAACATCAGGAAACTCCTGGACAAACTGTGATGAGTTGGTCACCCTAATGAGAGTGGCAGGCAGCTGCCAAATGCCTAGGCAGATAGGGGTGGGCCTGTGGTAAAACCCCACTCCAAGCTGGAGACAGTTTAAAGCCTGAAAGCCAAGCTACAAGTTAAATCTTCGGACTGGATTGAGAACTTGTCTTCCCGTTTGGTTTGCTTTCCTCTGATTGGTGCTTACCCTTCACCTATTTTATATATATCTACCCTTTCCTAATTGGTTTTCTTCACTATCATGCCCACCTTTGAGTGGTGTCTTTGTTTAACCTTTTTTGCATACTCACAAACCAATCAGCACATAATCCTTACTCTGAGTCCATAAAAGGCAGAACCAGCCACACGAAGAACTTTCCTGTCTTCGGGTAGGGGGACCACCCCCATGTCCCCTCTCTGCTAAAAGCTGTGTCATCACTCAATAAAATTATCTGCCCTCCTCACCCTTCAATGTCTTGCCTATCTTCATTCTTCTTGGGTGTGGTACAAGAGCTCAAGAACCGCCCGATGCGGGTACAAACTATCACACAGGTGAGCTGGGGCAGGCCAGCGTGGCTGAGCGAGGTCTGAGCGGGGCGTCACCAGCCAGGGGTCCCCAGCCTACAAAGTGACCAAGAAGAAAAATCCTACATCACTAATAAAGAAAATGAATATTGAATTATTCAGAAGGCTGGCTTATGCAGAGTATGTTATCCAGCTGTAGGGCTTGAAATTACCATGCCTTACACTTGAAGGCAGATTACAGCTGAACTTGTGTGGCACCTGTTAGGAAAGCATGAAATAAGATACAAGGAAGTGTGGGACTCTAAGGGAAATGGAGAAATGTAACTGTTCAAAATTGGGTTGCTTTTATCAGACAGCTTTAAGTTTACTTGGAAGACTCAAAGAAAAATCATCAAAACTGTACCTTTTAGTGATATTTCACTTTACAAACCAGGGAGAGTGCATTTTTCTTAAGATGGAGTGTTTGTTTTAAATTTTCTTACTGTTTCCCCAACAATGATAGACCAATATTGGCCTAGAGTTTTTTTTTTTTTTTTTGAGACGCAGTTTCATTCTTTTGCCCAGGCTAGAGTGAAGTGGCGCAATCTCAGCTCACTGCAACCTCCGTCCCCCCACACGTGGGTTCAAGTAATTCTCCTGCCTCAGTCTCCCGAGTAGCTGGGATTATAGGCTCCCGCCACCATGCCCAGCTAATTTTTGTATTTTTAGTAGAGATGGGGTTTCACCATGTTGACCAGGCCGGTATCAAACTCCTGACCTCAGGTGATCCACCCACCTTGGCCTCCCAAAGTGCTTAGATTATAGGCATGAGCCACTGCTCCCGGCCTGGCCTAGAGTTTTTGGTGCAACACAAAGCTAGGCTGTTTTGGCACAGATAATGTCCCAACTCTATTTTTAGGTGACTCTGAGACACCATCTATGGCAGTGTTTTTCAAATGTGGTCAACGCACCACTTCTAACAAATGACTCTGGATGCTTGTTAAAAATGCAGCCATTCCTCAGACCTATAGAATCAGAATTTCTTGGGCTGGAGCCTGTGAATATGCATTTTTAGTAAGCTTTTCAGGTGATTCTTATGTATATTTACCATTGACACCATAAAATTTTTTTTGACAACACGTAATGCTTGCAAGACTTATTTTCAAATTTTATTTATGAAAACAACATAACAACACTAAAGGGAATTTTCCAAGGAGGAAAAAGCTTTTAACCATCCAGTAATCATTTGTATTTTATGATGCTCTTTCTAATATTTGTTTACATACACACACATTTTTCACATGATTATAATCACAACACATGCACAGTCTTGCATTTTCTCAATATTTTGTCATGAGCTGTTTCTCATACTCCGTGCTTTCATAAATGATCACCTTCCATGTTTGTATAATATTGCTTCAGGCAGATATGCCATAACTAATCATATCAAAGAGTTGGGATTGTCATTTCTTCTAAAGAGATTTCAGAAATTTGTCCTGATAAATGTCAATGATGAGATCTTAGAGTGAGTTCTCTTACTGACAGATGAAAAGGCGGGGTTTTCTCGAAGCAGCCATCATTCCAGTGACATGAAGGGCTTTGAGGCCAGTATTGTGCTGAGGTCACTGTAAATCCAAGCACTGAATAGCTAGGGCCGGCAGACTCATCCCAGGAGGACGTTATTTTTCATTTATTTATTTATTTTTGAGACAGAGTCTCCCTCTGTTGCCCAGGCTGGAGTGCAGTTGAGTGATCTCAGCTCTCTGCAACCTCTGCCTCCCAGGTTCAAGTAATTATTCTGCCTCAACCTCCCAAGTAGCTGGGATTACAGGTCCCCAACACTATGTTTAGCTAATTTTTATATTTTTAGTATAGATGGGGTTTCACTATCCAGGAGGGCTTTAGATCAAAACATGAAGGATGAGAACGAAGATGTGGAAAGAAGGGTGCTTCTTGGTGTCCCTCCTGCCAAGGGGGACATGATACGCATTAGTTCTCCTTGGACAGTCTTTACTATGTGACTTCCCCTGCCTAATTGCTACTCATTCTTCATATCTCAGTGTAGAGGTCTACCAGTTGTTTCCCAATGGCTGCTTTCCTTTTCTTTTTTAATAATAGAACCTGAGTTTTTAGTTATGTACATAGCCATTCTGAATAAAGACTTTGTTTCATCTCCTGAAGCAAGGTGTGACCAAGTACCTAAGTTCTGGACTATAACATTACAAAGGAAGTTTCATGTGCACCTTCCAGAAAATATTTTTAAAGGGAGAGATTATGCCCTTCTCTGCCCTTTTGTCCTTCCTACTGTCAGGAATATGGAAGTGATGGTTGGAATGTGAGCAACTTTTTTGGACCACAGAGGACTCATGCCTAGGAGGGTCAAAAAACAAGATGGGAGCATCACACCAGCACTGGATTACTTTCCTCGGGACTTTTATATGAGAGAAAAATATATTTCTACCTAGTTTAATCCACTATAATCTTGTATTCTGTGTCACATGCAACTGAACCAAATTCTAACTCATTCAGAATTCTTCCTTCCAGAAAGTATTCTCTAATTTTCAAAGGCTAATTGTTCCTGCTTTGTGTTCCCATAGCAATTTTGTTTATATCTCCCCCTAGAATCTAAGCTCCCTGGGGGCCAACCATGATCCATGTCTTCTCCTAGGAACTAGAAAAAGAAGTATACATTGACTAGCAGAGTAACAGATGCAGCCCTGTATTCTCAACCTGACTAATGGAATTCATAGGCTGGCTGGCAAGCAGTGCTTCTTATGTCTGATTGCCCATATAAATTACCACAAAACTTAAAAAAAAAAGAAAGAGGAAAAAAAGAAATTCCCTGAACCACTGGCATTTGAATATTTGGAATGCAACCTGAGAATCTGTATCTTTTAAAGTCTTCCGAGGTGATTTTGAAACCCACCAGGTAATGATTTACAAAATGGAATTTGGGGCCGGGCACGGTGGCTCACACCTGTAATCCCAGCACTTTGGGAGGCCGAGGTGGGCAGATCACAAGGTCAGGAGTTTGAGACCAGCCTGGCCAACATGGTGAAACTCCATCTCTACTAAAAATACAAAAATTAGCCAGATATGGTGGCACACATCTGTAATCCCAGCCATTCGGGAGGCTGAGGCAGGAGAATTGCTTGAACCTGGGAGGTGGAGGTTGCAGTGAGTGGAGATCATGCCACTGCACTCCAGCCTGGGTGACAGGGCAAGACTCCATCTCGAAAAAAAAAAAAAAAAGGAATTTGGGAGCTAAGGGATAACATCGGGATTTTCCTCCTATCAACATCCCATTTTCCTTTCCTTTCTTTCATGTCACTTTAAGAGCTAATCGTCCAGTCCCTTTCCAAAGTCAAGCTTGAAGCAATTGTTGCACTCTGAGAACGGTTCCCAACACATAGATAAATGAGTGGTGAGAGACTGAACAGGGAGGTTCAAACATCATTGCAGGAGGGTTTTCACACTAATAATACATATAAGCATAAAAATAATTTCATTTTTTCTGGCCAGAAGTGTTGGCTCATGCCTGTAATCCTAGTAATTTGGAAGGCTGAGGCAGGTGGATCACTTGAGTCCAGGAGTTTGAGACCAGCCTGGGCAATGTGGTGAAACCCCATCTCTACAAAAAACACAAAAATTAGCAGGCATGGTGGCACATGCCTGTAGTCCCAGCTACTCAGGGGGCTAAGGTGGGAGGACTGCTTGAGCGTGGGAGGCAGAGGCTGCAGCGAGCCGAGATTGTGCCACTGCACTCCAGCCTGGGCAAAAGAGTGAGAGCTTGTCTCAAAAAAAAAAAAAAAAAGAATTTTATTTTTTTCAAAGCACTCATTATTACCTGTAATTGTCTTATTTCCTCACTTATCTTTTCCCCACCAACCCCCACTACTAGAAGCTCCAAAAGAATGGGAACATTGTATCTCTTGCTTGATGCATTATCCCTAACACCTACCACTGTGCCTGCAATGTATTGCACACTCAGTAAATATTTGTTGAATTAATTAGTAGAAGGTACACTTTATTAAGCACCTAGTATATGCCAGTGTATTTGATGGTTTATGTGATTATCTCACTTAGTCCTTACAACAAGCTTGTAAATAAGTGTTATCATCTTTATTTAGCCAATAAAAAAATCGAAGACTTACAGAGGTGAAACAACATATCCAACACCACCCCGCAAGTGATGAAGAATTAAGACCTGAACTCAAGTCTGTCTGCCTCCAAACTCAGCACTCTTTCTGCTCTACCACGTTAACTTTGCTGACAAACAATCCTGGGGTAAGATCCACGTCAAGTAGAACTCTCAGGTTAAGTCCTTTCTTCCATAGATACAAACGCCCTGTCCAGATCCTGAGCTAGCTTAGGATTGGAAGAAAACATGAAAGGTAGCTAGCTGCAAGATTAAAGGGGCCACCAAGGCATCCCTAATTCCATTGCCACCTGCCAGAGCACAGTGGATCCCTGCTACCTTGCCTGTCTGCTTGTGATAACCACCCCCATTCCTGCCTGTTCTTTTGAGAGATCCTCCGGTTCTGGTGCGGCTGATCACAATAGTGCACCCGGTCACAGTGACTGGCCCAGGGCTCAGTGTCCTACCCAGCAGGCCAGTCAGAGCCTTCACAAGGATTTTTCTAAGTGGACTTTCCAGGGCAGGCAATTTTGCTTTCCTCATGGAAAATGATTCTCTAAGAATGTGAGTCTGGATCTACTTGTGGCCGTGTTCTCTGGGGTTTGGGTAAAACCCATCTTTGGGAGGAGCAAATCATCGCAACACAGAAGCAGAGACAGGAAGACATAGAGCCCGACTGTGTTTGAGTCTTTGGTTCCATTTCCTGCAGGGCTCATCCTCACTGGTTCTTGAACAGTTCTCTAGTTCAAGGTTTTTGTTTTTGTTTTTGGTTGTGGTGGTAGTGGGTTTTTATTTATTGCGAATTAGTCTGGACAAACTCAGGGACATATAAACAGGCCCCTCGTGTGACGCAAGAAGCCAGTCAAGGAAGTCCCTGAGCCTACTCTGGCTGGGAGGCTGCCTGATAATGATTAAAAAAAAAAAGAAGAAGAAGAAGAAAAAGAAGCCAGTCATCATCTTGAAGCCCAGGGAATGCTTTTCATACTGCACATTTTTCACCTATCAGCTTTGGGATCAGGCATATCTAGGAAAGACTCCTGGCTCCATCACTTTTAGGGCTGTGTGACACTGTGTAAGTAACTTCGCCTCTCCAAACTTCAGTTCTCCGTACAATAAGAATAATAATTGTACATACCTCACAGGATTGCTGTGGAAGGTTAATGATTATACACAGTATTGGGTGATAATAAATACTAATGTGTTTGTCATTATTATTAGCAGTAGTTATGTTCCAGTATTTCCCTCTTGTGTTATTAGCAATAGATCAATGCCTCCCCTCTCTGCTCTATTTTATATGTCTCTGGGACACCCAGCTGAAATCCTCCAAGCTGCTAGAACAAGGCCAAGCTTGAAAAAATGATTAGAAGGGAAATAAGTTTATCTTACTTAAGTATCCACTTGCACTAGTGTTTAGCTTCTCTCTCTCCTCAAGATGTGATGAGACAATTGTTAGGAGGGTACTGGCCACTACCACCTCCTCATGTTTGTATAAAGTCATTCAGAACACTTTGCTTTCTCCTTTGAGCTTCATGAAAAACACAAGTGAAAGGTGAACAAACTGAGGCCCAGTGAGGAGCAATTGACGTAAACAGCTCCTCTTAAACGGAAGAGCAGGACCCAGGTCTGCCAGAAAAGAACCTAATAATTTACGCTAGCTAGCTCCTGCCTGAGAGTGCTGCATACTCTCACATAATGGTGCCAGCATGGTGCAGAAGGTCAACTTCTGACTCCCTCTGGCCTGACAAGATTGTCCGGAGAACTGACGGATCCAGATTCACTCTCACTTGCCAAGCATCTTACTGAGAAGGTAAAAGGATCAAGCAGGTGATTTCATGGAGCTGGGTAGAAGCTACATGAGCACAGGCCCTGTGCTCCTGCTGCCCAAGTCTTGGGTAGGACCACACACATCTTGCAACAAATGGGCAGAGATCAGAGTAACCCTGAAGTAGATAAAGATGCTGAATATAAACAAAGATGATTAAAGAGGCTATGGATTCAGGACACTGAATTTTGCTGCAGTGAGAGGAACCCTGGAGTCAGCTTTCTAACAGCCTGGCCATGTTTAGTTTATCAAACCTGGGCAGAGCAAAAGCCTCGGGATCCACTCACTCCATCAGAAACAAGTCTGAACAAGCCAGGTACTGTCCATCCGATACCCAGGCGTTTTGACGGTTCCTCTGTGGCCACCAGCCAAATGTAAATGGAGAATTCCAAGTCATCCATCATGCTTTAGCCACGCACGAGGTTAATGCCCTGTCTTTTAAAAGCACACAAAGGGCCATTTGAGTAGGAAAGTCCCACCAAATCCTGCTGAAACACCCGGCCCACTTTCGGATCATTTTTCTGAAGTGTCTTGGTTTGAAGGCACAGCTGTTGCTGAGATCCCTGAAAACAGCCTGCTGTTCTCTGTGGAAGCTATGGTAGATTAGTGTGGTTCAGCTGAGATACAGTCAAGCCCTTCAGACTGCCCCTTCCTCCAAATAACAAGCTGCTGACAACCTGATGTGGATTTTTACCAAAGAATCCATGTTTGCTTGCCTGCAGGCAAAGCTGGGTGTAGATTGAACTTCATGCGTGACTTTAGGCATGTCATCTCTCCTCTGTGGGCCTTGAGTCAAGACAGGAATGGATCCCACTCCATGCTGGAAAGTCCACTAACAAATGTGCATTTAGCACTTCTGCTTTCCAGGAGGGTAATGAATAAATGTGGCCTTCTCTGAATCAACCCCAGTAGAGTGGCTTTCGGAGTTCCCCAAAACATGAGACATAAACCAAGGACAAAGCCAGGATCAGGTTTATGCCTGCAACAGCTGTGGCTTTCAGATTGTTTCAGGTTGAAGAGGCTGAAACAACAGCTGCAGATCTATTCTTTGTCCTTGGGCTTGGACATAATGGGTGCAAATACAATTGAGACACCACCACCATGGCCATTTTCTGCTTTAGTAAATCCTAAGTTATGTCTTGGGGTCTGTGAAGTAAGATGGAAAATTAGTCATTCAGTGCAACCTAACCAAAAATGAATACATGTAGTTAGGTACCCCCAACCCCTATGACTTTCCAAATTCAGATTAATATTTTTGCTTAAAGATGTGCCAGATTCATAGAGTTGTAAGAGCCCTTTACATTATGGAGTATACAGGAAGTGGATAGCCTTTCTAGGTCATTCCTCATTCTCATGTCTCTAGCAGACATTGTTAGTGGGTCACAGAGCTCTCACCTTCTATCAGACATTCCTTCTCATCACAGAGGTGGTCTGGGCAGTCCCGGGCAGTGATAAGGGGTTCGTACTCAAGATAAAAGTCGTTTGCCGTCCCTGACCTAGCCCAACTCATGCATCTGCTTTCCACAGATAGAAAACAGGGCCAGAGATGGGAAGAACCCGGCCAATGCCACAGAATGAATCAGTGAATTTGTGGGAAGCTAAATAAAAGGCCTAGAATTCTTACAAATGTCAAGGAAAAACCATATTACTGCTTACTTTGCCTATTGTGCTGTATTTGTTCTCTCTTTCGGTTTTCTAGATTATTTGAATTGGCTTTTCCTAATTTTCTGTTTTTTTTCCTTATCTAAAAGCAATACTCACTCTATAGAAGTACAAATAAATGAAATGAAAAAAAAAACCCACTCAAATACTCACACATAATAAAACCATTGGTGAGTAAGGTCTATATACCTTTTCTATATATATATATATGTATATAGATATTATCTGTAATATGGAAATAATTGAAGCTTCCTTCTTAGAATTTCTGGTTACAATAAATCCTTAACAAAAACACGATTTCAGGCCAGGCACAGTGGCTCATGATTGTAATCCCAGCACTTTGGGAGGCTGAGGTGGGCGGAATCACTGGAGGTCAGGAGTTCGAGACCAGCCTGGCCAACATGGTGAAACCCCATCTCTACTGAAAAAAAAAAAAAAAAAAAAAACAAAAATTAGCTGGGCATGGTATGTCTGTAATCCCAGCTACTCAGGAGGCTGAGGCAGGAGAATTTCTTAAATCCAGAATGTGGAGGTTGCAGTGAGCCGAGATTGCGCCACTGTACTTCAGCCTGGGTGACAGAGCAAGATTCCTTCTCATAAAACTAACGTGTTTCTGAAGGCGAACAAAATAAAAAAACAAACCACTATTTGTGGGGAAGGGGGGGATGAACAGAGGTTGTCTAATGGGTCTGAACATACAGTTAGATAGAAGGGAATAAGTTCTAGTGTTCAATAGTAAAGTAGAGTGACTACAGTTAACAATAATTTATTGTATATTTCAAAATAGCTAGAAGAGAAAATTTGAAATGTTCCCAACACAAAGAAATGATAAATGTTTGAGGTGATGGATATGCCAATTACCCAGATTTGATCATCACACGTTATAAGCCTGTATCAAATTATATGTACCCCATAAATATGCACAATTATTATGTATCGATTTAAAAATTGTACTTCAGGTCATACCCTCGAAATGGACCTACACTGCACATATTGTTTTGTGACCTGCTTTGCATAAATGTTCATCAATCATAATGTCTAAATATGTATTTAACTTCCGTTGTTAGTCATTCAGACAGACTGTTACCAAATTTTTGTTACTCTCAGTAATATCCAGGAGAAATCTCTGCTCACAAATGTAATTGTTTTCTTATGAAAATTTCTAGAGGGAATCTGGGTCAAAGGGCAAACACATTTTAAGGACTTTTGACACATATTGACACATTGCTTCTCAATAACACTCAAAGCACAGGACCTGCAGTGTATGAAAGATGAAAGGAGATGCCTTTTAGCAGCTTCTTCATCACGGGGTAGGGTATCATCACTTCTGCTGTTCTCTTATTCTCCTGTCTGTATGCTTTGTGTAGCAAGGTGGAATGTAGGATTCTCAAGGGTGAAACGGCATTTTTGCTGTATCCATGGTGGATGTAACTGAATGCATAACAGTGATAGTAATAACAAATTAATATTCGTGTAGAGTTTACTAAGTGGTAGGCACCAGGCATCAGCTCCTAGGGTTGACAGCTCATTTTGTAGGGGAAGCTCAGAAAGGAAGAGCAACTTACCTGATGCCACACAGGGACAGAGCTCAGCTAAGCCTGACAAGAGCCTGCCCCCTAAGGCCCTTTGCTATGCCGCCTCCATGTAAGCAGTGCAAATAAATATTTGTGCATAGGTTGAATCATTCGTTATTTTCCTCTGGTAGAACAACACGAGAAACTCAGAAGGAGGCAGCCATAAAAATGGGCTAAAAAATGCCAGCTGAGTTCTCCCGGTCAGTCCTGACTTGAATAGTCCCAAAGGATTTGAGCAATGCTAGGTTTGAGGCTATGGCCCGAGGGAGTATTTTAATGAAGGGTTTCTTATGACTGAGAACTCTAAGAAGGAAGCTTGAATTATCCCCGTATGAAAATACAGCCATCTAAGATTATCAGTGGCATTTCCTTTTTATAGTGTTTGGCACTAATAATAGCCCCAAACTCCTTAACCCAACTTTCCAGCTTTTTAAAAGAACAGTACTTAGGAGAATGTCTGAACGCTGGGACTGACGGGACTTATTCCATCTAGTGCTTTCTCCCCGAAGGAGAAGGGGAAGGGGGCTCGGGGTTGATGGCTGCCTGCCTGCGTGCTGTGAGCCTAGATTCTTAAGGAAGTGAGGTGGGGCACGTGAGTCTGGAGGAGGAGAAAGGCCATGAGGTTTTTTATGGAGAACTCAGAACCAAGTCAGCAATGATCTGTCCTGGGCTCCAGGCCCTCTCTCCATGCTCCGTGGCAGCCCTGTTCCCGTTAGGCCCGTGGTCAAATTTCTAATAGGGGATCTGAGAAGCAATTGGCCAGCCTCTCCGAGCGCGCCTGAAAGGTCTTCGCAAAGCTGAGAGCGATTTTACAAACTAATGTGTTTCTGAAGGTGCCCTGTCCTTTCTCACTTCCATGTTTCTCCCACAGCATACCTGGTAGCAGGCCCTCTTCCTGCCACGTGCTTGTGGAACAGTTCATTACGTTTCAAAGCTACTTCTGTAAAAATCATTTTTTGAGGTACAATCGACATATATTAATATATCTCCATTTTAAGTGCACATACAACTTGATAATTTTTTTTTTTTTTTTTTTGAGACAGTCTCACTCGGTCACCCAGGCTGGAGTGCAGTGGCTCAATCTCGGCTCACTGCAACCTCCGTCTCTAGGGTTCAAGAGATTCTCCTGCCCCAGCCTCCCAAGTAGCTGGGACTACAAGTGCCCACCACCGACCCAGCTAATTTTTGTATTTTTAGTGGAAACGGGGTCTCGCCATGTTGGCCAGGCTGGTCTCGAACTACTGATCTGAAGTGATCTGCCCATCTCAGCCTCCCAAAGTGCTGGGATTACAGGCATGAACCACTGCCCCCCGCCACAACTTGGTGAATGTTGACAAACGTCTGCACCTGCCCCAATCAAAATTTAGAACATTTCCATTCCCTCAGAAGTCTCCTGCCACCTCCAGCCAGTCCCCTCTCTCACCCCAGCCCCAGGCAACCACAGATCTTCCTGTCAGTATAGCTTAGTTTTGCCTTTTCCGGCAGTTTCACATACGTTGACTCATAGAGTTGTTTCTGGTTTCCTTCACTCAATATAAAGAAAGGAATCATCAATGTTGTTGCATATATTAATAGTTTTCATATTACTGGGTAATAAACTATTGTGTGGATGTACCACAATCTATCTGGAATTTGAGTTATTGCCAGTTTTCGATTGCTATGAATACAGTTGCTATGCACATTCATGCACAAATCTTTTTGTGGGCATATAGCATATAGGAAGTATGTGGCCTTTCTGGGTCATTCTCATGTCTCTAGCAGACATTGTTAGTGGGTCACAGAGCTCTCAATTTCTATCAGACATTCCTTCTCATCACAGAGGTAGTCTGGGCAGTCCCTGGCAGTGATAAGGAGTTTGTACTGAAGACAAACGTCGTTTGCCATCCCTGACCTAGCCCAACCCATACATCTGCTTTCCACAGATGGAAAACAGGGCCAGAGATGGGAAGAACCTGGCCAGTGTCACAGAGTGAATCAGTGAACTTGTGAGAAGCTAAATAAAGGGCTTAGGTGATTCATTTCTCTCAGGCTAGTAAATACCTAGGAGTTGAATTGCTGGGTCATAGGGTAAGGGATAAATAAACTGCCAAACTGTTTTCTAAAGCTGAATATTCTTCTAAGTGATATCTCACAGTGGCCTTACTTTACAATTCCGTGATAACTAATAATGTTGAACATTTTTCATGTATTTGCTGGCCATTTATATATCATCTTTTTTGAAGGGTTTGTTCAAATCTTCTTCTTCTTTTTTTTTTTTTTTTTTTGTGAGTTGCCTTCTTTCATTGAATTTTAAGAGTTCTTTATGTATGTTGGGTACAAGTCCTTTATCTAATATTTGCATTGCAAATATTTTCTTCCAGACTGTGGCCTGCCTTTTCAGTTTCTTAATAGTACCTTTCAAAGTACAGGCAATTTTTAAATTTTAATGAAGTCTAATTTATCTTTTTTTTCTCTCTCTTATGGTTTATACTTTTGTGTCCTGTCCAGGAAATCTTTGTCTACCATAAGACTGTAGTTTGTGAACATTTTCTCCTATTTTTTTTCTAGAAGTTTTATAGTTTTAGCCTTTACTTTGTCAACCTAAAATAATAAAATTTAGAAAATATGATTAAATGTAGAGTTTTTTTGAGCACAAAGCTTGAGGACAGCCACCCAGGAAGCACAAATTTGAAAGATGGAATTGTACTGTTGTGCTCTGAAGTGCAGAAGTTTGGGGTGGTTTACATAGACAAAGTTTAGGAGAAAAAATCAGAATTTTAACTTTTTTTATACAAGGCTTTTTTTTTTTTTTTTTCCTGAGACAGACTTTCATTCTGCAACCTAGGCTGGAATGCAGTGGCACCATCAGCGTTCACTACAGGCTCGACCTCCTGAGATCAGGTGATCCTCCCACCTCAGTCTGCTGAGTAGCTGGGACTGCAGGTGTGTGCCATCATACCCAGTCAATTTTTTATAGACACAGGGCTTCGCCGTGTTGCCCAGGCTGGCCTTAAACTCCTGGGCTCCAGTGATTATCCCACCTTGGTTTCCCAAAGTGCTAGGATTCCTGCTGTGAGCCACCATGCCCGGCCTTATGTAAGGCTTAATGCATAATTACAATGGTCTGATTGGTGAAGGTCATCTTTTTCTTTCAGGAAAGATATACTGAACATTCCATACTGAAGATGAAACAGTCATGAGGTCTTTTGCGCCATCTGGTTTGAGTTAGGTACAGAATAATGCAGGAGACAATCTATAACAAAGGTCAGTGATTAGAAGGGGAGGACATCTGGTCTCTGGTCTCTCCCAGTCATTTATAGCACAAGAACAATGAGAAAAGAGAGTTGATCTATAATCTAAGAAGCAGAAGTTGCAACTACATGCTAAGTGACTCAGATCACCAGTTCTCTCTCAAGGTTTAAAGTCTTTTTGGAAGCCAGGTGTGGTGGCACATACCTATAATCCCAGCATGCTGGAAAGCCAAGGTGGGCTGATTGCTTGTGCTCAGGAACTCAAGACCAGCCTGGGCAACATGGCGAAACCCTGTCTCTACAAAAAAATACAAAAATTAGCCAGGTGTGGTGGTGCGCACCTATAGTCCCAGCTACTCGGAGGCTGAGGTGGGACTTTGCCAGAAAAAAAAAGTGCTTTGGGGGTTCCAACAGCTTTTGAATGTATTTATGTTCACAACTTTTGTCTCTATTATTTATTTCAAATTAATTTTTGTGTATGATGTGAGCTAAAGGTCGAAGTTCATTTTTTTCATATGGCTGTCCAGTTCTTTCAGTACCGTTTATTGAAAAGATCATTCTGAGCAGCAACATGGTGGTTGGCAAGAACAAGTACCTTACGAAAGACAGCAAAAAGGGAGCCAAGAAGTGGCTGATCCATTTTCTTTTTTTCTTTTTTCTTTTTTTTGAGACAGTCTTGCTCTATCCCCCTGGCTGGAATACAATGGTGTGATCTCAGCTCACTGCAACCTCCGCCTCCCGAGTTCAAGCAATTCTCATGCCTCAGCCTCCTGAGTAGCTGGGATTACAGGTGCCTGCTACCATGCCTGGCTAATTTTTTTTTTTTTTTTTTTTGAGATAGCGTCTCACTCTGTTGCTCAGGCTAGAGTGCAATGGCACGATCTCGGCTCACTGCAACCTCTGCCTCCCAGGTTCAAGCAATTATCCTGCCTCTGCCTCCCAAGTAGCTGGGATTACAGGCGTGTGCCACCACACACGGCTAAGTTTTTGTATCTTTAGTAGAGACGGGGGTTTCACCATGTTGGCCAGCCTGGTCTCAAATTCCTGACCTCAGGTGATTCACCCGCCATGGCCTCCCAAAATGCTGGGATTACAGGCTTAAGTCACTGCGCCCAGTCTAATTTTTCTATTTTTAGTAGAGACGGGGTTTCACCATCTTGGCCAGGCTGGTCTTGAACTCCTGACCTCAGGTGATCCACCTGCCTCGGCCTCCCAAAGTGCTAGGATTACAGGTGTGAGCCACCACCCCTGGCTGGTTGATCCATTTTCTAAGAAAGATTGGTACGATGTGAAAGCATGCTATGTTCAGTAGAAGAAATACTGGAAAGACACTGGTCACCAGGACCCAGGGAACCAAAATTGCACCTGGTAGTCTGAAGGGTCGTGTGTTTGAAGTGAGTCTTGCTGATTTGCAGAATGATGAAGTTGCATTTAGAAAATTCAAGCTGATTACTGAAGATGTTCAAGGCAAAAACTACCTAACTTCCAAGGCATGGATCTTACCTGTGACATGGGGGAGAGAGTGGAATTTAGCCTAAGTCAGCCTGGTCCCAAGGTTCCTTAATCTGGAACTCTAAGGCCTTTTTAGAATATTATCTTAATTGTCTGCTTGTCTGTTGAATGAAAAGGGATCCATGTAGGCCTCACGCCTGTAATCTCAGCACTTTTGGGAGGCCGAGGCAGGTGGATCACCTCAGGTCAGGAGCTCTTGACCAGCCTGGCCAACATGGTGAAACCCCGTCCCTACTAAAAATACAAAAAATTAGCCAGGCCTGGTGGCAGATGCCTATAATTCCAGCTACCCGGGAGGCTGAGGCAGGAGAATCGCTTGAACCCAGGAGACAGAGGTTGCAGTGAGCCGAGATCGCCCCACTGCACTCCAGCCTGGGCAACAAAAGTGAAATTCCGTCTCAAAAAAAAAAAAGAAGAAAGAAAGAAAGAAAGAAAGAAAGAAAGAAAGAAAGAAAGAAAGAAAGAAAGAGGCTCCATATAATTGGTATTGGAAATTTCTCCTCAGTCATCCGTAACTATCAAACTGTTAGTGCAATCCTGAACTAAAGGTCTTTAATTATGACTTTGTTCATCACAAAGGTTTCCGACTCTTTGAAAAAGACAGAACATCATTATTTCTTCCGACAAGTGCTTCTTCAAATGGGATCCCAATCCTTAAACCTTGCAGGAATATTGACATTGGGAGGAAGCCAGTGCTCAGCCCCAGTTAGTATTTCTCATCTTTAGGTAAACTTCTCCTTTTAAAGCTGTTTCCTGGGCTTTGCTTTTTACTTAGAGAACTTTGGTTACAGAGAACACATGGGAAGGGTTTTGCGACTGTACTAATCAATAAGCTTCAATAGGTGGGATGGAAATGATGGGCTTAAGTGGTCCCTGGAGACCCTCCGTGAGCCAAATGCACTTTCAAGATATCTACAACAGTGGCTTTTTTCCCGTCTCTGTGCCTGTGTCATTTACTATTCCTAGTTTTAAACCCATGTCTCTATTCAGAGAAAAAGACTACCTTGTGCGTTTGTTGCACTTTCTTTGAGATGAAATTTTTCCGGCCTTCAAAGAAAACCCTTTGATTTCCAGCCTCTGAGTCATAGTTTTCATATACTATTGAAATCACTCACAGTCTGTGAAAAAGGATGTGCGGTTATGGAGGAGAACTGTGGCCCAGGAAGTAGCATGAATCATTGAAATGTGGTGCATGGAGAACCACCCTCCATGGGCAGTAAATTCCCTCTACCCCCTTCCTCTGCCCTCAGCATCACCTCCCGCTGCCTGCTCCGGCAATTGGTCTAACATACAGGCTCATCAATATGTGTCTGAGTTAGTTGCCAACATCAATTGTTCGCACCTGTATAACTCTCTGTAGTTTGCAAATATTTTGAATCATTTATCGACATCTGCACCTGTTCATTCAGTAAATATGAATTTAGTAGTAACAGTAATATTATGGGCCCACCATGAGACAGTTCACCAGACATCAAACCTATGGTAATTATCAAGAGTTATAAGTCATGGTCACTGCCAAGATGGAGTTGGTAGTCTAGGGCGGGGATTTTTTTTAACATAATTCAGTGAAATTTAGTTGAATTGTAATGTAAAATGTATTTCCTACTGAGGATCACAGTCAAAAACATTGGAAACACACTGGTTTAGTGGAGGCTATTGTCAAAAGCCCCCAAATCCGTCCTCCTCATGGCCATCAGAGAGTCATAGAGTCTAGTGCAGGAGGCAGCCATATTATTACTATCATTGCTTGTAAAAGTGTTTGCCAGGCACTGTATTTTGCTGCAGAAGCAAAGGCAACCAAACACACATGTCCTCATCTTTATTTTGGGGGCTCCCCATGACCCTCAGAATGAAGGCTCAACACCTTCACCTGACCCAGAAGCCACATCCAGATCTCGCCTCTGACTATCTCTCTGGCTCCCTTCCCCATTGCTCATAACACTCCCCCTCTTCCTCTACAGATGCCCTCCTGACGCTAGCTGCCTGGAAACACCTCTCCGTCTTTGAACACTCAGCATGAGTATCACTTCCTCTGTGCCTTTGCCCCTCTCCTCCAGGCAAAACTAACTGCTTCATGCTTGGTCTCCCACAATTACCTTCCTCATCCCCCTTCTTCTGGCACCCTTTTTTGGGAAAAGGGGGAAGATCTTGCCGTCTCCCACCCCTTGCCACAGGGTGCTGACAACAGGCAGGGCTTGTAGCATAGGCTCCTGATTTTGGCCTAGAATGCCATATTCTGTCTTTTGTAATTGATCCAAGGATGGCATATAACCCAAGCAAGGCCAATCAAAGTCCATGAGCCAATATCTTCCCTTCTGTGTTAAGATGGTTTCCATTGGGTCTCTAAAGGGTCCTGAATATATAGTCTCTAATGTTACAGCATTCTTATTTGTCTACACCCTGTCTCCTATAAATTCCTTCAACACAGGGACTGTTTTTTTTTTTTTAATTTAAAAAGTATGTGGACCAGGTATGGAGGCTCATACTTGTAATCCTAGAAGTTTAGGAGGCTGAGGAGGAAGGATCACTTGAAGCCAGGAGTTTGAGGCCTGCCTGGACAACATAGCAAGACCTCATCTCTATTTTAAGGAAAAAAATGTGTATGAATATGTATGTGTATAAACTAATATGATCTCTCTATAGGAAATTTGTTGGCAATTTCTCTGTAGAAAATTTTAAAAACACACAAAAAAGTTGTTGAACACCTGTAATCCTCTCTCTCCCAAAGGCATTTTTAAACAGTCTTTTAACAATGCAGATACACATAATACTCACATTTTACACAAGTAGAATATAATTGAATGTACAATTTTAAACTCATATTTTTCACTTAGTAATCTACTGTGAAAACGTTTTCATGTTACTAGATATTTTCCACATAATTTTTATGGGTTGTCTATTACTCTGTCATGTGGACGAAATATATCATGGTCTATTAATCAAACTTTTATTAGAAATTTTGGTGGTTTTTAAGAGCCTAGGAAAACAAAAAAAGAAGGAAAAAAACACTTTTTTTTTTTTTTGAGATGGAGTTTTACTCTTGTTGCCCAGGCTGGAGTGCAGTGGCACGATTTCAGGTCACTACAACCTCTGCCTCCTGGGTTCAAGCGATTCTCCTGCCTCAGCCTCCTGACCAGCTGGGATTACATGCATGCGCCACCATGCCCGGCTAATTTTGTATTTTCAGTAGAGATGGGGTTTCTCCATGTTGGTCAGGCTGGTCTCGAATTCCCAACCTCAAGTGATCCACCTGCCTCGGCCTCCCAAAGTGCTGGGATTATAGACGTGAGCCACCATGCCCGGCCTAATAAAACACACTTTTTAAGAAAGAAATTTTGGGGGTTTCTACTTCTATTATGAAAAAGACTAGACACTACAAAGAATGGTCTCTTCATTAGATGATGCTGGATCAGTCAGTTATCTATATGGTGAGTGCATTTGTTATCTATTGCTGGGTAACAATATTACCACAAACTTGCTCCTTAACACAACACACACTTATTATCTTACAGTTTCTGTAGACAAGAGTTTGGGCATGGCTTACCCAGGCCCTCTGCTTCAGGGTCTCACAAAGCTGCAGTCAAAGTGTTGGCCAGCAGCCAGGTGCAGCGGTTCATGCTTGTAATCCCAGCACTTTGGGAGGCCAAGGTGGGAGGATCACTTGAGGCTAGGAATTCAAGACCGGCCTGGACAAGATAGCAAGCCCCTGTCTCTGGAAAAAAAAAAAAAATAGCTGGGAGTGGTCGTGTGCATCTGTAGTCCCAGTTACTCAGGAGGCTGAGGCAGGAGGATTACTTGCATCCAGGAATTGGAGGCTGCAATGAGCTGTGACTGTGCCCCTGCACTCCAGCCTGGGCAAAGAGCAAGACCTCATCTTAAAAAATAAAAAGGTGGTGGCCAGCATTGCAGTCTTTTCTGACGCTGGACCAGGGAAGACTTGCTTCAAACTTGTGTGGTTATTGGCAGAATTCAGTTCCTTACAGGATGGAAACTGAGGGCCTGAGTTAGTTGCTGGCTGTTGGCTTAAGGCTGCCCTCACCTCCTTGACACATGGCCCTCTCCCCAGAGTAACTCGCAACAAGGCAGCCTGCTTCTTAAAAGCCAACAAGGGAGGCAGTCTCCTCCCAAATTGGGTGTTACAGTCTAATGTAACACAGTCATGTACTGTACATACAATCACATACATCAGTCACCTTTGCTGTATTCTGTGGCTTAGAAGCAAGTCAGGGATTCCATCCACACTCAAGAGCAGGGATCACAGAAGAACACAAACACTAGGGTGGAAACTGTGGGGACTGCCCTGGAGTCTGTCTGTCTCAGGAAGGTTCCCACACTTTCTCCATATATGGTAACTTTAGTGTCTCAGTAATTTTTTTCATGGCAACCCTCAGTCAAAAGAAATACCTAACAGTTCTTAATCCCAGCACTTTGGGAGGCCAAGGCAGGTGGACCACCTGAGGTCAGGAGTTCGAGACCAGCCTGGCCAACATGGTGAAACCCCATCTCTACTAAAAGTACAAAAATTAGCTGGACATGGTGGCACATGCCTGTAATCCCAGCTAATTGGGTGGCTGAGGCAGGAGGATCACTTGAACCCAGGAGGCAGAGGTTGCAGTGAGCTGAGATCATGCCACTGCATTTCAGCCTGGGCGACAGAACAAGACTGTCAAAAAAAAAAAAAGAATGAACGAAAGAAAAAGAAATACTTAACAGTTCTATTTATTAAGTAGTTAGATCCAAACAACTTAATGAATAATTATATCTTAACAACGTAGTAATCGTTTGGAAAAAAATACTTGTAAATTGAAAGAAAAAATATTTTGTTTTTAAGTAACCACAATATTGACCAATAGACTGTAGACTGTGCTCCTGTTGAGGACTACACAGTTTCTCAGGTCTTGGAATCAGACAACATCATCATTTTCATTTCCTGATTTCACATGGCATTTACTTTTTATCATAGCAACCTCAAAAAACCCTGCTTTGCAAAAATATCATGTCATTGAAGGGAATGGAGTATGATTTAACATTGAAACTGTGAACGATTTCCAGCTAACAGTTTATATGGTATCCAACAGTTGTCACTGTGCTTCCCTCAAAAAGGTAAAATGTCCCATGGCCCCTCTGTGAGTTTACTGCAGTGCCCAAGGGTGACTTGGTGCACCATTTGGGAAACACGGCCATATGGAAAAAATTATCTTGATCTCTACCTCACGTCATAAAGATAAATTTCAGATAGGTTATAGATCTAAATGTAAAATGAATGTAGTAAAGTTTTTTGAGAAAAACATAGGAGAATATTTTTCTGCTCCTGGGGTGGGAAACAATTTCTTTTCTTTTCTTTTCTTTTCTTTTGAGACAAGGTCTCGCTCTGTCATCTAGGCTGGAGTGCAGTGGCGTGATCTTGGCTCACTACAACCTCTGCCTCTCGGGCTCAAGTGATCCTCCTGGGCCACCATGACCAACTAATTTTTGTATTTTTTTGTAGAGACGGAGTTTTGCCATGTTGCCCAGGCTGGTCTCAAGCTCCCGGGCTCAAGAGGTCTGTCTGCTTTGGCCTCTAAAGTGCTGGTATTACAGGCATGAGCCACAGCACCTGGCCAACAATTTCTTAAATAGGATACAAAAAGTAGTGCTCATAAAAATGATGAATTCTAAGATATTAATGTTAAGAATTGCTTTGTATCAAAGGAGAGTAAGGACGTACCCTGTAAAGTGGAAGAATATATTTTCATATATATGACTGACCAAAGGCTTGTAGCCAGGATATTTAAAGAACTCCTGCAAACCAACAGAAAAAAACAGCTTGCCCACTTGAAAAATGGAAAACAGACTTGAACAGGCTCCTTGGGAAAGGGGATATCTAATGGCCAACAAAGAGATGACAAGATTTTCACTAATCATCTTATTCACTATCAGGAAAATGAAAGTTGAAACCAAAAGTCAGTACCAACACAAACCCACCAGATGGCTAAATTTTTTTTAAAAATGGAAAATGTCAAGTGTTATCAACCATGTGAAGAAACCAGAACTCTCTTACAAAGTTGATTGAGGTATGAATGGATACAACCATTTTCTTGGACTGTTTAACAATATCTTTTAAAGCTGATCATATACTATGACTCAGCAATGTCAGTCCTAGGTATATACCTAAAAGAAATGCAAATATATATTAACCAAAAGAATGCTCACAACAGCACTGTTTGTAATAGTCTCAGTCTAGAGACAACCCAAATATCTATAAATGGTAGAACGGATGACTAAACTGTGGTTCATTCTGATAATGGAATACTATGCAGAACAGACAATCTATAACTACATAAACGATATAGTGAAATCTCACAAACACAAAACTTAAGCAAAAGAAGCCAAGACCTTCCCATATCCCTTTCCCCCAAGTTACATACTGGATGATTCTATTTATATAAAGTAAAAAGAGGCAAAATTAATCTATATTATTAGAAGTCAGGCTAGTAGTTACCCTTGCTTAAAGGGGGATTTGTGACTAGAAGGTGGCAAAAGGGGACTTCTGGAGTGCAGGGCATGTTCTCTTTTCTTTTTCGATAATGTGGGTGTGTTCAGGCCGTGAAAATAGTTGAACTGTTTACTGTGATATGTACATCCTTTTTTTTTTTTTTGAGACGGAGTCTTGCTCTGTCACCCAGGCCGGAGGGCAGTGACACGATCTCGGCTCACTGCAACCTCCGCCTCCTGGGTTCAAGTAATTTTCCTGTCTCAGCCTCCTGAGTAGCTGGGATTACAGGTATGCACCACCACATCCGGCTAATTTTTGTATTTTTAGTACAGATGGGGTTTCGGCATGTTGGCCAGGCTGGTCTCTAACTCCTGACCTCAGGTGATCCGCCTGCCTCGGCCTCCCAAAATGCTGGGATTACAGGCGTGAGCCACCGTACCCGGTCTATGTGCACTCTTTTAGTATGTTTGTGGCACTTCAATTAGAGTTAAAAAAATAAATAACGCTTCAATGAACATCCTGATAGCTATGTTTTTGCAGAAATTCCTGTTATTTTCTTTTGACTGAATTTCTAGAAGTGGAATTGCTGAATAACATGGTTCAAACATTTGTATAGCTTTCAATGTCTCTTATCAACTCTCCAGGGGCTGCTTTTATCTCCTTGTACTTAGCACTTGACACCGTCTAACAGATGTTTGTTGAATGGGTGAATGAATGAAGGCCTTCTTTCAGGTCCTGGAATGAATAGAGGCCTTTCAAGCCTGAGAATGGTGGCTGTCTCTGCCACCTGAAACTTTCTTCCCTCTGTTCTTCATACCAACCACAAACTCTCAGCTCAAAAAACAACTCAAGAGAGCCTTACCCCACCATGCTGTCTAAAGTAGTCCTCCTTTCTCATTCTCTCTTTTAGCATCAATTGTTTACAAATATCAATGTGTAATTATTATATTTTATGTATATGTGTATTTGCTCACTTGCTTACTGTCATCTTTCCCACTAGATGCTAAGTACCGTGAAGATAGGAATGACATGTGTCTTTGTCCACTCTTATAATCCCAGCAGCTAGCACAGTGCCTAGAATGGAGGAGGCCTTTGCATGATTGAGATATTTTCAGTCACAAGTGACAGACCTCTAACTCAGACTAGCTTGAGCAAAAAAGAAAATTATTGGCTCATGTAGTTGAAAAGTTGAGGCGGCTGACTTCAGGCATGGCTAAATCCACAGGTTCAAATAATAATACTAGGACCTTGTCTCTCTCTTTCTCCATACCTCTTACCACTGTTTGACTTCATTTTTTAGACAGGTTCTTTCCTGACATGGCAGCAAGAAGACAACTCATAGCTCCAAACTTATATTGCTTACCATCTCAGACGAGAAGAAAGCAAATTTTTGATAGAGCTGTCAAGAGTCTTGGGGAAGATGCCCATTGGTCCAGCTTAGGGCCATATACCCATCACTGAGCCAAGCACAGTGGGTTTAATGATGCAGTTCTACACCCAGGCGTTGTGTTCTTGACTATTCCTGAGCAGTGGTTGGGGAGGAGAGGAAGATCCACCCACTCAGACCACAAGAGCAGATGTGAGCAAGGGCTGACTTATTTGCCTAATTCTCACTTCAACTTACCACTCAACCAGCTGCAGGAACTCGACTTTCTGAGTGTGTGCAGCCATTAACCTAAAACTAGGCAGTCGAGACCTACAGGTCTTCGAGCTGTTCTCTGGCTAAGTGGAGCCAGCTGAAATTAAGTGCTTTATTGATTGCCATTTTAAACAATAATTTCAACTTTCATTTTAGATTCAGGGGTACATGTGCAGGTTTGTTACATGGGTATATTGCATGATGCTGAGGTTTGGGATGTGAATGATCCCATTACCCGGGTAGTAAGCATGGTATCCAATAGCTTTTTTTTCAACCCTTGCCCCACCGCTTCCCCCTCTAGTAGTCCCCGTTGTCTATTGTTTCCATATTTATGTCCATATGCACTCAATGTTTAGCTCCCACTTATTTATGAGAACATGCAGTATTTGGTTTTCTGTTCCTGTGTTAATTTGCTTAGGATAATGGCCTCCAGCTGCATCCATGTTGCTGCAAAGAACATTATTTCATTCTTTTTTATAGCTGCATAGTATTTCATGGTGTATATGGACCACATTATCTTTATCCAATTTACCACTGGTGGGCACCTAGGTTAGTTGATTCCATGTCTTTGCTATTGTGAATAGCACCGCAATGAACATGTGAGTGTATGTGTCTTTTTGGTAGAATGATTTATTTTCTTTTGGATATATACCCAGTAATGGAATTGCTGGGTTGATGGTAGTTCTATTTAAGTCCTTTGAGAAATCTCCAAACTGCTTTCCACGGTGGCTGAGCTAATTTACATTCCCACCAGCAATGTATAAGCATTCCGTTTTCTCCACAGCCTTGCCAGCATCTGTTGTTTTCTGACTTTTTAATAATAGCCATTCTGACTAGAGTGTGGTATCTCATCGTAGTTTTGATTTGCATTTCTCTGATGATTAGGGATGTTGAGCTGATTGCCATTTTCAATTGGGTAGTATATTGCTGGGTTTTTCCTGAATGCTTTTGCCTCTGCAGTTTATTTAGGGGTTTAGGTGGAGATCTGTCCTTTGTAACAAACATAGGGGTGGAGTTCATATATAAGATTTTTTCCTTTCACAATCCTTATTCTAAATGGGTCTGTTTATACAAGTTTCTTGATCTGTTTAAAGATCACACCCCCACTCTTCCCGTTTTATCCACATCCTTCTCCTGCTTCAACCAGATCAACCCAAAGTTGACTGAGCTAAGTGAAAAACAGGAATTTTCATATTGGTATGCAGGGGTATATCAGATACATAAACTTGCTGGCAGCCTTAGTATTCACAGCCTTGCAGACTCACCACTTCAGACTTTTAATCTGGTTCCCTTTTCAGGATTTGTCCATGACCTTGAGGAAGTCAATTTCCTCTTTCTGGACCTTAGTAGCCCTAGCTATAAAATGAAATGGTGACCCTATCTGCAGGGCAAGATGGTTTCTAAAGTATCCCCTAGGTTTCTGATTCTGGAATTACCTCCTCCTCTCCTTAGCAATCTGGTGATGAGAGGGTCACCTTTAAGTGTGGATTCCAAACTTTGAGGTGGCTGCAAAACAGTTACATGATATGTGGGTCCCAATGCAAAACGAAAATGTGAGACCCTCTTCTCCAAAAATTATTAAGAATTGCAAAATGGCAATACCAGAGCATTAAATCAAGTGTGAGGCTCTCCTGAGAATGATGCCCTGTGCAACTGCCTGGGTTGTACTTCTGGGAAGCCAGCCCTGGGTGCCTGAGCTGATCAGATGTGATACAGAGATAGGTGTTAACCAGCTGCACTCATGTTCCTCCTCCAAATTCTGCATTGTGTTTCCACCATGTTTTGCAGGGATATCAAAATCAAATGCCAGCAAAATAAATGAGTGATGTAGGTTAGGGTTAGTGAAAAAAAAAAGGAGCAACTGATATTGAGCTTTAAGCAATTGTCACCACGGGAGAATTTAGACTTACTATTGTCTGACTTTCTAATTTTTCATAAGAGCCACAATCAGGAATTTTTTTTCTCTGATTTTTGAACATTTGGCAACTGTTCAGAAAAAATATCCAAAATTTGGAAATGAGGCAAAAGAATGACTGCAGTTTCTTTCATTCAGTGGCATCTAAGATCAGTGGTTCTCAAAGGGTTTTCCCTGGTAAATAGCATCTGCATCAACTGAGAACAAATCATCAGTCTGCCCCAGATGTACTAAATCAGAAACTCTGAGGTTGGAGATCAGCATTCTGTGTTGTAATGAGCCCTTCAGGGAATTTTGCTTTAAGCTTAGGTTTGAGAATCACTGCCCTTAACCACTCACTGTCTTTTCTGTTCAGGGCATTGTCTAACTCCAGGGAAACACAAGATTGTTTCACCTGCTGTTTACTGTTTGTGATTAATTAGGGGTCTGACATTTTATAACTCTGTAAAGTTGGATGTTAAATTACAGAAAACGAATAAATTGTCAATGATTTTTTTTTTTTTTTGTCCAGTAAAGCTGTAAACGATTATCGTCTGGTAGAGAAGATAACCCCAAAGAATGTAGTTTTATTGCCCTGTAGGTTATTAACCAGTTTGGATCTCAATCTTATTTTAGAGTTCCTTTTGTCTAGTTTTTCCTGTCCTTTTTTGAACCACCTTGGTGATCTTGCTGGTTCTCTGATTAGTTAATTAAAACCTGGAAAATGCTCACTATGTATTTTTATGATAATTAAATTTTTAACATTTTGAAAATATTTTGGACACAACTACAATCCAAATTATTTTTACAACACTGTGTTGGCCCACAGGTCACCAGCTCATGACCTCTCACAAAGAGGATTCCAGCTGCCTTATTATCCATACAGAAAACATCCTTGACCATTTGCTCCTATTATTCTTAATTTCACCTCCCGCTCTCTCCCTCTTGTCACATGAGGCCATTTGCCTTTCCCCAAACACTAAACACTTCCCATCTCTGTACTTTTGTTCATATGCACTTTTCTGCTTCAAGGCTCAACTTCAAAACCCCTCCTTCATGAAGCCTCCTACGATCCTTGTTTATATCCAATCTCTCTTTTTCTGGGCTTTTCCAATCCTTAGCTTCCGTTCCAGGAAAACACTTGTTTTCTCTTACCATATGTAAAATCAAGTTTGGACTGTCTCCTAGCAATGCTTTTCAGACTTTAAGTAGCAGCCAAATCACCTTGGGTTTTTTTTTTTTTTTTTTTTTTGGATCTTATTAAAATGCAGCTTCTGATTCAAGAGGTCTGGGTGGGAACTGACAGTCTGCATTTCTAATAGGCTCCAGGTTCTGCTGATGCTGCTGGTCTGTGGACCACACTTGGGCTAGTGAGGCTCTAGAAGGCAGGGGCTCTTACCCAGGAACCTCTGTTTCCAGGGCAAGTCATAGCGCTTTGCATAGAGCTGAATGAAAAATTCATGGACCCAGATGTCCTTTGGGTGTGGCTATAAATGCAAAAGGTTGTTGCTCTGAAATCTGTATCCCCACGTCATCTCCGTGGGAGAAAACTCCCATGCTAGGGTTCTATCTTTTTTTCCTCCTTTTCCCTCTTGGAATTGTGTCCTGGCTGTGTGACCTTGGGGAAGTTGTTTACCCCTAAAATGCCAATTTTCTCTTCTGTGAAATGGGATCCTAACACCCAGTTCACATGGCTTTTTGAATGGATCAAAGAAGATAATGGAGTGAAATGTCTGCAAAAGGTTGGTGTAACCTCTAAATCCCACCAGGGCTTTATCTAGAAAGGGGAAAAAGCACCTAGGGAAGGGTGGCTGCTAGCTGAGGAGGGGAAACAGCTGCAGGAAGCTGGCTCCTATGATACATTTTGCATCATTATCTATTAAAAATATTTGACTTCCGGTTTCTAGTCCTGCATGAAAGGAGCTTAGAAGTCACCACTCGGTCGTAACAACAAGTAAAAAGCTTGATGAACTGAAAAATCAGCTCTTCTCATGTCCAGTGGAGAAGTGAGGTTATATGGCAAGCTGCTGCCCACAAAATTGGAGAAACAGATAGATACAGAGTATCATAACATCAGAGCAGAAACCCACCAGCAGGAACCTCCTGGGAGGTGCTGGGGGAAGAAAACTGGAACTGTAATTGACAAACTGCTAAAGACTCCGCTAATTTTTGTTATTTTTAGCAGAGACAGGGCTTTACCATGTTGGCCAGGCTGGTCTTAACTCCTGACCTTAGATGATCCATCTGCCTTGGCCTCCCAAAGTGCTGGGATTACAGGCATGAGCCACCATGCCCAACCAACTGAAAAACATTTTAAATATGATTAATATGCTGAGGGCTTTAATGGAAAAAGAGACAACATGCAAGAACAGATAGATAATGTAAACAGAGAGGAGGGAATTCTAAGAATTAAAAAGAAATGTTAGAGATTAAAATCACTGTTACAGAAATGAAGAATCTATGATGGGCTCATGAGTAGACTGAACATGGCTAAGAAAAAAACCTCTGAGCCTGAGGATGTGAGAATAGAAATTTGCAAAACTGAATAACAAAGAGAAGAAAAGACTGAAAAAATAAAACAGAATACCCAGTAATTGTGAGACAAGTACAAAAGGTACAGATACACACAATGAAAATACCAGAAGGAGAAGAAAAAGAGAAAGGAGCAGAAGCAATAGTGAATTTCCCTAGATTAATGCCAGACACCAAACCACAGATCCAAAAAGCTCAGAGAACACCAGGCAGGATATATGCCAAGTAAACAAACAAACAAACAAAAAACAGGGACACCTAGTCACACACGAGGAATATGTTAAAATGAACAAACAAACGAAAAACTACACCTAGTCATATCATAATAAAACTTCTGAAAATCAAACACAAAGGCAAAATCTTGAAAGAAACCAGGGGGAAAAAAACACCTTATTTAAGGAAGAGCAAAAAATTGGAGCTAGCTTTTCAGAAACCATACAAGCAAGAAGAGAATTGAGTGTAATATTTAAAGTGTTAAGAGAAAATCCCACCAATCCAGAATTCTGTACACCATGGTACAGAATTCTTCAAAAACAAAGGAGAGGCCGAGCACAGTGGCTCACGCCTGTAATCCCAGCACTTTGGGAGGCCGAGGTGGGTGGATTACCTGAGGTCATGAGTTCAAGATCAGCCTTGCCAAAGTGGTGAAACAGCATCTCTACTAAAAAAAAAAAAAAAAATTACCCAGGAGTGGTGGTGCACACCTGTAATCCCAGCTACCTGGGAGGCTAAGGTGGGAGAATCTCTTGAACCTGGGGTGAAGAGGTTGCAGTGAGCTGAGATTGCACCATTGCACTTCAGCCTGGGCAACAGAGTGAGATTCTGTCTCAAAAAAAAAAAAAAAAAAAAAAAAAGCTAGGGAGAAATAAAGACTTTCTCAAACAAAAATGGAAGGAATTTGTTGCCAATAGTCTGCTTGCAAGCATTTTTTTTTTTTTTTTTTTTTTTTAGATGGAGTCTCGCTCAGCTGCCTAGGCTGGAGTGCAGTGGCGTGATCTCGGCTCACTGCAACATCCACCTCCCAGGTTCAAGTGATTCTCCTGCCTCCTGAGTAGCTGGGACTACACGCCCAGCTAATTTTTGTATTTTTAGTAGAGATGGGGTTTCACCATGTTGGCCAGGATGGTCTTGATCTCTTGACCTCATGATCCACCCGCCTGGGACTCTCAAAGTGCTGGGATTACAGGCGTGAGCTACCACGCCCAGCCAATAAATATTTTTTAAAAGTTCTTCAGGGAGAATGAAATTGATAAAGGGTCAGAAACTTAGGTTTACATAAAGAAAAAATGAGCAACAGAGAATAAATAAATGACAATAAAATGGAAACTTTTATTTTTCCTATTCTTAATTCTTCTAAGAGATAACATTGTGTTCAAAATAATAATAGCAACATATGTATTCAATTATAAATGTTTATATATACATGTACATGATTATCTGTCAGAGAAATGAATCACAGCAATAATACAAGGAATGGGAGGAATTAGGACTATTTTGTTATTATAAGGTATTCACACTACCCAGGAAGTGGTAGAGTGTTATTTGAAAGTGGACTTGGATTAGTTGTAAATGTATTTTCCAAACCCTAGGACAACTTGATATGCTAAAAAAGGAGAGAAAATAGAATCATAAAAATGCTCAAAGCCACAAAAGCCAGAGAAAATATGAAAGACAAAAATAGGAAAACAGAATAAGGGCAACAAATAGAAAACAGTAACAAATATGATAGGTAATAGTTCATCTATATCAACAATCACTTTAGATGTCAAAGATCTAAATATATCAATTAGAAGACAGATCAGAGTAGATCAAAAAAGAAGACTCAACCACATGTTGTCCGCGATAAACTCAACTTTAAATATAAAGACACATATAGATTAAAAGGAAAGGGATAGAGAAAAATACACTCTGCTAATACTAATCAAAAGCGATTGTAGTGTAACAGAGCAGACTTCAGAGCAAGGAATGTTATCAGGAATAAAGGGAGACATTATATAATGATGAAGGTGTCAATATTCCAAGAAGACCTAACAGTCCTAAAGTGTATGCACCTAACAGAGAGCATCAAACTATGTGAGGCAAAAGCTGATAGAACAACAAGGAGAAATAGATGAAGGCACCATTATAGTTGGGGACCTCAATATTCCTCTGTTGGTAACAGATAGATAAAGCAGGCAGAGTATCAGTAAGGGCATAGTTGAACCCAATAGTACTTCATTCAACAACAGCAGATTTATACATTCTCAAGATGTCATGGAACATTCACCAAGATAAACCCCATTCTGAGCCATAAAACACACCTTAACAAATTTAAAATAATAGAAGGTATACAAAGGCTGCAGTCAGATTTCAACTGAATGAAATTAGAAATCAATAACAGAAAAATAGGTGGAAAATCCCCAGATACTTGGAGATTTAAAAAAATACTTTCACCAGGCATGGTGGCTCATGCCTGTATAATCCCAGCAATTTGGGAGGCTAAGGCAGATGTATCGTTTGAGGCCAGGAGTTCAAGACCAGCCTGGCCAACATGGTGAAACTCTGTCTCTGCTAAAAATACAAAAAATTAGCTGGGCGTTGTGGCACATGCCTGTAGTCCCAGCTACCCCGGAGGCTGAGGCAAGAGAATCACTTGAACCTGGGAGGCAGAGGTTGCAGTGAGCCAAGATGGAGTTCCTGTACTCCAGCCTGGGCAACAGAGCAAGACTCTTCTCAAAAGAAAAAAAAAAAAAAGAAAATTTCAAAGAATTAACCAGAACAAACAAAATAACCAAAACCACTCTTGGAATTAATATGTAATTATAGCAAGGTTACAAGATACAAGGTTGATATACAAAAGTTAGTCACTTTTCTATATACCATCAATGAACAATTGGAATTTGCATTAAAAACATATGACTTTGGTTTGAATGTTTGTCCCCTCAAAAATTCATGTTGAAACTTAATCCACAATGCGGCAGTAGTGAGAGGAGGGGCCTTTAAGAGGCTTTGCCCTCATGAATGGGTTAATCTATTCATGGATTAATGGATTAATGGGTTATCATGGGAAGGGACTGGTGGCTTATAAGAGGAGAAGGGAACTGGACTAGCATGCTGAGTCCTCTCATCATGTGCTACCCTGTGTCACCTTGGGACTCTGCAGACAGTCCCCACCAGCAAGATAACCTGCACCATATGCTGCTCATCAACTTTGGACTTCTTAGCCTCCACAATTCTAACAAATGCGTTTCTTTATTATCAATTACCCAGTTTTCAGGTATTTTGTTGCAGGCAACAGAAAGCAGACTACGACGCCATTTATATTAGCACCTTCCCCAAAATGAAACACTTAGGTATACATCTAACAAAATATGTACAAGATCTAGATGAGAAAAACTACAAAAACTAAAAAAACTAAATAAATAGAGAACTATTCTATGTTCTGAATGTGAAGACTTATTATTGTCCAGATGCCAATTCTTCCTAACTTGATCTGTAGAATTAACACAATTCCATTAAAAAAAAAATAGCGGGGTGTGGTGGTTCATGCCTATAATCCCAGAACTTCGGGAGGCCAAGGTGGGTGGATCACTTGAGGCCAGGAGTTTGAGATCAGCCTGGCTAACATGGTGAAACCCCATCTCTACTAAAAATACAAAAGAAAAAATAAATTAGCTGGGCATGGTGGTGAGCACCTGTAGTCCCAGTTACTTAGGAAGCTGAAGCATGAGAATTGCTTGAACCCTGGAGGCAGAGGTTGCAGTGAGCTGAGATCATGCCACTGCACTCCAGCCTGGGCGACAGAGTGAAACTGTATTAAAAAAAAAAACAAGTTATTTTTTGGATATCAATAAACTGATTCTAAAGTTTATATGGAGAGGTAAAGACCCAGCATAGCCGACTCCATATTGAAGGAGAACGAAGTTGGAGGACCTGTCAAGCCTTACTATAAAGCTATAGCGGTCAAGACTGTGGTGTTGGAGAAAGAATAGAGAAATAGATCAATGAGGAGTAGTAGAACCCAAAAATAAAACTCATAAAATACAGATCTTTGACAATGAAGCAAAGGCAAATACAATGGAGTAAAGCTAGTCATTTCAACAACAACAACAAAAAAACTAGACACCCATATGTAAAAAAAAAAGAATCTAGACACAGATCTTACCCTCTTTAAGAAATTAACTCACAATGGATCATAGACCTAAATATAAAATGCAAAACTGTGAAACTCTTTGAATACAACATAGGAGAAAACTTGATGATCTTGGGTATGGTGATGACTTTTTAGACACAACATCAAAGGCATGATTCTTGCAAGAAACAATCGATAAGCTGGACTTCATTAAATTAAAAATTTCTGGCTAGGTGTGGTGGCTTCTATCTGTAATCCCATCACTTTGGGAGACCAAGGTGGGTGGATGGCTATAGCTCCCAAGTTTGAGACCAACCTGGGCAACAAGGTGAAACCTGGTTTCTCCAAAAAAAAAAAAAAAAAAAAAAAAATTAGCTGGTCATGGTGGCACGTGCTTGTAGTCCCAGCTACTCAGGAGGCTGAGGTGAGAGGATGGCCTGAGCCCAGAGGCAGAGGTTGCATTGAGCCAAGAGTGCACCATTGCACTCCAGCCTGGGTGATAGAGCCAGATCTTGTCTCAAATAATAATAATAATAAAAATAAATACAAACTTCTGCTGTGTGATGACAATATCAAGAGAATGAGAACATAAGCCATGAATTGGGAGAAAATATTTGCAGAAAACATATCTGATAAACAACATTTATCCAAAAATATCAAGAGCTGTTAAAACTCAACAATAAGAAAATTAGCAACCCAAATGAAAAATAGGCAAAGGACCTGAACAGACACCTTACCAAAGAAGATACACAGATGGAAAGGAAGCATATAAAAAGATGTTCAATATCATATGTTATTAGAGGATTGTTGATTAAAACAGCAAGATACCGCTACATAGCTATTACAATGGCCCAAATCCAAAACACTGACAAGATCAAATGCCGATGAGGATGTGGAGCAATAGGAATCCTCATTCATTGCTGGTGGAAATGCAAAATGGCACAGCCACCTTGAAAGACAGCCTGGCAGTTTATTTTATTTTTTATTTTTATTTTTTTTGAGATGGAGTCTGACTCTGTCACCCAGGCTGGAGTGCAGTGGCTTGATCTCAGCTCACTGCAAGCTCCACCTCCCAGGTTCAAGTGATTCTCCTGCCTCAGCCTCCCAAGTAGCTGGGATTACAGGCATGTGCCACCACCCCTGGCTAATTTTTGTGTTTTTAGTACAGACGGGGTTTCACCATGTTGGCCAGGCTGGTCTCAAACTCCCAACCTCAGGTGATCCACCTACCTAGGCCTCCCAAAGTACTGAGATTACAGACATGAGCCACTGCATCCCACCAAAGTCTGGCAGTTTATTACACAACTAAACATACTCTTATTTTACCATCCAGCAATCAGGCTCCTTGGTATTTACTCAAATGAATTGAAAACTTATGTCCACACAAGAACCTGCACACTAATGTTTATTCATAATCTAGCTTTATTCATAATTGCCAAAAACTTGGAAGCAACCAAAATATCCTTTAATAGGGGAATTAATATATATACTGCAGTATATATAGACAATGGAATAAAGAAGTAAGCTATCAAGCCATGAAAAGACATAGAGGAAACTTAGATGCCAATACTAACTGAAAGAAGCCAGTCTGAAAAGGCTTCATGCTGTGCAATTCCAACTGCATGCATTCTGGAAAAGGCAAAAGTGTGAAGACAGTAAAAAAGATTAGCGATGGTCAAGAATTAGTGGGGAGGAAGGGATGAATAGGCAGAACACAGAGGATTTTTAGGGCAGTGAAACTATTCCATATGTCACTGTAATGGTGGATACATGGCATACATTTATTAAAACCCATAGAATGTGTCAAGAGTGAAGCCTAAGGTAAACTATGAATTTGGGGTGATGATGTGTCAATATAAGTTCATCAATTGTAACAAATCTACAGTGCGAGATATAGATAGTTGGGGGAGAGGTTTTGTTTATGTGTGCCAGAAGATACATGGGAACTCTCTGTACTAGATTCTCAATTTTGCTATGAACCTAAAACTTCTCTAAAAATAAAGTTTATTAATTAAAAAAATGTTTCTATTAGGGTCAAATGGGAGAAAATAGGCATTGGTGCCTCTTTACTGGCTGTTCTTTGAGCTAAGGGGGCATCATTCAGATGTTAAGTGTTTCCAAGGACAGGCCTCCTGAATTCAGCCCAATTTCCAGAGTGACGAGGCAATGAGAAAAACTTATTTGGCCAGGAGTTTGAAGCTGGGATGACCCATGAACCTTGGTATGACAGTCCATGGCCCCCTCAGGCAATATCACCTCTTCAGGCCTCAGTTTGCTCATCTATGGTAATATCAGAGTAGCACTGTTGTTATAGACAGTGACTTTAATGTTACTCACATTGTGGTTTGAATCCAGGCTTCAGCTCCAACCTGGCTACCATATGAATATTTTCTAGTTCCCATTGTACCACTACCTCCAGGCACAGTTGCCTCATCTGTAAAGTAGGAGTATCAGTAGTACCTACCAGAGAGGATAAAATGAGATAATGCACTGGGCACATTGTAAGCTTTGTCCAATCAATAGTAACTATTATTATTCAGTTGAACCATATGACATTACCAATGCTTAACTGTTTCTGACCTACAAAATCAACACTTCCTCATAGTTTAACCTAAGATCTCTTCATGGGACTATTATGGGCATTAAATGAGATGATGTAGGCACTGTGCTTGGAACCAATCAGGGTGCTCCAGATATGATAGTAGTTATTATGCACCACGTTGGTGACAGTACCCAATGCTGACAAATCAAAGGACAAAAGTCATATGTCAATAAACTTGATCCTCCTCTGTAATCGGTCACTTAATTTACTTGTCAGTTCCTATCAGCTCCTTTCTTTTATGCGCCTCCCTCTACCATAATTGTTATAGTGGAAACCTTATCTCAGAATCTCTGTAGATTTTAGCATATGCTGGGCACATAATAGGTACTCATTGAATGCTTGCTGAATGAATGATTTCAAGAGCTTTGTGAGTTATCCAGGGTTTAGGGAGATTTGCTTCTCTTGTGAATTATTTAAAAAAAACAGAAATAAAGACTAAAGTCTTTAATATATCCATAAAACTTGAGTAAAAGACTCTATTTAGACTTTAATTCCTTTCATCAAAATGGATATAATCATCCTACCTGGCTACATCATGGAGTATTTGAAGAGCAAGATAATTGCTAAGAAGCTACACATCCATTACAATGGCTAAAATCAAAAGAACTGGCAATACCAAGTGCTGACAAGGATGCAGAGCAACCAGAACTTTCATACCCTGCTTGTGGGAAGGCAAAATTTTACAACCACTTTGGAAAATATTTTTTGCAGTTTCTTGTAAAGTGAAACATACACTTAACCACAATACCCATTGGAATTGCTTTCACCCTATAGAAACGAAAGATTGTGTTAACATAAAACCTGAATATATATATATAGTGACTTTATTCATAATCATCAAAAACTGAAACACCCAAATATCCTTCACGGGTGACTGAATAAACCCACAATGATACATCTATACAATGGAGTACTACTGAACAATAAAAAGGAAGGAAATATTGATAATGCAGAGACCTGGATGAATCTTAAATGCACTAAGCTAAGTGAAAGAAACCATATCCAGAGTCTATATCCTGTGTAGTTCTATTTATATGACATTCTGGAAAAGGCAACTTGAGACGGACGTAAAATAGACCAGTGATTCCAGGAGTGAGGGGAGTGGCTGAATGCAAAGAGATAGGAGGAAAGTTTTTGGTGTGGTCTTGACTGTGCAAGTGGTTATTCCACTGTGTGTGCTTGTCAAAAATCATGGAACCATAGATTTAAAAAATGGAGAATGTTAATATATGTAAATTATACCTAAGTAAACGGAACTTTAAAGAAAAGAGCAAGTTGCTGAGAAAATAGTTCACAAAGCAAAGTTATCACTGGTCCAACATTATTCCCATAACAGGGACTCAACAAAGATGATTCTTCAATGAGGGGCTTGAAAGTTTGCGCTGAGCCAGGATGAGATAATTATTATTAATTGTTTAATTCTAATTTGTTTAATTAAACATTGATTGTGTCTCCCAAATGCTGGAGGGCTGAGTGAAGAACAAGGTCCAGCTCTTATTCACAAGGGGCTCACGATCTAGGGAGAGGGGATAGGAAAAAGACAATAATAGTATAACATGACTATTATCATTGATAATAATTAGAGAACGAGTATAATTAGACTCTTCACACATTATACAACTAAAAGCACAAGCTAGGCATTATAAATAACACCACACCTCTTAGTACTCACTAGCAGTAGAAGGAGGGTAATTCTGGCTAGCATGCATTGACTGCCTACTCTGTGATGGGTGCCATTCTAAATACCCATTTAAGGCTCACAAAAACTGTCATTATCATTGTCCTTTATAGATGAGACAACAACATCGCAGAAAAATTTAGTGGCCCAAGTTCACACAGCTACGAAGGGACAGAAAAGGGATTTAACCCCTGGCAGGATGGCCACTTCCTAAGCATAATATTAATAGTATACTCTAGCTAGAGATCAACAGTGACCTGTGTCACCTCAACTTCCACATTCTGGAACTGGTTGCTGTAACTTCAGCCCAGTTTTCCCATCGTCAGAGGAGAAAGTCAGCCATATATACAGAGGTCAAGTTTGCAAAACTCTCTGTTTAACATACCAGGAAAAACTCTTTTTCCTTTTGTGTTCCTTTCTGTTTTTAACACTTGCCCACCTTCCCATGACTAAAGTAATATAGTTATGTGTCATATAATGACATTTCAGTCAACGAGGGACCAGACAGATGCCTGATCCCATAAGACTGAAACATTCCTGTCCCCTAGTGGCATCATAGCCCATCGTAGCACACTGCGTTGTACTTTCTATGTTTAGATACACAAGTACCGTCGTAGCACACTGCGTTGTACTTTCTATGTTTAGATACACAAGTACTTACAATTGTGTTACAGTTGCCTACAGTATTCAGTACAGTAGGATGCTGTACAGGTTTGTCGCCCAGGAGCAATAGGCTATACCATATGGCCTGGTTGTATAGCAGGCTATGCCATCTAGGTTTGTGTAAGTGCACGCTATGATGTTCCCATGACAAAATCCCCTAATGATGGGTCTCAGAATGTATCCCTGTCATTAAGCAATGCATGACTGTACTTCACTATTGTAGAAAATGAAAGAGAGAGAAAGAACAAACAGGAAAACAAAACCAAACCAAAAAAACCCCTGTCATCCATAGTTTTACCATGCAGAGGTAACCACTGTTAACATTTTGGCACAGTTCCTTCTAGTCTTTTTAAAAATGTCTTTTATTTACATAGCTGAGATCAGACTTAAATGTAATTTTGGACCCTGCTTTTTTTCACCTACCATCAGAGCAGAAACTCCCATCATTTTAAGTGGCCGCATAATAATCCATCTTATGGATATTCTATAATTTATGAACTGTTCTTTCACAGTTGAATATTTAGGTTGTTTCCAATATTTTCACTATTATAAATAACACAATTATGAGCATTCTAGTCCATAAATCTGTGTGTGCACTGCAGATTATTTTTTTAGGATCGTTTCCCAGAAATGTAATTACTAGGTTAAATGTCACGAATATCTCAAAGATTATGTAGCGACTTAATATTCTTTATAAATAACATATATGTTCTTTACAAATACATGGGAAGGCTTCTATGAGGTCAAAGCTGTATATATACTCGTTCCTGTGGATAAGTAGGGAGGACGAGTAGGATGAGACGACACTGGGAACTCTGTGACTTCTTGGTCATGCATGAATCACTGGACTTTTTGTCTTGTGAGCTACCTCCCAATTTTCAGGCCTACATGCTACTTAAATATTGATCAGTTGAGTGCCAGTAAAGGGAAGGGAACTTTGAGAATGGAGTTTCTATGTCTTTTGCAAGGAGACCTGTCTACAAAGTCAGTTAGGCATGGCACTTCAGCATTTTCCACTTGTCACGGAACTTTCACTTCCATCATCTCAATTGCTCATCACAGCTCCTGGGTGAGATGCACTGGCGGCAGCCTTTCCCGTTCCCAAGTTATTCAGCAGAAACTCAGTCCCAGAAAGGAGAAGTCACCTACCCAAGGTCACGGAGGTGGTTAGAGAGAAAACTGGGACTAGAATTTTAGTCTCATGGCTCTAGGGTTATAGCCATAATTATAGACTACATTTGTCTCTCCCACCCCCCAAATTCATACGTTGGAACCTTAACCCCCAATGTGACTGGATTTGGAGATAGGGCTTCTACAGAGGTAATGAAGGTTAAATGAGGTCACGAGGGAGGGGCCCTACTCCGATAGAACTGATGTCTTTATAATAAGAGAGGCTGGGCGCGGTGGTTCGCAACTGTAATCCCAGCACTTTGGGAGGCCGAGGCGGGTGAATCAGTTGAGGTCAGGAGTTCGAGACCAGCCTGGCCAACATGGTGAAATCCCATCTCTACTAAAAGTACAAAAAATTAGCTGGGCGTGGTGGTACACACCTGTTATCCCAGCTACTCGGGGGGCTGAGACACGAGAATTGTTTAACCCGGGAGGTGGAGGTTGCAGTGAGCTGAGATTGTGCCACTGTACTCCAGCCTGGGTGACAGAGCAAGACTTCATCTCAAAAATAAAATAAAATAAGATAAAATAATAAGAGGAAGAGACCCACCAGCGCATCCCCTCCACTCTCTCTCTGTCTCACTGCATGTGCAGAGAAGAGGCCGTGTGAGAGCACAGTGAGGAGGTGGCCATTCTACAGGCCAGGAAGAGAGGCCTTGCCAGAAAGCAAGCCTGATGGAAGCTTGAGCTTGGACTTCTAGCCTCCAGAACTGTGAGAAAATAAATTTCTGGCCGGGTGTGGTTGCTCTCGCCCGTAATCCCAGCACTTTGGGAGGCTGAGGAGGGAGGACTGCTTGAGCCCGGGAGTTTGAGACCAGCTTCATCTACATGGCAAAACCCCATCTCAACAAAAATATACGAAAATTAGCCAGGTGTGGTGGTGTGCGCCTGTAGTCCTAGCTACTCGGGAAGTGGAAGGATCGTTTGAGCCTGGGAGGTAGAGGTTGCAGTGAGCCAAGATCGCACCACTGCACTCCAGCCTGAGCAACAGAGAGAGACTCTGTCTCAAAAAAAAAAAAAAAAAAAAAAAAAAAATCTGTTGTTTAAGCCACCAGTCTGTGCTATTTTGTTTTGGCAGCCTTAGCAGACTAATACAGGTTTTGATCCTGAGAAGTGGGCTATGCTATAACAAAATACCTAAAAATGCAGAAGTGAGTTTGGAACCGGGTAATCGGTAGAGGCTGGATGAGCTTTGAGGTGCATGCTAGAAAAAGCCAAGATTGCTTTGAAGGACTGTTGATGGAAGTGTAGATGTTAAAGGCGATTCTGGCCAGGGCTCAGGAAGACAGGAGGAGAGCTATAGAGAAAGCTTCTGTCATCTTAGGGAATGCATATATCACCAGGAACAGAATATTAGTAGAAATATGAATATTAAGAGCTATTCTGGTGAGGTCTACGATGGAAATGAGGAACATGTTATTGGAAACTGGAGGAAAGGTGATTCTTGTGCAGGGGCTAAGGGAAAACTTCCCCTTTGCCCTCTGAAGTTTCAGCAAAAAATCAACTCACAAAAGGCAGATTAACTGGAGACAATGCATACAAATTTATTAGCATGCATGGGAGAGAATCACAGAGTGATTGTCCAATATCCCATTGGGGTATGGACGTTTATATACCCTACTTCTTAGGGGAAAGGGAGATAGGGGAGTGCGGATGATTTTTGGGGGATAGTACTTGATTTTTAGGGGAATTCAGTGGGCTTGAAGAACATACAATGGCCTAGGACAGAGTCTTTTGGCCCACAGACCTGACAATGGTTTGTGACAAAAGTCTGTTCAGGTGTATTGACAGACTTCAGTCTTCCTGCGATATGAATGCAGTTAATGAAAACACAGGGAAGGCACCCGAGACTGTTGTCTTCTTTGGCAGGTCCAGACTTTAGGCACATAAGGGAACTTCAGAGAACAACTTCATGCTGTGCTTTGGGAGAGACAAAGGATTGAGAGACAGGAGAGTGTGGGGGAAGGTCAAAGAGACCTTAAGACTTCTTTAGTTTAATGTGTCAAAGTGCCATATCTTGGGATATTGGTTTCTGAACCCCAATACTACTTACAACGTGGCAAAGGGTTCAGCTGAATTGCTGTGATATTATGATACATATGTATATTGGTTTTAATCCACGGTTCCTGGCTCATATCTCCCATAGCCCTTGTTATAGTCTTTTGTTATGATGTTGGGGCACTTTAGGCCTCAGAAACAGGTGTCAGGAAACAGAATCTGACCTTCTTCTGCCCTTCTTTCACCTGCCTACAGCAGGACTATAATCTAATTGTGAGTCATAGACCCTCATTGCAGAGATGATCCTGGCCTATACTCTTTATTTTTTACTTTTAAAGTATAGAATGCATCATGAATTTTCATGTCATCCTTGCACAGGAGCCAGGGTAATCTCTGTATCTTTCCAATTTAATAGACGTAGTGCTGA